>NC_000001.11:67735653-68038683 GCF_000001405.40 Homo sapiens
ATAATTTAAGAAAGGAACTATGAGAATTCAATTAAAAGGGGCAGAGAATCACTGTAAATACTATAATTTCTGAGTGATCTTCACTAACAACAGTGAAGCTCCTGTGAGAAAAACATAAAAAAATTCTTCCATGAAAGAAAATCCTAAACCATCACAGAGTACAATATTATTCTAAAGAAGGAAAAAACAAGGGAAAATATTTTTTTAAAAATAGTTCAGACAGAAAGTATCTTTGGCAAAGAGGATCTTCTGATAACATAACAGATGCAAATGAAAGACAGGGCTGATTTCCTGGGCGCTAAACCAAGTGGAGGAGTTCTCACAAGGGAAAGAGCCAGGTGCTGACCCCCTCTGCACTGGGGAAAGGAGGAAGATACAAACACACTTTCTTGCGGGGGGTAGATTCTCATCACTGAACTGAAAATGGCTTGGCATCAACAGGATGTCTTCCTGTTCCCATCTTATGAAGTGACTCATACATCTGCCATTTCACTTGCAGGAACTGTGGGAGAAGAACTAGGAGTCTGTTCATTAGGAACCCTGGCTCCACAAAGGCACTCCCTCCCAGCCTGACACAACGCCCACCTCTTCTTCCGGTTGTGCCTGCCAAGCGTGAGAGTGTACAACAACCAAAGCAAAACAAAAATCCCAACCCCCGAACCAAGCAGCAGGCAGGGAGAATGTTGCAGTAGAAGGCTACTGCTTCCTGATGCTAACGTGGACGCCAAAGGCACAGCCCACAGTTCCAGAACCCACACCACAGCACCTGAAACAATTTGCTCTCAGTGGGCCAGGGCAGCTCTAAACACTAGACTGCTTCCTGTTGTGCAGCTATGTAAATGAACCCTGTGCTGGGGCCACGGCCCAGCTGCACTGTGTGGCAGGGATGCGTGAGTAATGGAGTCACCAGGGCAGCCTCTCAGTGGAACATACTTGTGCAGCCTGCAGGCTCAGCCTCACGATGCCAACCCCAGGAGCAGTGACCCCCTCACAGGGCACACCTCTGCCAGGAAAACCATCCATGTGGTGGGGACAGACAGTTCCTTGGTAAGAACCGTCTGGATCCAGGAACCTCAGCAGATAGGGACTGAGTTGGGGGATGATTAAAACCTAGGGGAGTGGGCTCCAGACTGAACTCGGAGTGGTTTCCTTGGGTCATTTCTAATCTGCTTCAGTTTCCTCACGTAAGATGAGAGGGACCCACCTCTTAGGACCTCATTTGTGCAAGCACCAAATGTGTGTGCCTGCTAATGTCCACAGCAACACTGGAAAAGAAGTATCTCATTTTGCAGATGTGTAAACTGAGGGTTGGAGGAGTGAGTGAGCATGGCCAACATCATATAGGTACTAAAGTTGTGCAGCCTGAATATAAACCAAGAATTGTGGATATTCAGATGTGTCCACTCCTGAAATTCCACGTAGGCTGCTAAGCTTCCTTAAAATGATGTTTGCAACTAAAACCAAGTCTTAATTTTCTATATAAGTAGTACTCATTAGGTAAATTATCTACTGCAAATTAAAAATCATACTTTCATCAACCCTTCTTGGGCTACTTAGTCTTTTGCATTGCCAAATGGCCTGTGCTTAGGGGATTATAAATGGATTTTGAAACTAGCTAAAGCAAAGTCTAATTATAATTCTCATAATTAATCATTATAAAAATAAATCATTAATATAATTCCATGGCCAAATATAAATGATTTCTGTTCTAAGGCAATACCTCATTTATTGGCCTGAAGAAAGTTGGTTCTGAAAGATAAACAGTCACATGGATGGTAAGAAGAGCTCTGGGCCCAGGGTCAAGAAACCGAGGGTCTATCTAGGTTCAGCTGTTAGTTGGTTAACTGTGTAATTTATGCAAGTTACTCAATCCCCTTCCCTTTCCCTTTCTGCATCAGTAAAACAAAGAGCTTGGACTAGATCAGTGTTTCCTCCTCTTTTCAATATGAAGACTTTCTTTTTTTTTTTTAAATGTATAAGCACTAGCTTTTCCCTGCTCCAAAGATAGCTGTCTTTTTGGAGCCTACTGGTTATGAAAATACATAATAACAAGAAATTAACAAAAATGTTCTCTTTATTAATTGCAACAACATCTTCATATACTTTAACAAGAGTGGTGCCATTACATTTAAGACATTGTTACTCAGTTTATTGTCAATATGTGGCCCCTGTAAACAAGGGCTCACCCTTTGCAATAAACTGTCCACTCCCCTTACCATTCCTTGCCTGCACACTTTGAACCTTTGCATTAAATGGCCTCTAAGATTCTTTTCAGTGTCAAGCTTTATTATAAAAGCTTTTCTTTTCCTTTTTTTTTCTGTCACCCAGGCTGGAGTTCAGTGGCACGATCATGTCTCACTTCAGCCTCAACCTCCCAGGCTCAGATGATCCTCCCACCTCAGCCTCCTGGGTAGCTGGGACAGGTGTGCGCCACCATGTCAGGCTATTTTTTGTTTGTTTTTTGGTAGATATGGGGTTTCGTCATGTTGCCCAGGCTGGTCTTGAACTCCTGGGCCCACCTCAGCCTCTCAAAGTGCTGTGATTACAGGTATGCACCACTGTGCCCAGCCCTATTAGCAAATTATTTCTAAGAAACTACATACCAGATTTCAATTTTTTTTGTTTTGAACAATAAAGCAAATTATCAGTTAGTGATTTCGTTTTGTACTAAATCACAATCACTGTGCAACAATAGCCACAGATTAATTTATTGATTAGATATACATAACTGAATGCTTGTCCTAGGTATATAGAGGTGAATAAATAGACTCAGTCACTGTCCTCACTGAGCTTTGGTCTATATCAAGTCTTTAACAACGATCCTGAGCCCTCCCCTCTGTTTATCTCCAGCTTCAACCTCCCCCTGGAGCTCTGGTCTCTAATCTCTACCTGACCTCTCAACATTCCACTTGGATATCTAAAATGCATCTCAAAGTTTACACGTGTAGGCCAGGCATGGTAGCTCACACCCACAATCCCGGCACTCTGGGAGGCGGGAGGATCACTTGAGACCAGGAGTTTGAGACATGCCTGGGCAACATACACAGAACCTGTCACTACAAAAAATTGAAAAGGTTAGCTGGGCATGATGGCATGTGCCTGTGGTCTTAGCTACTCCTGAAGCTGGGGGCATGAGGATTGCTTGAGCCTAAGAGTTCAAGGTTATAGTGAAGTATGATTGTATCACTGCATTCCATTCTGGGCAACACAGCAACACCTTGGCTTTTAAAACAACAGAAATGGGACTGGGCATGGTGGCTCATGCCTGTAATCCCAGCACTTTGGGAGGCCAAGGTGGGCAAATCACTTGAGGTCAGGAGGTCGAGACCAGCCTGGCCAATATGGTAAAACTCCATCATGACTAAAAATACAAAAATTAGCTGGGCGTGGTGGCAGGCGTCTGTAGTCCCAGCTACTTGGGAGGCTGAGGCAAGAGAATCGCTTGAACCTAGGAGGCGGAGGTTGTGGTGAGCCAAGATTGCACCATTGCACTCTAGGCTGGGCAACAGAGTGAGAATCTGTCAATTAAAACAAACAAAAACAAAAAAACCCCAGCAACAACACACTTAATATGTAGAAATCTCTGGATCCCACCCTGTATGCCTGTCAAAATCCTTCCTCCTGTGGCATTCGCCATCTCTAAAATGGTAATACCATTCACCCAAATGCTCAGGCCCCAAAGATTCTTCCTGTTCTGAAATCCTCTCCCTCAAGGTGATATCCGCAGAGAGTTGATCACAATGACCGGTATGATCTTCACTCAATTTAAGTTTATTGAACGCCTACTATGTGGTAGGTCCCATATAGAGACAGAAGACAGAGGGCAGGCTGACATCACACAACTGATGAAAAGTATTGGGACAGCTACGTTGGAAAATCACAGAATAGGGGCTCTATCTTGTCCTGGGATCAGAGATAGCTTTTTGAAAGTGGTGTTCATGAGCTACATCTTCAAAGGAAGAGCCTGCGTCAAAGCAGTGTACTTGTAAGTTAGAAATGTACTCATGAGTACTCAAAATATCTGACAGATGAACTTCAGGGTTGAGGGAAGAGTTATGTTCTTACTCCTACAAACCAGAGCAGATCAGAGCTGGGCATAAACCAGACATAGTGAGTTCAGATATCTGAAGACCAAATGACCTGCTTAATTTAAACCTAACCCAGCCAGGAAAGCCACTGTGAAACTAGAACTCCACAATGGGCCGGAAAATATTTACAACTCTGTTTTAAAGCTGCTTTTCCATCCTTTTCAAAAATAATCTGAACACAGGGAATTTATCCTAAGGAAATAATCCAAAGTATGTGTATAGAGATATTCACTACAGTATTATTTAACGAAAAATTAAAAATGAACAATAAAAATTCACAAAACACAGGCATGGATAAATTACGGCACGCCAGCTGGATAAATATACCACTGAAGGCATGATTTTTCAAGATTGTATTGCTATATAAAATATGTTTAGGATATTACATTAAGTAAAAAATGTATAGTTTTACCCGTGCTACTCACAGAGTATATAAGATTATATACAAAGTGCATAAAGAATGAGCAGAACATACACAAATGAATTAATTCGCTATACAGGGCTATGAATACTCTTACCACTGTTGTTTGAACTATAAAAACAATTAAAAATAGAACAAGTCTCCTATATTTCTTCCCTGCTGATCTGGGGCAGGGGTCTGTAAATTACAGCCAGTGGGCCAAATCCAGTTGGCTGATGATTTTTGTAAATAAAGTTGTATGAGAACATAGGCATGCTCACTTGTTTATGTATTACCCATGGCTGCTTTTGCCCTTCAATGGCAGAGTTAAGCAGTTGTGATAAAGACTGTGTAGCCCACAAAGCCTAAACTATTTACTATTTGGCCCTTTACAGAACAAGTTTGCCAATCCCTGATCTGGAGTAAGGAAAGATCATGCTTCATTCTAAAATTTACTACATATATAATTGCTACGGTTTAAATGTTTGTGTCTCCCCAAAATTCATATGTTGAAATCCTAACCCCATGGTGACAGTATTAGGAGGTGGTGATTAGATCATGAGGGTGGAGCCTCCATGAGTGGGATTAATGCCCTTATAAAGCAGGTTCAAGGGAGCTAATTGGCCATTCCCACCTTGTGGTACATAGCAAGAAGGCACCGTGTATGAGGAAGCAGGACCTCACCAGACATCGAATCTGCTAGAGCCTTGGTCTTGGATCTCCACTGCTCCAAAACTGTGAGAAATAAATGTTGTTTATAAGCCATCCAATTTATGGTATTTTTGCTGTTACAACCATGAATATGAATGAACAGGGAATCATCTATGTTTTATATTTTTATCCACTAGTTCTTAAAAAAAAACCCAAACTAAAGAATAAAACTATTCCCCAAAACTATTCTTCCCATTTGTTTCTATTTCAGTGTATATATAAAGGTCATGCATTAATCAGACAGCTTATTACCTAATTTGAACCTCAGTTCATTTTTATAAAATACAGACTGGGGACACGTGACAGAGAAATGCTTCTTAAGTTAAAGATTAGTGGCAAGAACTGAAAAGCATTTTTTACAACTTAAGGTTTTGTTTGCTTTTTAAAGCTTCTCTGGCCTTTGGGAGAAATAAACACGTCAGAGTTCCTGGCCATTCTGATTGCACACCTGGACTTCATGGCCACCGCCTTCTTGTGTAAGGTCACTGACATGTGCAGACTACATGGACTTAATTCCTCCAAGCTGTTCCTCCTTGTGCTACAAAAATGCACTGACCCTGGAAGAAAGTTCACCATATTCTATCCAAAGTCCCTCACCAGCTACCAGTGCTATTAACTGCCTGGCATCTGTTTCCTCTGTTTGCCAAGAGGGGAAGGACTGATGGCTATGTTTAGGGTTAACAGCTCATTCTCAGATTCTGGAGGGGCTGGGATCACCCCAAACAGAAACTGATCATCAAAGGTCTTTAATTCCACCATCTTTGAGTCTATAACAATTAAGCTAGCTGTTTGATACTAGAATAAATTATTTAAAAATACTGTATAACTTGAAAAAGCTCTAGAATTGGATCAAGGAAGTAAAGTCTAAGTCAAAAGTCCCAAATTGGCATTTGGAGGACTGAATTTGGCTTGCAGACCTGTTTTATTTGGCCTACAGAGAATTATTATTATTTTTTTCATGGAGCTAACATTCAGAAATTGGGAGTTTTCACATAAAAATCCAGATTTCTGGCTTCTTTACATAAAGCACATTCCCATGTGGCTGCTCAGTTGGAGCTGAGTAGCAGATGCACTTGGATATGGCCTGGCCTCACCTGCTGCATTGCTCTACTTGCCTGGGCCCACAGGTGGCTGAGGCTGTGACCGTGGGGTAAGTCATTTTTTGGAAAGTTGTTTCAATGTTTCAAGCAGGCAGTGGGACCAACACCAAGTTTAGGAATCAAAACCTTTAAAGTGCTGAGACTGAATTTTGGTTCTTCTGCTTTGCTACTTAGAGGGGGCATCAATTAGGGTGAACCGGCAGATTCTCTAGCACCCTTTTAGAAATGATCTAAGTAAATGTTCACAACATTCACAAAAAGACTCATCCACCACAATGTGCATTAATCAATCAATATCAAGAAATGTTTTATTCTCATGACCCAAGTTCTGTTTATTTCCCCTGACCTACTCTAAAACAATCTAATCTTTAATAATTTAATAAATATATGTTGGTATTTTCTAGAGGCAAGTTACTACACTATATACTCACAGAGAATTCAGGAATTCTCTGGCCCTAAGGATCTGGTAATTCACCTGGGAAGAAAACTCCCACATAGACCAAAGAGAAGCTTATAGCTCTAACTCTGTGGCAGGCACTGTGCTCAAAGCATTCGTTCTCACAATTACTCTATGAGATAAGTACGATTATTATCTCAAAAGAAGAATAAATTTGGGGGCCTGAAATGACAGGTAGGGTCCAAAGAAGCTGAAGAAAAGTGGCAAAAAACAGTGTGTATAAAGCGATATAAGCTATCTGAAAAAAGAGAAAGAAATATTTTTATTATAAATAAAGTCACTAAATTTCAGTGGAAGATCACTGGCAAATTATACCACTTGACTGCTTTCTACATCAAATAATGCAATTTTCCATTCTTGGAAACATATAATGATTTCTGGTGGTATATGGGCATACATTTATTTTAATAGAAATAGCTCATGTTTATTTGAAAAAGATAATTACACATCAAACTAGTGGTTTTATGGATGATATTGACACAAGGATAAGTTAAAAAGTGAGTTGATTTAAAATGGATTTAAAGAAAAACACTAAACATCTGATACTAGATGGTATGCAGGTCTGATAAATCCTCTGATGGTGGCATACAAAATACTGGTGTTTAGAATACACTACCTTATTAGAAGAGTAAAGATACAAGCTATCTACTTACTAATCAGGAAGAATAAAGGTTTCTTTTTGACTGCTTAGTAAAAAATTCAGTTACACTGGGTTCACTAAGAATAACATTTCTAGAGTGTTACCATGAAGCCACCTTCCGGGATCTGCAGCCTAGGAGAATAGGAGTAGGGGCAGCTGGGTGAGAATGAAATGCTATCTAGTGTTTTAGGAATTTGAATCTTGAAATCTCAGTGTCAAGATTTAGTATGCACTGAAGCTAGTACCTGAAGCAGAAGCAAGGTTCTTCATGCTACTGTCAGCTGGGTAGGCAAAATAACATAAAAACAACAAATATAACAAAATGCAATACATCTTTGGTAACAATAAAAACTGCATCTAACCTCATAGCATAAATGTCTCCATACAGCAAATGACAGAGAATTTTTATCTGCTGCTAATACCGCCAAATGCAACAGAAGAGTGAAACTCAGAAAAGCCTAGATTAGATAAAGACCGTGACAGGCCAGAATGCCTTTGCATACAGGGATTTTGCAAAGTAAGACCCAGGGAAACAAGACAGTTTGGGTTTACTCACACCTGCCTCCATTTGAATTTGCTTCCTGACTGCCCCCTACCTCCCCTGAAAAAGCCCTATTTATGGCATATATTTTTAAAACTTCAGAAACTCAAAGAGCAATTAATTTAGGCTGCTGTAATGCTTAAGACACTTCTATATTTCTATTCATCAATAAACTGAATTCTTTGTGTTTATAAGCAGGAGGTAAGTTATGAGGCAGACCAGTCATCCAGCTTTTTACAAGGATATTGGTCTTTAAGAGATTGAGAATGTTAGTTGCATGTTAAACAATTTTCTGGAAATATATCACAATAGAGAAAATGGTATTTATTTGTCAGTGAAGTGCTGAAAACGGTTAGTAGAAATAACATAGTAAGCCACTTGGGTGTGTTCCTTTGAGTGAGTTTTTGTGTGTGTGTGCGTGGGGAAGAGAATCCTCAAAGGGCATTGCTTGAGTGATGATGACAGTACGAACAATAAATGTAACAGTATTTACTGGATGCTTCCTATGTACCAGGTACTGGTGCTACACAAGAATTACCTCATTTAATCTTCACACTAACCCTATGAGGGGGTACTTCTATCATTCCCACTTTATGTATGGAGAAACAAAGGCATGAAGAAATCAAGTAAATTACAGCTAGCAAGTCATAGAGCTGGGATGTGATCCTAGGTAGATCAACTCCAAACTTTTGCTCTTAAATGCTGGTTCCCCGGGTGCCTACTAAGCAAGATTGTTCTGGGTTAAACAGCAGAGTTTTTGTACTGCCAACTGCTGTCCGCAACTCCAGAGCCTGAGATGAAATTCTCAGGTGTCCAAGGAAAGGCAGAGGCTACCCCTGGTGTTTCCTCTCCACTGTGCCCTACACTGTGCTCGGGCACTTCTTTAAATAACTGATTTTCAGATATACGAAGAACATTTGTAAGAAGGAGCACCAGTTTATAGTCTGCAGAGAGGGCCCACGTCTTAGTGCAGCGCCATGGAAATGGACAGAGACAAGGCACCGGTTCCAGAATCACACATATGTGACTGCTACTCATGGGGCAGGAGCTAGGAGGACTCAGGTTTTTTTGTGAAAGGCCATGCAGATGCTATTAATATCTCATTTCATCCTCACTAGAACCCTACAAAGTATGTAACATGTCCCATGTTACAGATGGGAAGAGCGAGCTTTGGTCATCTGCACCAAATTATACACTTAGCAAGGGGTAGATCCGGCATTTGAATCTCTACCTCCAAATCTTCTGTCCCTCCCAGCACATCTCCTAAGAGAGAATGTGATCCTATTTAAAACTACAACCAAGAGTAGTGGCTAAGTTCACAGGCTGGAGCCAGAATGTCTGGGTTTGACCAGCTCTGCCACCTACTTGCTATATGACTGAGGGCAAGTCGCTTATTTTCTCTGTACCTCTTTCTATATCTGTAAGATGCGAATAATAATTGCACCTATCCTATTGGATTGTATTGAGGAATGAATGTATTAGTATTTGTAAAGTGTTTAGCACAGTGCTTGGCACATGGTAAATATTTACTTAAGTGTGTGAAATAAATAAAAATGTAAAACTTTCTCTTGTATGGGTACTTATACACAGACGACAAATAAACCAGGGTAATAGATGTGTCATCACAGAAAATTTATATAAATCAACTTTCACAGTTGCCAATGTAGCAAGCCCACCACAAACACTGTTGTGGGACCTGATAGCTTTCCATCTGAATTGTTGATGTGAAGAATACATTTGGAAGAGTCCTGGGCTTTAGTCTCAGATCTGACATGAATTACTGCGTGACTTGGAGAAGGCATTTCACTCTTCTGGGCCCTGCTTCTTCCCAGGTGGAAAGCTGCCCCGGTGACCAGGCAGCATGGCATTGGGAAGGAAAGTGCCCAGAAATGGCATCCAAGCCCCACAGGGTCTGGTTCTCCCACATACGAATTTTATAACTTTGGACAAAACTGCTTTATTTCTTTGCATCTCTATTTCTTCTCTCTAAAATGGAGAAAATGGTGTCCGTCCCCTTATTTCACAGGGTTGGGGGCAAGTAAGAAAGGGAACATTAGAGCCCCTTTGCAAACAGGGCTCTCCACAGGCATCTCCTTTGCTGGGTAACAGGTGGATACTTAGTAAGTATTTGTGGTTTCCAAGTCAGTGTAAAAATCTAAAAAATAAATAAATACATAAATAGATGTTTGTGGAAATGACGTGTAGCACCTATCATTGTCTGATGTAGTTTTCCTTGTTTGTTACTTGTTTCTCCATCCCCCTAGAAGCTAAGGTTTCTGAAAGCAAGGACATCTCTGTCTATATCCCTGCAACTGTTAAAGAGTCAGTACTTAATAAATACTTATTGACCGAATTTGTGGAAAGTATGAATACATGAACCAATGAATAAATGACTCTGAAGTTACATGAGAAGCAAACAAACTTACCTAAAGATATTAATGAAAGTCCAAAGTCCTAAGAAACAAGGTATGCAGGACTAAAGCTCTTGGTGTATTGTATCATCTGACTCCTCTAAATTCTTTTCTTTGGGGAGGTGGTTTGGGTGGAGAAATGGCAGAGTTAAGATACTATAAAGTTGTTAAATTAACATACTCAGCAGGTCCACAGACTTTCTAAAGCTGAATACCAACTGGGATAATTAAAGGCCAGAGCCTTCTTTTTTAATTGACTCTCCAATAAACTACCTGCTGACAAAGGCATAGTTAAGTTGATTCCTGCAAGAATAAAGAAACGTTTCTCTTCCATTCTTAATTTTTTAAAAAGTCCCCACTTTCCCCTCTAGCTCGATGAGCACTTAAATTCACCAGAATTAAAAAGAAAGTTACCAAATACTTTTTTTTTTAAACTAAGCAAGCCTGTAACATCCCTTCTTCTCAGCAATCAACTCATGAAGGCACGGAAGTGGCTTGTGCTGAGGAAGGCATTCGGAGGGAGCTATGGGGGCGGGGGAGGTGGTCACACCAGCTCTTCACCAAGGGATGGAGAAGTGCCCAGGAGCCTCCCTCATTCCTCTCCATCCCTGTGGTCTAAAATAAAATCTACCATCTAAAAAATACTGTTCTAAAAATAGGGAGTTTGGCTTAAATCCACCAGTTGGTGTTTTGATTTTTAAATTATGTGCAAAAAATTACGCTTAAGACCCAGAGAGTATTAGTAAGTAATTCAAGGAGGTTGCCATTTTATTTTGATTCCAAAGTTCTAAAACATTTATTCTCTCAGAGTCTAAGGAAAGGTGAAAAGAGACAACAGAAAGGGGGTAAAATGATGTAGAAGGCTTAAATTCCAGTTTGAAAGTGAAAGGCAGCTAAACATTCCTAAAGCAAATAATATACTTTAAAAGTGTGTGTTTTTTTTTTCTTTTTTGGTGGTGGAGGCCATGCTATAATTCACTCTAAATAAGTAGAAGAAAAACTGGTGAGTTTCAACTTAGTTACTCCTATCTTTCCTGATACCATTTTGGGATCCAACTTTTATGCACACAAAACTGCAAATAATTCCTAACATGCAGTTTTAAAAGCATAAAGAATCTTTTTGTTTGTTTGTTTTTGAGACGGACTCTTGCTCTGTTGCCCAGGCTGGAGTGCAATGGTGCGGTCTCAGCTCACTGCAACCTCTGCTTCCCGGGTTCAAGTGATTGTCCTGCCTCAATCTCCTGAGTAGCTGGGACTACAGGTGTGTGCCACCATGCCCAGCTAATTTTTATATTTTTAGTGGAGATGGGGTTTCACCATATTGGCCAGGCTGATCTCGAACTCCTGACCTCAAGTGATCTGCCCGCCTCAGCCTCTGGAAGTGCTGGGATTACAGGCGTGAGCCACCGCGCCTAGCCCATAAAAAATCTATTGAGTGTTCGATGGCCCAAGACTGTATCATCTTTGGAGTAAGAGTTTTAAAGCCTCCCTCATCAGACACCAATCATAACCAGAATGTATTTTCAGAAAGGTGTGCTATTACAGTATCTTGATTAATGAATATTAATTTTACATGAAATTGGGCTATTTTAAAAAAGCTTTCACTTAATGAGAGTGAGGTGGGCAAGTAGTGTTATAAGAAGCAAATATTAATGCTATCTGCTTCTGGACAGAAAGACTGAAGTACCTAAAAAGTCTGATTTTACATGTGAACTTTAGCAACACAATTTTCAGCTCATCTCTAAAGATTTGAACTTGTGTGTGGGTAGCATCATGTGTGGACCACAAAAGTCACCATCTCTCCTCCTCTTCCCGGAACAAACACCCACAAACTGATGGGGATGCTCTGAAGGTTAAACTGGATCTTCTAATTGTCCAGGAACGTATGCTATGCAAACAATGTTGGCTCCCTGTACCAAGGCAGAGCTATTGTGGGACTTGAGGCTGCTGGCTATGAGGAGAAGGATGGTGGGGCACAGTTCTATTCACTGGGGCAAAGTGGGAACCCAAAAGAGGGTGGCTGAAATGTTTTATTATCCTAATCTTCAGAGGACAAATAATTACAGAACATTCTATATCAGAACAAGAGACTGTTAGTCTGCATGAGGGGGCAGGGAGAGAAAGGCAGAGGGCAGAGATAAAGAACTTTCCTTTTTGTGGGGGCAGGGAAAGGAGAGAACCTAAAGGGTGGACTACAATTCACTTTTCGAAGGAGTTTTCTGTTTGTAATATGCTTCCTTTGAAGAGTGGAAGTTCTGGGCATTTGGAAGTTTGGTTACAGATCAAGAAAGAAATTCCTGGCTTTCCAGAGTTTGGTGGCTACCAATCAAAGGTCAATCAGATACAAAAATCAGAGTAGTCCTGAAACCATACCATAGGCTACTGGGAAGATGTAACATGCTTTATAAAAAAATAACAATAATCTCTTGCATGCATTTTTCTCTTCAGTGAAACACAGGGATATGAGTTCTTTAAAAGAAGTAGCAAGAAGGGCACAAAAAACAGAAATCGTGCTTGGGGGGATAAGAAGAGAGGGTGGAGGAAGAAGTGCAGCGTCTTTTGGGATGGCAGCTGTTTTATTCGCACCCTCTAAGAGTTCCTGAAATAATTAACATGCACTGCCATTCTTGTTTTTCCAGTGGTGATTTCATCTAGTCCCTACAGAAACTGAGAATTAAATGTCATGGTTTTGTGTTTTGGAAAGCAAAACTCTCCCCCAAACAAGGGAGTTCTGAATACTGCTGAGAGCATGTGAGATCTGAAAAGTCTGCAGAGTGCTAATCATTAACATGCTACTTTTGGAGGCAGGACTGCCCCTTTCTTTGCTATCACATTTCCTTCTATTTGATCCTGCCCTGTACTGGTTTACTTTCTGTTTCTCCCACTCATTACCACGCATTCTTCCATAACACATGTGAAGTCCAGAATAGCCTCTCCCTTTCGGTTGGCCAACTCAACACTTCCCTTACAAACTCTCCTTAAAAAAAAAAAAATCATCTCTGACTTATTTTCCAAGGACTTTCCCTCTTCCCACTCCCCTGGAGGGGAGGAGGTGGGGAACAACCAAACCCTCCATTTCTTCCTGAATAATGCAGGAGAATAAAGCAGAAGGTCTACAGACATTACTTATAGTAACCGCAAATAAAAAGGTGTCTAAGAAGAATAGTCTGCTAACTTAGTTTGGAGGGAGACAGATTTGGGTTCGCATCCTGCCTTTGTCATTTGCTCGTAGTGAGACTATGGATAGGTCGCTTAACCTTTCCCTAAACCTCTGTTTTTTTCACCTGCAAAATGGAACTTTACATTAGGGTAAAATTATTATTTTAAGATAACAGTATTAGGAGTTTTAATAATAAAAAAGCCCTTCCAAGGCTGTAAAGGGAATTAAATGAGACAAAGCATATGGAGTGCCTGGAACACAGTAAGCACTCAATAAATGTTTGCTGCTACTGATGATGATGTAAATCTTTTGAGGAGGAATGTCATCCTTTCCCCCACTGCATATATAGTAACACGGATTCAGTGCTTCTCAAAGCTAAAATACAGTACCAGGAGGAAGGGTCTGGGTACAACTGTTTGCTGATTGCTGCCCCCAGGAAGCACGTCTCAGAGGCAGCCTGCACGACAGAGCAAAGGGCTTATTTTAGGAGCCTCCAATCAGGACAGACTGGTTGATCTGGATGCCTCACCTGGCAAGGCAGCCTCAGCCACACGCCCATCTCCACAGGCTATCGGCATTCCCAGTGGGATGCACCACAGCCCCAGACTGAGAATTTTTATCCACAACTTGTTCCCCTCTCCTGATCTCCCTTCTCCCTTTTGGAGACCTCAAGGCTGGAGAGAAATGAAAAGCAACAGCTCTGCCTGACAAATAAGGTAAGGACTCTGCCTCTCAGGTGCTGAGTCACTGGTTAGGAACTGTCCCATCTACAGACTCTCCCAGAAATTTACACAAAAACACAAAGTTGGGCTCCAAACCTTGGGCACTCTCAGAAAGGCTATGATTCACCAGGGTGTGCTTCAGAACTGAAACTCTGGGTACAGAAGGTACCCACTGCCCAGCCTGCCAACAACCTATCTTCCTTTAAACAACAAAAACGGAGCAGAAAGAGGAAAAAAGCCTGAACCTTTCCTAATAAGGTAATACCACATGCCATTTGTAGTTTTGAATTGCTTGGCACGCCAGGATCATATGACATTCACCGCAGCTACTGCTTCATGCTTGTGTGAGGCTCTCCAGGAAAAATGAGAGAGTCTTTGGTGTGCCTCTGGGGGATTACAAACGAACAGGGAACATGTTCTCCCAGTGGAACCTCACATTTTCCTGATTAACCACACTTGCCTCACATCCCTCTTTCACACTGCTGCCTGCAGGCCTCTTGCTTTGTGGGCTCAGGCATTGTAAAAGTTCTCAGGTTGCTTTGTATGCAGGTTTTCTCTCTCCAACGAGGTGCACGCTTTTTGAGGGCAGAAACACTCCTTTATTTCTTTTGTTTCACCCTGCTATGCTCATCACAGCGTAATTCACCCAGCAGTTACTCAATAAATGCTTGATGACAGACTAGTGCTGAGAATTTTACAGATCAGTAGGTGATCATTTTATATCATTAGCCCCTAACTTACAAATCGGCAGGGTTTCAAAAGTTGGTTTCAAAGAAGGTATTTATGTAGCATATTTTCCCATAGAAACAGTGTTATAACTGGGGCTTAGGTTTCCAGGCCCTCTTATTTCTCAGAATATCCTATATCTACTTACATGCAGTCTTATTGAGCTCTCTCATTTGCCTCAGACTCACATTAGACTGCCAGTATATGTGCAGGATAAACTCTAGTTCTTTCAGTTACAGCAATGCTGACTTGCACAAATTTCCTTTCCCACTTATTAGTCGTATTTTCATATTTTATGACACTATATGTAGCAGCAGGTAATAAATTACTCATCATATACTTTAAAAATAACACTAACAGGTAAGGAGTTATTTTTGCTCCTCATTAAAAAAGATGCATGAACTTTTGTTTTTCCTTTTACATTAAAATATTTTTCACCAGTTTTTAACCTCAGTTATTATTTGGGCCACTCCAGACTTTCCCAACCATTTACACACATTCACCCCCTCACCCACCCACCCACGCATCCACTCATAGTCTACCAGGACTGCCCATTTACATGGATACACATACAGACACACACACACACACACACACACACACGTGCATATACACACACGTTTTAAAATGCATTCTGGGCCACTAAAAATATTTATTAGCCATTATAGAAATGAATGACATTAGTTTTCAAAGTAAAAGCTATAGTTGTTCAACAGAGAGGCAGAGTCTGTGAGCCACTTCTCACTACAGCATAGGGAGAATGTTTAATGGCACCTCTGGGAATAATATAGTATCTGAAGAAAAAAGCTTTCAATGGCTCAGGGGGCAGGACAGTCACCTTCAGTTGACTGTCCCACAGTTAGGGTCTCTGTACCCAGTCTCCTCCAGAGCCTCAAGAGTGGCAGCTCTGGGGAAACACTGTCCCCTGTCCAGGGTGGGGTCTTCAAACAGGTCAGGGTTGCTGTGTTTGGGGTCTTGAGTACAAAAGTACATGCACACAAATGTCGACTGGCGTACTGCTTCTGGGATACTTAGGTAACCTGAAAAGCCATACCTCGGCCCTTATTCCCATTCAATAGCATCCTGAAAAGAAATCTAAGTGATTTTCCAGCATGGCTTGTGAGACATCTCTTGTGTCTCTATGGCTGGTGGAAAGAGTTATCATGCAGATGCTCTAGAAGAGTCAAACCCAAACCATAAGCAAACAGAAACCTCTCTCAAGACTAATGTGCTGAACACGGGTACTGAATGAGGTGAGCCTCTCCCCATTTTCTGGAGTCCACAGCTGTCTTTCTAAGCTAAGTCGGCATTTAAGTGGCACAACAGAGATGCCAGGTTAATGGCTGTGAAGGATGACAAATATCAGTATGGTCGTATTACATCTGTCTTTCAGCAAGAGTTATTACCAAGACATAAGAAACTGCAGTCCCTTCCCTGCCCCATAGCACCTCATAGTTACTCAATGTGGCCCATCCTCAATTGATTACGCTGACCCTTTAATGAGAAGTTCTGATAACCATATGCTTGTTAGCAGGCCTTTTCTTTGATCAGCTCTTACAGGAAATCTAACGTATACTCCTTCACTCTCCCACCACTGGGAGAAATATAATTGAATCAATGCAGTAATTAAGTACCCCATATTCATCTTTCCTTGGCGTTTCAGGATGTTGCTCTGGTTCCAGGTCTCACTGGAGAGAAGAGGGCAGCTGTCCAGAAGTAGCAAGTATAAGAGACTGGTCTGAATGTACCAGGATCACAACAGACATTTTGAAAGTTTACTTTGTTTACTTTGTCTCTGAAAAATGCCAAGCATGTAGGAGTTTGGGGTTAACAGGTTGCATGCAGTCAGATCCCAGTACCTTGAGCTGTTATTCTAATTTAAGGAATGCAGACATGTGGCATGGAGGTTGCCTCTTTTCCTCTTGCACTCACGGTAGACATCCCTAATGGATCAGCACTCATGGCAGCTATCACTAATGAGTCATGGTGTTCTTTCCTGTTGGGCCCAGACATGAGCTAGTTAATACTTCTTTTCAACACCTCGCCCCAATCACATAAGTTGGAAACAATGAACTATTTTTGTTCTAATTGATTTCATATACTTTAATTTCTTTCCTTAAAGTAACTGACAGTTGACTAAGGTATCATTACTTTATTTTAGCAACATTCTCTCTATACTTCTTAGCTAATTCCTCCACTAATCTGAGCTACAAATAATATGGGATATCATCCATTGCCAGACACTGTTAGACACTAAGTGCCAATTTATGTCCCTGTGTCCTTACAAAAATCTCAAGGCAGGGAAAGGTGGCTCGAATCTGACCTGTATTATGGCTTCCAGTAACCTTTCCAGGTGACTGCTACGCTGAATTATTGGCCTCCCTTTGCTTCCTACAGTGTCACCACTGCATTCACTTTGTCATACTACAATGGTCTGTCCATGTGCCCTCTTCCCTACTTAGCTCCACAACAGCAGGACCCATGTCTTACTTAACCTTTCAATGCCCAGCACATGGAACACTGCTGAATATAGAGTGGGTGTTTGGTAATTATGTTGAAAGAATTTTTTTTTAAGTTCTTGTTTTCAAATACAAGTTGAGCATCCCAAATCTGAAAATCCAAAATCCTCCAAAATCTGAAACTTTTTGGGCTCTGACATAACACTCAAATGAAATGCTTACTGACGCATTTCAAATTTGGGATGCTCAACTGGTAAGTATATAATGTAAATATTCCAAAACCTGAAAAAAAAAAAACCTGAAATCTGAAACACTTCTGGATCCAAGCATTTCAGATAAGCGATTCTCAATCTGTACTTGCTGAGTTTCAATTCATGCCCTACAGTGAACATCACCCATGACAAGTCCTGCGACTGGAGGAAATTTACTTCATAAAGTAAGGAGTGGTGGGCAGGCCAGCCAGAACTGAAGCGGGGGCCAGGGCAGCCCCGATACCTTCCATGAATCAGCTGTTCGCATGCACCTCCCCTCCAAGCATGAAAAGCATTCACAGCTCAGCTTCTGCCTCCATGCTTCACTGCTGGGTTTGCAATTTGCCTTTCTGTACCTCCCACACTGGACTGTGCTCTGTATCCCTAGCACTTACTAAAGTGTTCGGTCAGTGGTGAATAAAGATCTTTGAAGGGGTCTGTAGTAAAGACAGCACTGGCCTGAGACTGGAAAACGGGGAGCTACTTCTAGAACTGCCCTGATCCCCTTGGGTGGTTTCTGTCTGAGTTGTTTTTGTGGTGTCGGTGAGAGAATGCCTGCCCAGCAGGACAGGTGGCGGGCGTTAAGTGTGGCAGTGTATGTGAGCACTCTGCCAGGGTAAAGGTAGGCGCTCCCTTCTCCTCTTCATGAGGCTGCCCTACACGGGCTGCTGTTGTCATTCCAGCATGCCCTGCCCCTTTGGCCACTCTCCTCTGGGCCACTTTGTGCAGCTCAGTGTAACAACTTTCTGTTCCCGGTCGTGCCCGGAGAGTTGTGAGCTCCCCACCTCTGCGCATGTTATTTCTTTTCCTTCATCTCTCCTCACCTCCAACTCTGTACAGATTTCTGGGCAGCTGGAGGGCAAGCTCTTGGCCTGGCCCACAGGTGCTGTGTGCTATGACTGCCGGTCACCTCTTCAGCTTGGTCCCAACCACGCCTACCTCCCACACACTAAGCCCCGGTCATACCTGAACTCATCATTCCTGTCCCCACCACAAACCTCCGCCTATTGTTGTGGTCTCCAGCTCAGGGAGTGGCACTGTCATCCAGGCAGCTGCCGAAGCCAGACACCCCAGAGTCGTTCTGGACTCCCCACTCCTCCACCACACCCCTTCTTCTGTCTCCAAGTCCTGCTTACGCCACCTCAATATTTCTCAAATTAGTATATTTTTACCCCACTGCCCCACCCTAGTTGGGAGTATAAGCAGCTGGCCCCTGGATCACTGTAGCACAGCCATGGCTGTCTAGCTGGTCTCTCTACCTCCCCTCAATCCACTCTGCACACCCAAAGTGATGTTTCTGTAAAGAAAAGTTGACTGTGACCCTCCCCTTTTAAAGTTCTGTCCACAGTTTAGATATCGCTTCCTGCAGGAAGCAGTGCTGATGCAGGAAGCCACAGCACCTCCGTCTCTCCCATCAGGATACCGAGCACACTTGTTGGTCTTCTGCATTAGAGGCCACTCCGTGAGGACTTCCTTGCTCTCCTCTGAGCAGTGGAAGGTTTTTAATCACTCCTTGTGTAGCAGGCACTCCAGCCTGCTACCTGACAGCCATCTAACTCCCTCCTCTCTGCTGGTAGAACAAGTTCACTCTTTCCTCATGTGATGAAGGTAAATCCAGATTGGTCTAGGCCACATGGATGGCCCCAGACCACTTCTGAGTGTTTAGTGGTGGGCATGTGCCCCAGTTCTGACCAGTGAGACATGAGGGGAGGTTGGCTTGGGAATTTTGAAAGGTCTCTTCATTCATAGAGAGATGCATAAGAAACAGTTCTTTATCTGTCCGCCTTGGCGTTGTTACAAGAGGATGGGATGCCTTTGACCTTTCTGTACCTAGGAGGAGAGCTTGCTGATGCTCTGAGGATAGCAGAGTAGGTGGAAAGAGCTTGATGGTGTTGAGCTGCTGAATTACCAAACTGGAAGCAGACTACATGTGGACTTCTTTTTATATGAGATGGTAAGTTCCCTTTGGTTTAGGCCATTTTGAATTGGGTTTTCTGTTACTTGGAGCTCAAACAGATTACAGATTCTTGGGCACTTTTCACTTCCTATTTTGTCTTAGAGGTACTTATTAGGTACAAATCTTGTTTCTTGTTTTAGACTGTGGTCTTTTTAAGGGCAGCATTTGCATTTTGATAGATCCTTGTATCTCCCAGAGGCTGGTGGCTTGTCCTACTCTTGAGATTGAATGAAGAGCCAGCATCGTCTTCCGGCCTCACACTATAAGGTCTCACAACCTGTAGATGGGCCTTCTTCAGGGGCTTAATTTCTTCATTTATTTTTACAAATGTTCAATGTAGGAAGAAACATGAACAAAATATAAAAGCTCTACAGTCCACTCTAGGAGGCAAACCTATCACATCCATCCTTATATACCTCACTGTACTGAACACATGCTTTGTGCAAAGTGGATACTCAAAATGTTTGCTAAAGGAATAATTTAATTTGCCTCTGATGAGTCAAGAGCACTTAGGACTTTTATAATGTCCTAAGGTCATAACGAACAGTAATTACCGACAAATAGTGCTAAATATATCCTGGTTCTAGGAGATCACTGGTAGTAAGGTTTTGTTTGTTTATATGACAGCCTTGATCCACCAAGATGCTAAAGCCTTAAAATAGAACAAGCAGAACTAGGCTTTGTACAGTGAAGCAAAAAAATAAAAGTTTGAGCAGCAGAGCTGCCCACTGGATGTGTGCTGAATGCCCATCTTACTTGTGCCTGGCCCTGGGGCTCAGCCAGGTAAGACGAACCCATTGTCCTCAAGGGGCTTAGAGTGTGGGAGTGGGAGGAAGAAAAACAGACAACTTCAAAAGAGTGCAGTAAATGTTATAATAGGTAAGGTAGAGGGTGCAATAGAGATTCCAAGGCCAGACCTGGTGCATTGAGAAGGTTTCTCAGAAGAGTATCTGAACACAAAGGGTAAGTTTATCATACAGGAAGGGACCAAAAAAATAATAAATAAAAAGAAGAGTAGCATGATCAGGTCTGTAGTTTATAAAAAGCTAATTCTGACTGTAATATGAGGTAGGAGAGACAAGGCTGAAGTCAGCAAGGCCAGTTGAGGGGCTGCTACAGTAATTCATTGTGGAATACCACAGGTTTCTCAGGCTGGAAACAGGTTAATGACAAATAATGTCAGGCCTGGGTTTTCAAGAGCATGTGGTGCTATGGCTGCTGCTCAAAGGATGATGGCTCTGGACACCAGTTTCCCATCTTCTGGGTTCAGGATGGGGAGTGGGTTTGACTTGGAGGCCACAAGATAGGGTGTGATGGTTTTAACCTGGTGTGAGCATGAGTGCACGTGTGTGTGCATATGTGTGTGATGTGACGCTCCGCCTCCTCATTTACCACATCTCACAGTTAGGTGAGCACAGGAATGGCTCTGGTCCCAGCATGGCCACAGATTCCTCTGTGATCTAGTTCAAGGGGTCATACCTCTTTGACCCCCAGCTTTTTCACAGGTCCTATCAAGAAGCTGGGCCAATCTCTAAAACCAATCAACTGGTCTGCCCGGGTCATCTGCACTGCAAGGTTTATGATTCTCTGTACCAGGGCTTCTCAGCCGGTGTACCCTGCTGAGGTTCAGGTATGCCTCAGCCCCAGGTGGCCTGACAGGGCCTGGACCATCCAGAGCCTCCAGCTGTGGGCATCTTCCTCCATGCTATAGTACGACTTTTCTAAATGTGCCATTTAAGTTGAGTATCCCTTATTCAAAATGCTTGTCACCAGAAATGTTTTAAATTTTTGGATTTTTCTCAGATCTTGGAGTATTTGTATATACATAATGAGATATCTTGGGGATAAGACCCAAGTCTAAACTTGAAATTCATTTATGTTGCATATAGGCCTTATACACAGAGCCTGAAGGTAATTTTATATACTTTAAATATTGTGTATGATACAAAGTTTGTTCACACTGAACCATCACAAAGCAAAGGTGTCAGACAGGGAATTTTCCACTTCTGGTGTCATGTCAGTGCTCAAAAAATTTCTGAATTTTGGAGGATTTCAGATTCCTGGATTAGGAATGATCAGCCTACATGAGGAAACAGGCAGGAAGCACCACTCTAGACAAGAGAAAGAAAAACATTCGCATGAGCCCAGAATCTCCTTTGGCTCATCACTCATGTCTCCTTCCGTCACTCAAGTGTCCACTAGCTCTTTAATGACAAAGCCAACACCAACCTGCTTCCAGCTGCATACTGGAAAGGCAACCAAAGACCGACATGGCTGGAAGATGCCAAGCAGTAGGGCCAAAGGGACTATCACAAATGGGAGCCTTTCCACTAGGGCTTTCCACCTCATGCCCTCCTGCCTTCCGGGGGACCTTGCTCTATACTGACTGTTGCCTTCCCTCCAGAAGCTCCAAACTCCCTCTCCATCTCCTTTGATATGTGTGATTTTGGTCACAGTGGAAAAAAATCTTGTATTTACAGGGAGAAAAATTCAGAAGGAAAAGCACTGCTTTCTTTGAGAAGGCTGAACTAGGGGTCCCCAAGGACACTGGGGAGTGTTGGGAAGTTCTGAGAAAGATTTGAGATGGCTCAGCTCACTTAAAAAGAAAACGCAGCAATGGACAGGGGTTACATAAACGAGTCTCTGTGCTCAGAATCGCAGGTCTGAAAAGGAGGTTTTAGTTTGGCTTTGGGTTTCCTTTTTTGTTTTTTTGAGACAGAGTTTTACTCTTGTCGCCCAGTCTGCAGTGCAGTGGCACGGTCTCGGCTCACTGCAGTGTCTGCCTCCCAGGTTCAAGCAATTCTCCTGCCTCAGCCTCCCGAGGAGCTGGGATTACAGGCACCCACGACCACACCCCTGGCTAATTTTTGTATTTTTAGTAAAGATGGGGTTTCACCATGTTGGCCAGGCTGGTCTCAAACTCCTGACCTCAGTCAATTTGCCTGCCTAGGCTTCCCAAAGTATTGGGATTACAGGTGTGAGCCACTGCGTCCAGCCCTAGCTTTGGGTTTCCTATTGCAGCAACACATTAGAATAAACAAACAACCAAACCCTTGGGACTGAACTAATACACCTGGAGAAGGATTAATGTGGCCTGGGTCCTGCTATCCCTCCTCAGACCTAGTATTTCGCCATGACGATGAAATACTATTGGCTGGTAGCAGCGGCCAGCTCGCTAACCTGGGCAGCAGACCCCTCTCTGCTCTTCACACAGCTTGGCATTGGCCTGGTGTCAGGATTGGGGAGCATGCTGGACAGGGGCTGAGTGGCTGCTATATGCACACTGGAGCACACATTGATAGTACAGCAGAGAGGGCTGGGCTCATCCCTGGTAACCTGTCAGCCCTGGCTTTTAGATGCTTGAAAGATGAGGTTGGATACAACTATAGAACAAACCCACCCAAAAAAGTCCTTGAGAGAAAAACATGAAGCAAATAAAATCAGCTAAGATGCTCCCTGTGGAAGCGTGTCTTAAAAACATTTGCCTTTTCCTGATTGCTCCAATGGAGGAATACCTTATTACCAACAAAAAGTTAGGAGTGATGTATGGGAGCTAAAAAAGTAGACCTCATGGAGGTAGAGACTAGAATGGTGGTTACCAGAGGCTGGGAAGGGAAGGGGGGGATGAAAAGTTGGTTAAGGGGTCCCAAAATACAGTTAGGGAGAAAGAATAAGTTTTAGTATCTGACAGTACAGTAGAAAAATTAGAGTCAACAACAATTTATTGTATATTTCAAAACAGCTAAAAAAATGTGCAATGTTCCCAACACAAACAAAAGATAAATGTCTGAGGTGATGGACAGCCCAATTACCCTGATTTGATCATTATACATTGTATACATGATCAAAATACCACATGTATCCCCCAAATATGCACAACTATTATACAACAATAAAAAATGTTTTAAGAAGTTAGGGGTGAAATCCAGCACATGGAACAGCATATACATCCCACAGTACTAATGGAGGCCAGAGGGCATGTGGCTTTGGGTGGGAGGAGTGTCAAGATCTCTATGGTTCCTGCGTAGGCAGTCTTCTCTGTGTTGGCTAACTATAGTCTGAGAACTATTCACCTCAGTAAACACTGGTCAAGTGCCTAACTGCATCCAAAGTACTGTGGGAGACAATACAGTGTAGCCATTAAGAAAACGAATTCTGGAATCAGGTAGGCCTGGGTTTGTGTTCGGACTCTTTCACCCATTCCCTGTGTGACCTGCGAATATCTGTTGGCTGTAATTATTATAATCTTGGTGCACCTCAATTTCCTCATCTACAAAATGGACATAAGAACTATATGTACCTCAAAGAGTTGCTGTGAGAGTTAAATGAAATCATGCAAGTATGATGTTTTGTATAATACCTTATACATAGTAAGTGTGCAATAAATACTAGTCATTGTTATTCCTAGAAGCTTCCCCAAATTATTTTAAAAAGAAGGCACCTAGATCTAAATGACAGTCCATGTAACAAAGAAAACCCTTACTTGAGCAATTTCAGTGAAGGCCATTTTTCAACAATGCTCACTCACTTCCCTCCACTCTGGGTCCCAGTCATGTATAAAACACTCTGCTTTGTGTTGACTAAGCTCCACAGTGACATTCCAAGGAGTTCTGGTGTCCCTCCAAATATTCTAGGCTGCCCTTTTAACCTGATACTGATACCCTGTCCACTCTACTGTTTAAGGGGCTATTTAAAAATTTGGCTTTGTAAAGCAGGGAGCAAGGCAGAAAGCCTTCAAAGCTTTAGCAGTTGGCGTGGCAAGGAACAGAAAAGCAGCATTTTACAGTATCAAATACCAGAAGTAGCCCTCATAACCACTAACTTTGTAGTGCTCTTCCTTCACTGTGGCGAAGTGCTGAGCATGTTACATGCATTACATTACTGAAACCAAGGCCCTGTGACGTTCCAGTGAGTCCAAGGTGCTAGCTGGTGTGAGTACAGCTGTGGGCTCTAATCTATGCTTTGCTTCAAAGTCCACGCATGCAAATCCTGGGCAACTCCCTGAGTTTCCAAGGCAACTCAGCCAACTCATCCAGAGGTAACTAGCTTCCAATAACTGTATAAGCTCACTCCCATCATTTGGTAGGTTGGTAGGTCAATCAGTTCAATTTATTTTTATTTTTATTTATTTTTTGCTTTCTCTGATATTTGACCAACCACGACACCTAGTGGCCAGTGGAGCACAAACATGGGTTGCCCGAAAAGGCTGATGGACGGGTGATGTGTGTCTTTAGCTTTAAGACACACGTTGCTCATGACCAGGAAAAACCTGATGGATCGTGTTCAAGGCAAAGAAACCAAGGCACAGAGAAATGAAGCGACTTGCCTAAAGTCAAAGCTAATGTAGAACTGTGTGGAAATACTGAACCTTAGTGTTAGAACTCGTATTCTGATTCAGACTTGGCCTAAATTTGATCCTCAGCAAGATACTTTCTTCAGTTATTCAACAAACATTGACTGGGCACCTCCTGAGTAAGGCACTGTGCCAGATGCCGGGGACATGACAGTAAGCAAGGAGGACACGTCTCGATCCTTGCAGTCAAATAGGAGGGGAAGATAAACAGAGAATCCACAATAACAATACCAGCTAATATGTATTAAGGACTCTGCTTCAAGAGTTTCATGTACACCAACTCGCTTCATCCTTGACTTGAAACAATCCTATAATGGGGGTGCGATTATTATTCTTGCTTTGAAAATGTGCAGGAGAACATTTAAGTTGTGGGTAACAAACAGGGCTCCTATGCCTTTCTAGGTCTAAGTTTCTGAAATAAAGTTGTGCTAGATACTGGAAGATTTCTAAGACCTCTTTCCAGATCAGTTTCCCTTCACTTCTAGGATTCTGGGGTAAAGCTGGGATTAGACCTTGGTCGGTTTTCCTGACCAAGAGTCTAGTGTTCCCTCTCTATACACTGTGCTGGTCAATATTTATGAATAACAGCTGGAAGTTATTGAATGCTTACTCTGTGCCACGCCCTGAATTTCTCAGTTCAGGCAATCTTCTTCACAACCTATGAGACAGCTTTAAGATACAAATAATAACTGAGTGAAAAATCATGCTCTAAAATAGTTTAAAAGATTTCCAAGATAAACAGAGAGGCTTCCAACCTCACTCAGCTGTAGCATCCTGAATCTCTGTTCTGTCTGATTTTGTTGAATGGTGGATTTAAACCTTATGTATTGGTGTCCTCAGGCTCTCATGAAGGGAATGGATAATGGGTCCAGGCAAATGGTTCAATGATGAGTTACTGTCTAGGGAAACAGGGGGCATCTTGTTCAATAACAACATTGCTTTGGGGTAATTCTGGGTCCCTAGAAGTATCTACAAAGCCTGCAAGGTCAAGTGCAGGTCGACTTGGCTCTTTGGTTTTATGATTCCAAATAAATAAAACACATTTCCAACAGTTCAGCAGGGTATATCCGAGATCGGCAAACTCTCCAACGAGGTATTCCCGTTAACCCTTAGTCCCTTACCCTCCCTGAGGGTATGTGCACACCATCCGCTTTCTGTCGGGTGAGGGAGGGTGCAGGGAGAGAGGCAGGGGCAATCAGGAAAACTCTCTCAGTGATCCTGCAAATGGGAAATGGGGACATTGAGTTTAATCACGGCTCCACTCCAGGACCAAAGAAAGCAACTCCTGCCACCTGCAGTCAGACCACTCTCTCCCACACCCAGGAAAGCAGACCCAGTGGGACCTAGAGCTTCCCAGGTCTTGTAAGACTCTGGCCTCTTTGTTCAGGGCCTCCAGAATGATACTCCAGTGGGTCTTGGTGAGAACATACATTAGATATGCTGCAATGTTTAGCCTAGAATGCTCTGCTAGCTTTTCCAAATGGCAAGCTCTCACTGAACTTTCTAGGGCTACAGATCAATACCTTCTTTTGCCTGACCACCACCACCGCCCCCAACCCAAGGCTGTCCACAGTAGGAACTGCCACATTTGCCCAGTACCTAACACAAGATTGTAATCACTGACTTGTTTATCTGCCTACCCCATGGACTTGAAACATCTCTAAAAGATGAAGTGGGGTGGCTTAACCATCCTTACGTACTCAGTACCTAGCTAGCACAGCCTCTGGATTGAGGAGGTGCTGATTCCCAAAGAGCTGGAAAGGAAGGCAAGGAACTGTAAGGCTAGAAGAGGCTTAAGAGGTCATCTCATTTATAATCCTGCCCAATACAGGATTTCCCTCAAAATACAAGAAATTATTTTGAGGGAAAATAATACAAAAAGTAAAGAAAAACAAGAGAAAAGTTTAAAAGAGTATGTATTTATGTACATATATACCTTCTACATGCATACATACATATATGGCATCCTTCTACTGGAATGGGGTATGTGGTGGTAAAGACGCAGAGTAAGATTCACTCAGATTTTTGAGCATTAGCGTTTATCTCTTTTTAAAGTTTTTTTCCCTAATTTTTTTCCCCTAATTTTTCACAAAATACATGCAATTTAGTGAAAAATTTGTAAAATATAATTAAAGTGAACAGAAGGTAAAAGTTAACATGCTGTTATATTTCCTTCTAATATTTTCTTGGGAGTTTTTGTTCTTCCTTTTTTAAAAAATCAAAGGAAACCTTGATCAGATTGAGTTTTTAAGGTAGTCTAAATTATACTCTGCTGCACAACTTTATATTTTGCTCCGTTCTAGCAAAAGCATTTCCCTATGTGATTATAAAGTCTTTATAAGCATCATGTTTTAACTTTTATTTTGATATAAGTTCAGACTTAGAGAATAGTCGCAAAGCACCCAGATTTGGGTTCCTCAAATGTAAACATTTTACTATATTTAACACCCTACCCTCCCAGGAGAGAGAGAGAGAGAGAGAGAGAGAGAGAATCAATATGAAGTTTTACTCCTAAATATTTCAGTGTATACTTCCTATGAATAAGAATAAGGAATTCTCATATATAACCACACCAATTAGTCAAATCAGGAAATTAACTCTGATATTTTACTATTATCTGATCTACAACCTTATTCAGATTTTGGTGATTATCCCAATAATGTCCTTTACAGGAAAAGAAAATACAAAATTATACATTATGTTCAACTGTCATGTCTCTTTAGTCTTCTTGACTCTGGCATGCTTCCTGAGTATGTCTTGGTTTTTAATGTTATTAATATTTAAGAGTAAGTGCTGGTTATTTTGTGGAATGTCCCTCAATTTGGGTTTGCACATGTTTTTTCCTGATTCGATGCAGGTTATGCACGTTTGGTAGGGATACCACAGAAATAAATATCCATCACTTTTTTTTTTTTTGGTAAGAGACAGGGTCTCACTCTGTCACCCAAGTTAGAGTGCAGTGGTGCAATCACATAGCTCTACAGCCTCAAACTCCTGGGCTCAAACAACCCTCCTGCCTCAGCCTCCAGGGTAGCTGGGACTACAAATTCCATTTTACACAAGCATGTCCTTATTAGAGAATTTTAGGTTGTTTTTATAATTTTGCTATAATTCCAAATCCACCCCCCTCCCACCCTATGAATTACTGATTGGCTTTCCACCATTAATTTTTATATTAATAATTTATCCATTTAAAAGAATATGTTAAGATTGTTACTATATTAACAACTTTTGTCTAAGAAGCTCTGTCAATTTGCAGTCTAACAAAGGATGGAGTGTGAACTCCATGTCAGGCTAACAAGCCTTGAGCACTGACATGCTAGTATTGCACTGCTGTTTTAGTGGCTTTCACCTTAAATTGTGGTTATAAACGGCATTGCTCCTGTCATGCCTCTGAATATATTCCTTTGTTTGTTTGCTTTCTCATTCGTTCACTCCTTCACATTCACTCAGTAAATACTGAGTGTATATTCTGGGCCAGTAGTTTAGGTGTGAGATCAAGGTCTCAAGTAAAGAAATAAACAAGAAAATATGGATTGTGGTAAGGGATATGAAATACACAGGCTGGTGCAACAATGAGTACCTGGAGGCAGTGCTCCAGGTAGACAGGGAATAGTCTGGTGCGTAGAGAAAGACAAATGAGCCAGTGAGCTGCAGCTGGGGGACCAGGAGAAAGAGGTGGGGCATCTCTTGGCATTTACCATAAAATTCTATCAAAATGTCTCCAAAACATTGCTCTTACTAAAAATACGAACCCTTATTCTGACCTATCCCAAGTACCCACTTCCAAAGCCTACCCTTCTCCTCTGTCTGTCCTAGTCAGCAGAGTCTAAACTTCAGCGTATTATAATTTGTGAATAATAATGAAAGCCTGAAAATGCTCTGAAATTAGAGGGAACTTAGATACCATCCTGATGTTGCTCAGCATTGCAATTACCTGACTTTGAGGGACCATTAATGAATGAGACTGTCTCAACACTAGATTAATGGCCACTTTCAACAGTGGAAAGGGAACAGATGTCCAAGAAGACAGAAAGGTACTAACAGCTGTGTGTATATGCGTGTGTGTATATGTGTGTGTGTTCTCCTTCAATAACCGGGGTGGTGGCTATGGCCACAAGCAAGGAAGATGGGTGTTCATGCAAAAACAATCAATCTGCTTGTGCTTTGGAGTTACTCTGGTCTAGCAGAAACTGCAGCTCCCCAGGGCTCACTATCACCTCTGGACTTTGTCAGAGTGAGTCAAGTAGCAAGAACACAGAGGAATCGTCCAGGAACTAGACCTGGGAAAAATATATCCGTCTTTCTCCAAACAAAGCCTGTTTGGTATTTCAGGCAATTAGTTTCCAAACACTTGGGTCAAAAAGCAACAGATTATATTGTCAAAAAATTATTTCCTTGCATGAGATGAAAAATTAGACAAAATATATAAGAATACATAAAAATTAAAGTAGACAAAATATATAAGAATATTATCAATAGTCATTAGATGCCCCTGTCAAGCACTGAAAAAATAACTTATAATAATCTATAAAATGTATGCACACTCTTTTCTTTTCACATCCTTCTAAGGGAAACAGCCCCCAGTAGGCGATTAAGCTGATGCACGAGTAACGATCTCTTAACAATGCCATGCCATCAAATACTGAAGTACAGTTCAGTGTTTCTAAGAGCAGAGAAAGAAAAAAAACATTAAAATTATTACTAATATAAACACTATGATTGTATATTGCACTTGAGGGATGAAGATCTAGAACAATGAAGATGATAAACATATTTACCTACAGACAAAAGATGGTAGATAAGATTTTTATTATAAAGGCTTTGTTTATAAAGGGAACACATTAGAAGCTAAGTAATTGGGTCAGATTTGGTAATTAAAAGCAGCTGAATAATCAACAAACGCTTAACAAAGGTGTTAGAACAAGATCATATTTTAACAGAAGATGAAATACATAGAAAGGTTTGTATATTTCAACCCTTATTCTTCTGCCTGTTTTGCATTTTTCTTTTAAAAATACACAAAAAGTATAGGAAGCAGTAGTGAAATAACTACTACCTAGTCAACCTGTGACTGAATCTGGCAGTTGTTAGTAGCAGGTGTAAATGAAACGATGCGAATAAACTAGCAGGACTAAATCAAAAAGATTTCAATGTGGGTGACATAGCTAAAGTCTATAATTTAGGATCTCTAATACATATCCAGTTTGTGGTTGAAAATTCCTGCTTTCTAGTGGGCTTTACGTCTGCCACAACCCCAAGGAGTGAAAGGAAACTCAAGACTAACAATGATTTGTTGTAACTAGACGTAGTGGTGAAAATCTGGCCAAAAAAAAGTCCACTATAAATGTAACAGCTGTGAGCCTTAAGCCTGGTGGCATTTAAACCATTTTATTCTTTATAGCTATAAGAGTATTCAACCCTAAGTTTACAATAATATCTCAAGGCAAAAACTCAAACAAAACAAGGCACACACGCACACACACACACACACACACACACACACACACACACACACACCCCTAAACAATGCCCTCATAGACAAGCCCCTTTCAAAGTCCCACCTAATTACAGGCTGACAATCTTTCCAAATTATCAATCAGAACAATAAAAATGCCCTTGAGGGCTCATTTTAAACAATTCTCTGGTCCTCCTCTAGGGGGCGAAGTTGGCTCGCATTTCACCGAAAGGGGAAATTATTTTCAAACCCTGATTTTCGCACAGTGCTAGAAAGATATTCACATACAAAGGGGTCTTTCCGCGCTCCTGCTTCTTCTCAATACATTTCACTTCGGCTGATGAGCAAAGCAGCCCAGCCCTTCGGCACAGTAAGAGGGAGGGAATGTGATTACGGCGGAGCATAAGCAGGGCTTAATCAGCACAACCCTGAAGGCCGGCCAGCTCATTCTCCTCAAACTTGAGATCACAGCTATGGTTTTGCCAAAGATGATACACTTTCAAGAATATATGTTGGTGTTTTTTTTTTTTTTTTCCAGGAGAATTTTCCACTGGGGAAATTCTGAAGCCAGGTGAAGCCTCACACGGGGCTCCCTCCCACCCGGTCTCCTCTGTAGGGCCTCCCTCTGAGAAACCACAAAGCAAGCTGCTGGAGGTCTGAGTGCCTGCCCTCCCTTCCTGCACAAACGGGGCCCTTTCTACCCTGAGGATGGCATCTGGTGGTCAGGAAGATGCCTGGACAGCAGTTCCTCGCTGGGCCTCGCTTCCCCCTCACGGAAAGGGTTAGGTGTCCTCTTAGGGAATGCAGGTCTAGCTACAGAAGGGGCATACACAGGCAATGCCTATTCCCAAGGGAGAATCAAATGTGAGTTTTAGCACCCTAGCAACCATACAAGGCAGAAGGCTCAGAGTGTGTGTGTCCCTGACCCATGGATAGATCGTTTTTGTGGGTTCTAAGCCTTATACAATTTTGGGGGTCCTCTTTAGAAAAATCATACAAAATTAGGAATATCACATTAGCTACAGGGCATTGGAATGGGATGTTGCCAGTGAAAGATCCTGAACCTTAGGGCTCTTTAACTGCTGGGCCATGCAGTTATCTTGTCCAGCCTGCCACCACTGGACTCTCCCCTGCAGTAAAACCCCATGTCACGTGTGCTGGCTCTGGGTCTCTTCTTGGCCTCTTGAACATGGTGCCATCTCTAATGAGACTGACAGGGGTTCAGCACGACAGGGCCTGAGCTCCTCCCGCTTAGGACTGTCCATTGCCTGGAGACAGATACCGAGGTGGAGCTATTGAAAGAAACACTTGCGCTGCCCTGTGAAAGGGAACAAACTCCTCTGCCACGGGTCAGCTCTCCACACCTACCTGACCAAGTCTCAGTAACCAGTTTGGGTCATCTCACTAGTTCAGACTCTGCCTCCTCCTCCTTTTCCACCCATGGGAAGGTTATGCAACCCTCCTTCCAGACCTCCTTGGGCTGCACAAAGGTGCCAACTATACTAGTCTTTACTGAAAGACAGCAAAATAAAGTGACCTCAATTGAGAGCATTTATCTAAACATAGTTTGTTTGCATATTTTCAGTCCTTGTAAAAATAATACACAATTTTCTCCTTATCTGATGGCAATATCACTTACCTAAATCTTAACAATAAAATGAGGCAAGGCCTAAAAAAATAGAAAGTTAAGTTTAGTTGATGTAGCTTGTTTTCACATGTGCTACAGTTTGGAATTTATAAGCAAACCAGATATAAATTTTCTTCTTTTTGAACAAAACAGTAAGAACAACTTCTTACATATAGAAATGTCTTCATAAAATCCATTTATCACAAAAAACAGTGTTCTGCAAATTTGATTTAAAAGCTTTTTTTGGAGATGGGCTCTTGCTACGTTGCGGAGGCTGGACTCGAATTCTTAGGCTCAAGGGAATCCTTGGCTTCAGCCTACCAATGAGCTGGGACTATAGGCACATGCCACTGTGCTTGGTCTTCTGCAAATTCTTATTTGTAAAACGGAATGTGCTGGGAAAATAACAGCCACCATTATTTGCATCCTGTGAACCACACATAGTCTAAACATTTCATATAGACTATTTCACTTAATCACCTCAATAACCCTATGCAGTATTATCCCTATTTTATTGATGCAGAAATTGAGGCTTTAAGAGGTAAGCGACTTGTCCAAGGTTACAAAGGTATTTTGTATAGATTTGAGGCTGGGCAGGTTGAGCCTTATTGTTAGTCCCTGTGCCATGCTGCCTCAGCAGCCAAAAATCACTTTTGATACTATAAAGAACTAGTGAGTTTCACAAGATAGTTATTTTTTAAAAGCAGATCATTGCACATATTTAGATTTTTTCCCAAATTCCTATTTGATTAAAAAAAAACAGGCTGAGGAATGGGGCTAGTTTTTTCCAAGGCTTTAAAGGTTTTTAGAAATCATCATAATAGTTAAATGCAAACAATGTAATAGCTACCATTTATTGAACATGTATTATGTGATGGGCCACTGGCTAAGTTCACTATGTGCAGTGTTTCCTTTAATATAGCTATCTTGTGAGGCAAATGATATGATGCCCATTTAACAGATGAGGAAACTGAGACTCAGAAAGGTTAACCGTAACCATGTTCAAAGTGTCTCAATAGATAAGGAAAGTTTGAACTCTAGTCTATCTGCCCACACTAAGCCACTTCCCTACTATAAAATGTATACATATAAAAAGTATGCTTTAGCTAAGAGCCTGTTAGTTATTTCAAATATATATCTAGATCTTTGAATGGCCAGTGCAAATCACCATATGCTTTTAGGCCAAGAGAATATAGATGAACAGTCCCAGGGGAGTTGAGTTCTGCTATCTGAGCTTCTGTCTCTAATATCACCTCATATGATGGGTCTGGGGGAGGAAAGGAGGGAGCTGTATCTTGCCATCTTTGTAAGCAGCCAGTAAAAATGAGGACATAAATCAGGTCCACATCTGGATATATAATGTTCAGTCTTGCCAAGAGACTAGTACATGATGGAACTACCCAAAATGCATTTAATACATTCTTAGGCCACTGCACCCAGAGAGACTCCAACTTTAGCTGACCCAAGCATCTTCCCAGCATGTGTCACTTGCTCATTTGAGACGCTGGCTTCACCATGGGTTGGGGGGTCTATACTCAGCGAGTGACCTAATTGTTACAGGACCCAACATCACAGTGGTCCAACCACACATGAAAAAGGAGGGCACGTTGGCAGGGAGGCTGAGTTCACAGTGCTGGCGCCAGAGAAGGCAGAGAAATATGCTGACTCCAAATGTCACATGAGCATGAAAGAAAACCTACATAAGTGAGGGTGGGTCTTTGGAGGGAGGTAGGATACATTCTGCAAGGCTTGAATTTGCAGAGTTCATAAACTCTGCATGGAGCCCTGATCAAAATGCTTCCATGAAGCACAGCAAATACGTTCTCAGATCAAGAGAAACTATGTTAGGGTCATGAGCATGAGAAATGGCATGAGCACAGTTTCCAAATACTAGCTTTCTGCTGGAGTTATACAGGTGCACGTTGGTATGCAGGTAGAGGAAACCCACCCAGATACACAGGTCAAAAGTTTCCCTGTGGGCTTAGATAACAGGGTGTCTAAGCTTCGCTTTGGAATCTCTGAGGCCCAGGAAAGAATTCCAATTTTCCCAAACATTTCCCATTTTTCCAATGTCCAATTCTCCCAGACAAGGCACGCACACACACACTCACACTCACACTCACTCTCACTCTCTCTCTCTCCTGAGATCCCATTAGAGAGAAAGAACGTCACAGGAAGCTAGGTTTGGCTCAGAGGGAGCAGCATCTTTCCAACAACTCCAACTTAGCTGAAAATCTGAATGGGATGATATGGGAGGGAAGGAGGGGAGATGGAGGTAGGAAGCTCCTCACCAGATGAAGGACCACTTTTAGAGTGTTAAAAGAAGGGAAGTGTCTCACACTGGGTCTGAGGTTAAGATGCGAAAGTGAAGGTTTCCACCACCTCAAGATGTAACAGATGGGAAATTCCAAAGCAAGGGATCTGATCATTATGCAGAAATTTCTAAGAAGATGGCTCTAAGACCCAGAAGGAGGACACAAACAGGTCAGGACGGTGGAAAGCAATGGAGGATTCTGTGAGTAAGATTCTTTGGTAATGCTCTGATTCCTACGGTTTCCAAGGTGGGTGGAATGGAGAGGGCTCAGCCTTTCTTCTCCAGCCCAGAGAAAAGGGTTTCAAAAGCTGTATGTGGTGAGTTTGATATGCATCTCCCTCAGGAACCAAAATGTGAGAGGGAGCTGACGCTGGCTAAACCAGCAGGGTGGATGCCACATCAGAAAGTGAGTACTGTCCCCTTGCCCCATGGTGGAGGGGAGGGTGAAAGGAATATGAACCCTGGACACCCAGAGTGGCAGCCTGGGTGTCTTTGCAACAGGTTCTCCCCGAGAGGGCTTTGGCATGAGAGTGAGAGGACCCCAAAGAGAGTCCGACTGGAAACCAGAAGATGCTGAGGGATGGCAACAGCAGCAGGAGGAGAGAACCACCCAAATCCCGGGGGGCCCAGAGCAAGGCCCCTCAGAGGAGTCCTGGAGAAGGCCATGGAGGCAGCCAGGAGAGAAAAAAGTCCCCTTTCCCTGTCTGCCAGGCTCAGATAACTTAGCATCAGATGTGACAGTCACAGTCAGGTAACGACTTGCTGCACACTCCCCCTGACCCCACAACCTGGAGAGACCTGAGCAGTGGGCAGCTGGAGGCCACTGGAGGGGGAAGTGGCCCTTGGTGGCTGGATGGAGGGAAGTCCTCCCTTGGAATGAATACTGACTGTTTATAGACCAAAAAGGGCATTTCAAATTTCCAAAATGAACCTGTGTGCATGTGTGTGTGCGTGCTGAGAGAGAGTGAGTGAGAGACAGAGATACAGAGAGAGAGAGAGAGAGGCAGGCTGACTTCAAGTGGCCTTAGAACTTCTCATTACCAGAAAAGTAACCAGAAAAGTCATGGGCCTGATCAAGTTATTATCAGGAAATAGGGTACAACATACCTCCCTGAATAAACTTTAAATGAACAGTGGGAGACAAGAATGAAGCTGAGTCTTAACTATGACTGGTGAGTCACATTGTACAATATATTAGTTACATACAGTTAACCTTTGCTAAGTCCTGACTAAGTGCCAGGCACTGGGCCATGGACTTCACAGACACTACCTCATTCAGTCCCTCTAACAACTCCTTGAGGCGGATATTTGACAGATAAGAAAACTGTGGCTCAGAGAAGTTAGGCAACTTGCCCAGGGTCACGCAGGTAAGTAAGTAAAGTAGTAGGAACCTGTATTCAACCTCAAGCCTGACATCTATCTGTGAGCTCTTGTATTGTCCCGGATGAGTGGTTTTCAGCAAAACTTTTGCGACTGAAGCAGGAAAGGGACTTGGGTCCTATCCATCCTTCCTCCTCGCGAGTCCCTGAGCTAGAAAACCAAAAAGCAGAGTTTGAAAGCCACTGACGAGCATGATCTTATGGGTCCTGTACAACACTCTGATTTTATGATGCTATCATCTGTGGGCGGGAAGGTGGAGAGAGGTGGACCCACCACAGCAGACACAGGCGACAGGAAAAACTCAGAATTTGTATCCAGTGTTCCAGGAGAGGCAGCTGGAAGGAGCTGGTTCCAGCAGGTGGATCTGAGGTTCACAGAATTATAATCATGTGTATAAATATAGAGTTCAGAGAATGCATGTAAAGCACTTAGCACAGAGCCTGGCATTAGGTAAATGGCAACTATGATTGTGGAAAGTTTACATATGTGCCTAAAAACCTCAACATATAATTTAATGCAACATGCTCAGCCACTGATGTCACTGTGTCTGTTCCATAAGGAGCTATGCTTATCATGGACACTACACTTTACTAATTGAGCCAAGACAAGAAAGGAATGTGTAAGATTAAGCTAGCCAAGTCTAAAACAATTAGAGTAAGTCTGAAGCAACGGTTTTTAAGCAAGAGGGGCCCAGGGAAGGGGGTAGGCATGGAGTCCTGTGACATAATGATGGAAAACATAATCCTTTCTCCAACAAAAAAAGTGCATATGTACAATTTTGCAAATAATGACAGAAGTTCACAGATCTGTTGAAGTCTATTCATAGTCTCCAGATTAAGAACTACTCCTGTAGATCCTGGGGATTCAACATGAGGTCCTCAGGCCAAGAGCTGCCCACCAGATCCCAAAGTGGTGCTACCCATCCTTGTCCTCTCCACATGTTCCTTATTGGTAGTCTGGATCATGACACCAAACCTGAAGTAGGTAGTCAATGTAACTGTGCAGAATCTAATTTCCAACCTTTCAAGTTTAATAGACTCCAAATGAAGAATGTCTAAACTAGTGGATTCTGGTACCTAGAAAATTTATCTGCTTGGCATTCTCATTCTTTCCTTCCCTCCTTCTGGTACCAACACCTCTCCTTTTTATTATTTTTTCATTTTTAAAATTTATTACATAATGTGGGGAGTCTTCCAGTGAAAAGAGGAAACCTGCTAGACAAATTCTAAAAGAGCTGTAACACTACCCCTCCTTTTTCCATGGGGAACCCGTTCTGTGTAATTCTGGTGGGATTTACCCTCTCTCATGGGACACATGAACAGGCCTTAGCCAAAGTGATGCTGCTTATTGTCTACTGCATATTTCTGGCCATGCTGATTCAGGCAGGCAATCCAATCTGGGCTGGTCAAGGTCCCTCCTTGGTACTCACTACTGCTAGAAGTATGGCAAAAGAGGCACCCATAGCTGTGAGAATGACAGAAACCCAGTACTGATAGCTACCTCTGCCACCATGGTGAGGGAGAGCATGTCTGAGAATGAAGCTGAGAGAGCTAAGCAAAGTCAAGACAGAGTGAAAGATAATGGCCTGATGATATCTTTGGAACTCCTGAATACAGCTGTGCCTGAAGCCCTTACTAGCATGGCCATCCTAATCATATAAGTCAAGAGACTAGTTTAAATTATATTTCTGTTGCTTGCAACCAAAATACTCCTAATAAACTTGATCCAAAGCAAAACAAAGTCCCAAAGGAAATTCTCCTTCACGGGTAGTTCTTGTGGAATTCTGGGCTCCTCTCTGACAACGATCCTGAATGAATTAAAACTTTTTCTTCCTACGACATTGTTGCAAAAAAGTCTAGGCTTAACATTATTCCCTATCATTCTCGGCACCAATGGTTCATCTTACCAGTGCTGCCAGTCAGCAAATATCTCATTCTCCCCACCCTTGATCCTGCACTCCTGCTCACCTTCCCTATACTATTGGATATTTCCTCTTGTAATAAATATTAAGGTTACTCATTAGAAGAGGAGGGACCCAGAAATGGACAATGGTGGCCTAGTTTATAGTTCGCTACCATCAAATACTTGGAGTCAAGTCTCATGAGCCTCTCAAACTGCCCCCAAAAGGCACTGAATGTTCCAGTATAAGAAATGAACCTAGAACCATGGGGCTCAAAAGAGAAGGAGAGAGACATGGAGCAAGGGAAGAGGATCATGCAGGGTCAATGTAAATTCTGTGTATCAAAAACCACAACACAGACTGAGTCATAGTGTAGAATGACTTGAGAGTTGAGAGAAATAACATTCACAGAGCACTATCAGGAAGTTATTTTTCTTTTAGAACAGGGATGGTAAGTAGATTTCAACTCGCGTGCCCAATCTGGTCCACAACTAAAATGCCAAGGCTCAGCATCAAGACGGTCATGACAATCTGAAGTCCATTACAAGGTGGGGAGGGGAGGAGGGTTGTGAATATATTTATTTGTTATTTCAGCTGAAACAATTACATTTCATCCTTGGACTAAGCAAGACCAACAGAGAAATGCACACCTGAACCTAGAAGGGTTTCTCTTGGACTGCACTCAGCTGTCACATCATTCACCTGCACCGAGGCAGTCGTCATTGTTTTACCTACAGAGATGTTGTCGGCCACTCTGTGTGGCATTATCTTTATGAGTACTCTGAAGACATTTCTCTGAGTCTTGAATCATGATCAACCCTGCTTCTTCTAAGTAACTGGTGTGCTTTTATCTTCCAGCCACCGTAAGTCATCAACGGAGCATGTTTTCCTTCTGGTACTGATTGCTCAGAAGCTCAGAGGTAAGTCTGTGGGAACTGCCAGCAAATGAATAGCCTCTCTCCCATGAACTGGGGACTTATTTTATCTCTGACTTCACCCCACTTTTCCTTCCCCACAGATTTCCTCCCTTACTTATTTTTCTTAATTGCATTATTTTACACCTATGTTTAAAGGCCATCTCAAAAATCTTTGAAGACAGCTACATACATCAGATCAACAGTAATTAACATAAGAGGAAACAAACCAGATGGTGAGTGGAGGAAAGTTTTACAAATGCTGCCATGCAGTGGCAGCCACAGGGTGATGGCCTTGAACCAGGAATAGCCCTGGGCCAACCCATCAAGTCAGCAAATATCTCATTCTCCCCACCCTGGATCCTGTGTTCCTGCTCACCTTCCCTACGCTCCATTCTCCATGGGCAGCCATTCCCCCTGGGCCATTTCTGAGCATCCACACCTACTCTCTCTTTAGTACTACTGGTTGCTCTCCCTCCCTCAACTCTTCCCACCAAATCAAAATGCCTTCCTCCTCTCTCTAGAACCTTGGGCTTGACTGTATGTTGTCAACAGTTGATAATAGCATAGTGTCTTTTCTCTTTCAAGGACAGGTACATTTTAACCAGGCATTTTGAAGAGGAAAAAAAAGCCCATAGAAGTAATTCACTAATGGTGGAATATACTACAAAAGTAGTACAAAAGCAATTGAAAAGGAGATTTTTTCTTGTAAATCTCAAGTAATTCTATGTAAGGTAGCACAGTACGTGGCACACAGTGCTCAATACACAGTAGCTACTCATTATTACTATTGTTGCTGTTATTGTTAATCCCACCACTACCATTTGATCACTCACTGTCTATTCCTTTTACCTCTACCACGCAGGCTACTGCCCTTTTCGGAACACTGGCCGACTGGAGATCCACAATCAATTAATCCATTTTAATCATATTTATGATTTATAATGTATTTTTACACACATTAGCCTTTTTTGATCTTCCTAGCAATTGTCTAGTTAAACATTCTTCTCATTTTATAGATGGGCAAACTGAGGCTCAGGAAGACTGAGTTAGTAAGGTTCCAGAGCCAGGCTCAAACTCAGGTTTTGTATAAATTTCTTGTTCTTCCCATAACAAGTGGTTGCCAACTAGAGTGCAATCACATCAGAATCATCAGAATTTTGAATGTCATGAAGATATTGTAAAAGCAAAAAAATAAAGAATCATTTGGGGTGCTTTAAGGTTCCTGGGGTCTACCCCAGACCTAATGAATATAGATGGCCCAGTGGAAGGGACTGTATGAGTTTGTATTTCAACAGGTGCCTTGTGTGATTCTGATGAGCTGCTGGTGGATGGACAAGTCCAATGCCCATGCTTCTTCTTGGTTGATTAAGTACCTGCTGTACCCTCAGCCCTGTGCTAAGTACTACAAGGCAGGCATATATCGCCTTTAGCTCTCAAAGAGCTAAGTGAATAAGAAGCTGGGAAGTGAGTAGGAGCTAGGAGGTAAGACTAAACAAGTGAAAAAGAGTGAGCCAAAGAAGGCACTGTTTGGCTTTGAAGGAAGTCAGAGCAGGCAAGATCACAGATGGCAGGAATAGAAAGGAAGGCCATGTCATGGAGAAGGGAAAATTCCAGTAGGTCTTGCAAAATGGGAAGGATTTCCAGGTAGAGAAGGGGTAAGTGGAATGAAATATCTTCAAGAGAGATACTGAACAGATTGTCTGGCAAGAATAAAGGGAATAGCAGGACTTGAACAAGAGAGAATGGGGCCAGAAAATGAGTGGAGAAGCTAGAGAAGAGCCTAGGCTGGTGTAGGGGATGGCAGGTAGGGAGGGAGGTGGTTTTTGAGGAGTAACGTCCTGAAAGATAAACTGAAGAATGACTAGTGTAGTGGTGCTGTGTAGAATGGAGGGAGGGCTGGAGGGTAGAAAACCTGGTATTTGCAAGACTGCCTAGGAACTTGTTGAACTGACTGAGATGCCAGACGGCTAGAAGTAAGACTAAGATTTGACAGTGCTGGCAGTCAGAATGGGGTGAAGGAATGGGACTATAAGATGGGAATCTAAGTCCTCTCACACTCCATGCTCTTCTCATTCACCACAGCTGTTTCCATGTGCCCCATAAACACTATAGCAGATTGCCAAAAATGGCTACATTTCTTCCCCTCCCTGTATCCATGCTCCTTGAAATGGGACCCTGTAGCTCCTCTGTCATATATTTCTTGAATCCAGGCTAACCATATAGCTTGCTTTAACAATCAGAATGTACTGGAAACAATGTTGTGTGAATTCTGAGTCTCAGTGTCAAGATGCTTCTGCTCTCTCCTGGAACCCTGCCCAATCACCATATGAACAAACTTGGGGTAACTTGCAGGATGATGAGATACATGGCTTAGTCATCATTATCTCTCCACCTGACAGCCAGTGACCCCCAGAAACAAAGCCTAGCTGACATGGAACTGCAGCTACCTGTAGATACATGAATAGTCCCAGGTGAAAGGAGAAGGATCACGTAGCTGAGCCTAGCCCAAATCACCAACCCACAGAATGGCAAGATAAATAAAGGATTGTTATTTTGAGCCAGTAAATTTTGACTCAAAATGCTGGCAGTAAATTTTGGGGTGGTTTGTTATGCAGCATAATATAACTGATACACACTGCAAATAACTGTATAGCCACAATATTAGGGAGTGATGCTATATGAAGCCCCGGAAGCTTTCTCACTTTTAAAAAGTACATTATTTTCCTAGCTCTTAAGGAAGTTTTCTACCATGGCAGAACTATTACCTCACAATAATCACATTTAGGTGAGATGAGAGATGAGAGAAAAAAAATAGAGCAATAATAAAGAGTAGAGCCCCAGTATGTTTTATGTTGTAGCTGTGAGACAATTTTCATTACAACACACTACAAGAAACTGTCTGAATTCCCTGGCTGAAATAACACTCTGTTGTTTTGGATACTCCCATCAACAGGGGCCTGGAAATAGTTTCATTACCCAAAAAAGTTTTTATTTTAGTAGTATTTGGCATGTAATCATGGATCTTTATCCTGCCCATGGTCTTACAAAGGAACATGGGTTGCTCTGTTTTTTTAAGGCATGGAAACATCATAAATTATAGAGATTAAAGAAAAGTACAAATAAATAGACATCTCATCATAGCACTGGTAGGGAAGCATCTAACTTAGAAGTGTGAATATCATCTCAAAAATAAAGTCAAACAGTCACTTTGTTTAAGAAATGAAGAACTTACCAGTAAGACTTTGTGTGGTCCAATGTTTTCAGGTTTTAAGTGGAATGAATCTGAAATAGAATTAAATAAACATTCCATAAGTAAATCACATTTGGAAAGGGTGTGCTTTCGATCCCAAGTGACTGCCATAACGTTGAGCATTTATTCATGTATTTAAAGATGAAAAAAGCTTTTTCTGGCTCCTGATGGAAGAGGGAACATTTTTTGCCAACACAGTTTAACTTCCTGAATAGAGAGAGCATGCTCTCATCTACTTTGGGGAGTGTTCAAAGTCTGAGGCCAGCGTAACTATAAATGGTAGTGTTTTTTCCAAACCTCTCCAAGTCAGGGGAAGCCTCTCTAGCCGTTGCCCTTGCCTTGGTCTCAATCTCTTTATGCTAGGGCCCAGCCATGGCCCTCTCTAAGACACCACCTAAAATACTGGTGGTCCAACATAACTTGAAGGGCAGAGGAGGAGTGTATAAGACTTTCTAACAGTGGCTTTCTGATCATATACATAAACACAGATTTTTGTCTTAATTGATAATGATGAGCCTAAGGTAGTGTTGTTCAATAGAAATATAACCCAAGCCACATACTATTAAAACATAATATTGAATATATTTAATAATAGATTAACAATATATAATTATGTATATTATATATTAATTATAACTATACATAATTATAATAAAATACATTTAATCATAATGTTAAATGTTCTAGTAGCCACATTTAAAAAGCAAAAAAGAAATTAATTTTAATATTTAATTTAACCTAATTTATCTAGAATATTATTAACACATAATACAGAAATCATTAACAAGATATTTTACTTTTTTTAGACCAAATCTTCAAGATTCAGTACGTCTCAACTTGAGCTAGCCACATTTCAAGTAGTCCATGGCCACACATGGCTAGTGGCTACCATACTAGACAGCACAGGTCTAGGGAACCTATTCTTGGCCTTCAGGTATTGGTAAGGCTTCAAGAAGTCCGACGCATATGAAGATCTTATTCACCTATTTTCCTTCTCTCAGTCATCTATCATTAGTCCCATTTCATGATGTCATTTTAACAGAAATCAGACATAATGACAGCAAATACTTATATATAGCACTTACTATGTGCCAGGAACTGTTCTTGGCATGCCCCCATCTTACCCCAATTAAACGTCACAATAACTTTACGAGGTAAATATATTATTCTCATTTTGTAATGAGGCAACTGAGGCACAGAGGGGTTACATTATTTACACAAGACTGTGAGACGGTGACAGGGATGGGATTCAAATCTAAGTCGTTTGCCTCCAGAGTCCATGCTTTTACCCACCACCCTCTCAATTAAATTTGAACAGCTCAAAATAAGATAATTACTTTCAGTTTTAATTATAACCATCAAATGATCCAAGTCTGCTCTCATGATAACATGGTTAGATAATAGCAGTGATGGCAGATGGAACAGTTATTGGATGCACCAGCAAATTAAATTTAAAACAATTTGGGATCCGAGCACAAAAACCACAGCAGGTGGGGTCGAAAAGGCTGCACCGGGTCTGGAGGTTTGTCTGGATGACCAAAGTGGTGGTGGCTGGGGAGGTTAATGTGAGGTCCATGGAAAATCTTCTTTTGGTGATTTTTCTGAGGGAAGGGCCTAATGCTTTCATCAGATGCTGAAAGATTTCTCAAATGGGTCTTTTAGATAGATATCCCTATATCTGTCTCAGCAGGGGTAGGGAGTTAGAAAGAATCAAGTAAAAGAATTAAGAAAACACATCTTTTTCACTTTATTAATCCACAGGCCGCAAAAGAATCACACTCAGTGAGCAAAATCAGACCCCCACATGTGAGCTTTCTGCCAAATCACAGAGACGGAGGCTGGTCAGTGACACCGTAGGGCTGAGGCCACTCAAAGTGCTGCCACCCAGTCTCCTATGGAGAGCCCTGAACCTGCTGAAAATCCTTCCGTGGCTTCCTCTAGGTTTTAGGATCAAGGCCAAGCTCCTCAGACTACTCTAAAAAGCCCCTGTGGCCTCATGCCTGGACTCTCCCTCAGGCGCCTCACTGACAGGTCCCAAAATGCACACCCCCTTATGCCTTTGTGGATTCTGTTCTTTCTGCCCAACATGTCCTTTCCCTACAGTATCAGTGGGTCTTCACATCTCAGTTCAAAAGTCACCACCTCTGGGAAGCCTGTGTGAACATCCTTGACTGCCTCAGCAACAACTTCTCTGCAGTAGCGCCAATAAGGTAGTATTCATTCAATTCAAATGGCAATTATACACTACTATAGTTATGTGTCCCTGAAGGAGGGGGATGCGTTCTGAGAAATGAATTGTTAGGGGACTTCATCGTGTGAATATCGTAGGGTGTACTTACACAAACCTAGAGGGTACAGCCTACCACACACCTAGGCTACATGGTAGAGCCTATTGTGTCTAGGCTATAAACCTGGACAGCATGTTACTGTTGTGAATACTGTAGGCAACTATAACACAATGCTATTTGTGTATCTAAACATAGAAAAGGTATAGTAAAAACATGGTATTATCATCTTTAAAATAGGTTGTTTTGTTTAAAAAACATTCAGTCAGTACCAATGGTATTATAGTCTTATGGGACCACTGCCACAGATGCAGCCTATAGTTGACTGAAATTTCATTATGCGCATATGACTGTACTATTGGTAATATTAAAAGCTGGTTTTTTATGTGCTAGGCACTGTTCAAGTGCTTTACATGCTCCTTTAATCCCCTTGGTAATCCTATGAGGAAGGTTCTTTTCATTATTCCATTTAGTAGGACAGCAAATTGAGGCACAGAGGTTAAGCCAGTAGTCTAAGGTTACATGGCTTGTAAGTGGCAGAGTCAAATTGTAAACCCAGACAATTTGGTTCTAGACTTCACACTCCATGCCTGCCTCCAACTAGGGTCCACTTCCCTCTGCTCTCATTGCCCTTGCACTTACTTTACTCTGGTGTCTCCTATATTTTAGATTTCCATTTATTGGTTTCTCCCCCAACAGGTTTGCAGAATCCCTGAAGGTTAATAATGTGTCTAGCTCATTTTTGTCTCTCCAGGACCTAGTAAGGTACTTGGTATATCGTAGATACTCAGTAAAGACACACACAGGAAAACACTGGAATAGCATTGAAAGGATAGGAGCCAAGGCTATCAACCCAGGCCTGATAAAAACGCACCAGTATAAAGAATCTTCAAATACACACTTTAACAAAGCAAGTTTTGACTTCATCTTTTAAATCCAGCCAGTTCCAAGGAGATGGTCACTTCCTAGGCCTGTTCAATACCAGAGGGAGAAGAAGCAACTCGGAGCAACTCGGAGCTTGGCAGACTTGCTCACACCTCCAAGTTCATCAGTTTTATTTGACTTTGCATGTAGAACTAAGTAATAACATGCTTAAGCAATAGCATACCCAGTGTCTTGGCTGGCCATTATCAAGGACTGCCAGAAAAGACACATGCTGAAAAATCTCCTTTGGCTGCCTGGACATGGCTTGGATATTTCTACCCTGGAGTTCCAGGATATATTTCTTTCCATTACTATCTAAACTCCCCTCAGATGGCTATGGAATTTGAACTTGTAGAAGAATACTTTCCTCTAACAGTGAGAAAGGCAAAAAGTTTTAAGATCTAGAACATATACAGATCTCTAGGAAGAGAAGGAGCTCTCTCTAGCCTGGTCAGAGATTGTATTAGGATTGTGGCCCAGCCTACCCACTTGCAGATAAATGCAGTCAGCCATAACATCCACCCTTTATACTGCATCTAGAATGTAAAAGAATCCACTAGCTTCCCATGTGCATGGACGGATGTCAGCATCACTTGTTCTTAACAACCAAACCATAAATCTGTATTCTGACTCTTGCCATATCATCTCCTTACATGATAAGAAATAATGACATTAATTTATTTATTATTGAGAGGTATACTGAATGTAAATCATGTGCTAGGGATGGTTGTAGGTGCTGGAGATGCAGTGGTGAATGAAGTATATTACATTCTTGACTTGAGGCCTTTACATTGTAATCGGGGACAGCAAACAAACACGTATACAAATAAGTAAATAAGATCATTTTAAACAATAAGTTCTACAATTTTTTTCATACATGCAAGGAGTGAAGTGACCTAATGAAGAGTTTAACAAGGTCTCTTCAGCAGCTGTAGGGAGGAGTATTGAAGAGGCAATAGTGAACAAATGGTGACCAAGTATGAGGCCATTTGATTGTTCAGGTGAGATATGGTACCTCAGATGGAGAGAAGTAGATGAATTCAGTATAGGTTCTGGAGGTAAAACAATTAAGACTTGCTGATGAAGTGGATACAGGGAGTCAAGCAACTTGGTCAATGATGGTTTCATTTACTCAGGGAGAAAACAGATTGACGGAAGAAAAAAATCAAGAATTCTGATGTGATCTAGTTAACTTTGAGACATCCAAGGGGGGATGTCAAGAAAGCATTAAGAAGTCTAGAACCATACTGTCCAATAATAGGTACATGTGGGTCTTTAAATTTAAATACAATTAAAAACTCACTTCCCCAGTTGTATGAGCCACATTTCAAGTGGCCAAGCAGCCACAGAGGCAGCTACTCTATGCAACAGCACAGGTACTATATGGTTTCACTTGCAAATTCTGATATGATGTTATCTCAAAAGGCAAAACAGATGTAAAAGGGCTTTTGACACACATAAAGGACACTACTGTAGGGATAAAAGGTAAATTCTCCACAAAATTGGGGCATAGTTGAGGGAAATATATCCTATGCTTTAAGTCTATCCTACAAATTTGTCTTTATTAGATGTTTGGAGGGCTACCAACTTTGTAAAGTAATACTATATGTGTCAAAGAATTATAAATTCATTCTTGAGCTCCAAAGGTTAAAAACAGTGGGTTAAAATGCTGGCATTTTGCCCCATTGTACAACGGCTTCTGTCCCAGAGAATGGTACACCCCGAAAGGTTGAACTGGCCTATTTTAACCAAATGGTACCACCCCATTATCTCCACCTTGGGACTGGCTCCTGGCTGGAAGAGCTGGTCTAAGCTGTTCATCAGGAGAAATTCTTTTTACCTGGTTACTGTCCTAATCCACAGAGAGCTTCTGAAGACAAAGTTTTGTTTTTAATTGAGGAACTGGTGGTATATGTACTCAACTAACTTGCAGATAAGTTGGGGGAAAAGTATTCTGATAATGCCAAAGACAGTATAAATTTTAAAAAAATACACATAGATTCCTATTTCATCACACTTTAAGAGAATAAGTGAAAAAGAGTAAACAAGAAATTGAAATGTTACACTCAACATAATTTTTTCCCCATTTTTGTACTGAAAGGACAATGGCAGTTTTAAAAGGATGGCAAGCTTCTTTGGAATTTACCCATATTTCCAGCAGTCTAGTGCTGCTATTTATTTTTGCATGTTACCTTTGATAGAAACATGTGTTTTTATGTTACTATGGCCATAGTTTATATGCTATTAGTAGTAAAGGCTTTGAAATTGGACAGATCTAGGTTTGAATGTCGGATCCTCAACTAATGAGATGCAAGTCCTTGAACAATTTATCTCTAGTCCTCAATTTCCTAAAGTGTAAAATAGGGCTAATATTACCTTTTGTATATACTTGCTGTAAGGATAAAAAAAGAAAATCTTAGCACAGTGCCACTAGGACGAACTCCATGAATTATGGCTACTATTTCTTTCTAAAATTTCATTTCAAATATTTCAGTATTTCTACACATAGACATAAGTGTTTCATGTTGAAAAGCCACAATTTCCTAAATCAATCCCCTAATGCTGGATAGTTAAGTTACTGCCAGTTTTTATTATCACAAACATGATTACAATGGACATCTTCATGGCTTAGCTTTTTCATTCTTTTATCTTATTTCTCTGGCTTCTCTAAATTCCTAACGGTGAAATTACTGGTTTTTGCTTTTAAAAGGGTTTTTATTAGCATACAATAATATCACCAGCAAAATAATGCACAGTTCCTGAGATCTTCATATTTTATACATAAAATAGTATTAAGACTGAAGAGCTTCTGCACAGCAAAAGAAACTACCATCAGAGTGAACAGGCAACCTACAAAATGGGAGAAAATTTTTGCAACCTACTCATCTGACAAAGGGCTAATATCCAGAATCTACAATGAACTCAAACAAATTTACTAGAAAAAAACAACCCCATCAAAAAGTGGGCGAAGGACATGAACAGACACTTCTCAAAAGAAGACATTTATGCAGCCAAAAATCACATGAAAAAATGCTCATCATCACTGGCCGTCAGAGAAATGCAAATCAAAACCACAATGAGATACCATCTCACACCAGTTAGAATGGCGATCATTAAAAAGTCAGGAAACAACAGGTGCTGGAGAGGATGTGGAGAAACAGGAACACTTTTACACTGTTGGTGGGACTGTAAACTAGTTCAACCATTGTGGAAGTCAGTGTGGCGATTCCTCAGGGATCTAGAACTAGAAATACCATTTGACCCAGCCATCCCATTACTGGGTATATACCCAAAGGACTATAAATCATGCTGCTATAAAGACACATGTGCATGTATGTTTACTGCGGCACTATTCACAATAGCAAAGACTTGGAACCAACCCAAATGTCCAACAATGATAGACTGGATTAAGAAAATGTGGCACATATACACCATGGAATACTATGCAGCCATAAAAAATGAAGAGTTCATGTCCTTTGTAGGGACATGGATGAAATTGGAAATCATCATTCTCAGTAAACTATCACAAGAACAAAAAACCAAACACCACATATTCTCACTCATAGGTGGGAATTGAACAATGAGATCACATGGACACAGGAAGGGGAACATCACACTCTGGGGACTGTTGTGGGGTGGGGGGAGGGGGGAGGGATAGCATTGGGAGATATACCTAATGCTAGATGACGAGTTAGTGGGTGCAGCGCACCAGCATGGCACATGTATACATATGTAACTAACCTGCACAATGTGCACATGTACCCTAAAACTTAAATAATAAAAAAATTAAAAAAATAAAAATAAATAATAAAAGCAGTTTGCCAATTTCTATTAAAAAAAAAGACTTTTATTTTGTATTTGTAAGATCATTAGGATCAACATTTTTACATGTTTGTTTATTAATGGTGTGTCACCTCGAAAAACAATTAATTTTATATTTTTTGGTTATTCGTATACTATGATCCTGATGTTTTTCTTGTAAGTTTGAATAAGTTCTTTATAGCGCACAGTAATCAACAGGTAATATATGCATTTGCTACAAATAGATTCCCAAAACTTACGCAATTTTAAGATAAGTATCTTTTCACTTATATAGCATTTCATAAATAATGTGTCACAGCTATATTTTGTATAAACTTACTCAAGAGCTATGATATTGCTTCTTGGCAAAATGTTTGGCTTTTGATTGTGTCTCAAAGTCAATTTATATCCACGCTGATCATCATAGCAACCCTGTGAATGAGCTGGGGAGTATAACAATGTTGCCTGTACGGCAGAGAAAACAGATCCAAACAGGCCAGGTGACTGAGACAGGATCACTGAATCCTGCAGCTGGCCACAACCAGACTCTGAATCCCTCTTTCTCTGAGTCACAGGACCCCTTGTGAAAGGAAGCTTGCAAGGTAAAAGTGAAGAGAAGTATTTTGTGCAAAATGGATTATTATCACAGCACCAATTCTATATTGTTTCCTATAAGAAAGCCTTTACACACAGCATCAGAGAACCATGTTTACTTCACTGGAGGATCTCAAGAAATGTTAGCATTATTTCAGCAAATTTACTATAACAATGGCTCACAAAACGGATCCACCCTCACACAGTTTTTTATACAGGCAAAATAATTTAAATAATTTAAACCTAAATTAAGTTTTACTTGATTATTATTATTATTTTTTACCTGGCAAAAATACCACTTCTTCTCCCAAGTATTCCCTTATTCTTTGGCTCAATGAAACCACTCTTCTCTTAGAATTTCTACAACCTTTTCTACCTCCTACTTTTTATCACAGATATTTGGGAATGTGTTGCACTTCTCTGACTGGGTGGTAAGGTACCAGTGGTCCATATTTTAGTTGTATCTCCTAAATCACCTGGCATCTTTCTCTGCATGGAGGAGCACTCGTTCGATGTTTTACAGAGATATGGGAGAAGAATTTTACATAGTTAAGAGACAACAGTTTTTTAAAAAATGTAATTAAAATAAGAGCATTAAAGTACAGGTTGCACTAACTGTATTCTCTTTGCTACACCATTCCTTACTTTGGCAAGCATACTATCATGAGACACTTCTAATGCATTCTTAGGCTGGAAGTCTGCATTAGCCAAACGATACTAAACTACATTAAACAGAATGTCTAAGAATGTTTCCAACCATGTACAAATCTGTATAAATATGTAACTATATCTGTGATGCTTTTATTTGCAAATTCAGATAAAACTTATTTCTCAAAAATTCTCTGTGTACACAACACAGACACACACACAGCACACAAGTACTAAAGTCTTGGTCAGCATTTGGGAAAAACTCAGATAAAAATATGGGACATCTGTTTCCTAATACTAGGAAAATTCACAGGAAATGATTAATGTTAACTAGGGAGAAAAATAATCTGGATCAAATTATGAAATGAAAACATCCAAAATTCAGAATTTAATACAGTATAGCCTGTGAGCCATGAGATCTTCAAAAGTGGGGATGATTTAACATTTTATTGAAATATGTTACCAGTAGAAATATTTTTATTCCATGTATATACCAATAAACAAAACTGAATACCCCAGCCTATACAATACTTTCAGATTCTGTGTCTCCCCACTGATATTTATGTAACCCTTGGCAGTTGAGGTTAGCTGTTTCGTGTCTATTTCCATAACATGCCCAGTGCCTTGTGGGACAAATTAAGACCTAACACTAAATTGGACGGTGGTCCCCAGATAGAGAGGATGGGGCTCTTTTGAGAAAGATCTAGCATAGCTGTGTCTCCCAAGGAGAACTGGAGGGACAATGACAGACAGCCACAGAGCAAGGCCAAAGAAAACTGTAGAGGAAGAGGGTTTGTAGCTTGTTGGCTCTTCCACCATCCTGCTGCTTGTGAGTGTCTCTGAACCTACTATGTGTTTGGCAATGTGGAAGGTGGTAGAGACAAAACAGAGAACAAAATTTAGTCCCTCTCTGGGCCAGATGCAGTAGCTCACGCCTGTAATACCAGCACTCTGGGAGGCTAAGTGGGTGGATCACTTGAGGTCAGGGGTTCGAGACCAGCCTGGGCAACATAGTGAAACCCCATCTCTACTAAAAATACAAAAACAACAACAAAAAAAACTAGCCAGGCATGATGGCACGTGCCTGTACTCCCAGCTACTTGGGAGGCTGAAGCAGGAGAACTGCTTGAACCTGGGAGGTGGAGGTTGCAGTGAGCAGATATTGAGCCACTGCACTCCAGCCTAGGTAACAGAGACTTATATATATATGTGTGTGTGTGTGTGTGTGTGTGTGTGTGTGTGTGTGTGTGTGTGTGTGTATGTATATATATGTGTATATCTGTGTGTGTGTATATATGTATGTGTATAAGTGTGTGTGTGTGTGTGTGTGTGTGTGTGTGTGTATAGTCCCCCTCCTCAAGGAACCCACAGTAAGTCATATAAACAACTCACGAGGCCACCATAGCTCCAGTGGCACATAATCTAATCGCAGTAAGTACAACTAACTCTGAGAACACAGGGGACACTTATGCCAGTCTGGAATGATCATAGAAGGCTTCCAGGAGGAAGCAGTGTGGAAGCTAAACTGTACAGAATGACCAGGGTTTACCACAAGAGGAAAGGAGGGAGGTACAAGTAAGGTAGAGGGAACAGCTTGTGCCAAGGCCTGAGAGGAAGTGAGTCCCTAAGGATGCAAAGAGCTTGGTGCACTGGGGCAAAGAGTTCTCTAGTGGAGTCCTATTAAACTAACAGGCAATAGTCAAGCAAAGAGTTCTCAAGTGGAGTCCTTATTAACAAATAGGCAATAGTCAGGCAAAACCTAAAGGAGGTAACTGTAGTGAAAACCACAGGACCAACGGAAATGACCCAGAATCTCTAGCATCTTCACATCAGAAAGAGCACTGACAGGGGGGACAGCCAAGGCCCTTTTAGGTAATAGACCTCTAGAGAGAGGGCAAGAAGATAAATTGTACCATGGCTACAACCTCATCAGAGTCAATGCTGGTTTCCAATTCACAGGAAAAACCAATAGCCAGCTACCCAACCCAACAGAAAGGAAGAGTGAGCAGGCCTTATTCACAACCCTAAGAGGACGGCAGAATTATTTCCATTTTACAGGTAAGTTGCTGTTTTTAGAAGACAGTATTTATCAATATTCCTTTCTATTGATTGATCCAGCTTCTGACTAGGAAAAACCAACTCATCTTGCTTTGCCTGGGACTTCCCAGTTTTTGTACTGAAAGTCTCATGTCCCAGGAATCCCCTCAGTGCCATGCAAGCCAAGATGGTTGGTCAGCCTACTCAGAGTTTGTGAGGCACATGAAGTGGGCAATGGGATTTATGACACAGGTTTTTGTATAGGAACTGGTGCAAAGTTACATGTGACTGACCTCCCCAAGCTAACTTGAATCCTTTGAACCACGGAACCTTTTGGAATAGCTTAGTGGCTTCTCAAAGGCTCCTATATAATTTGCCATAATTTACACTGAATAATATTTGCAAAGCAAAAGCCTAGCTGAGGGCTTAGTGATTACTATCTGTGTGCTAACGTCAAATAATTGCATACTTCACAGCAACTAGCCAGAAGAGTGGTCTGAAATTAGTTGTTGTTGTTGTTAACTGAAAGTTAACCAAATATCTTTCAGCTTTAACTTTTTTGATTTGTTTTGTTTTGTTTTGTTTTGAGACAGTGTCTGATTCTGTCACTCAGGCTGGAGTATAGTGGTGCGATCAGGTCACAGTTCCCTGCAGCCCCTACCTCCTGGGCTCACACAATCCTCTTGAGTTTCCCTGGTAGCTGGGACTACAGGGGCACTTCACCACACCCAGCTAGTTTTTGTATTTTTTTTTTTTTAAGGAGATAGTGTCTTGCTACGTTTTCCAGGCTGGTCTTAATCTCCTGGCCTCAAGCCATTCTTCTGCCTTGGCCTCCCGAAGCATAAGGATTTAAGGCATGAACCACTGTGCCTGGCCAGCTTTAACTTTTGACATTGAAAATCTTCCTAAAATAAATTAGTTTACTTACACACGAAGAGTAGTATACACATTTTCATGTATCTTTGTTAACTAGGAATTCTACCATGCCTTACTTATTGCAATGGCTTACATTCTTACTGTTCGACAGATTTAAGAAGGTTTAGAAGACAACAAGAATGCACTATAGTTTCCAATAAATACAGTCACAAAAGGATATTACTTTGTGGCAATATCTGACAGGCAGAGAGTGGCTGACAAATCTTTATAGAATGAATGATGGTGGGACCATACAGAACTACGAAAAAGAAAATGATGAGGACAGTGAATGAGATAAAGGCTATACTTGTGCTTTTGCTACAGTGCTGTTGACTAAAGCAGCGGGAGCTCAGAGCTGAGGCACACAGTTCTTGTCCAATAAAAGGAAGGAAAAGCTCTTCAAGAGCAGTCCTTTCCTTACAAGGGTGGTAATGAATAAAATAGGCGACATGGCCTTCGGTCTGCAGAAGATGCAGAAAGACTTCAATGGTAAGACCAAGGGCCCGCTATTAAGTCCCGATTCAAAAGGCATCCCCCCAGGAAGCTCAGGAAACGTCATCCAGGCTAATGCTCTTTGGTGAGAATCCTGACATAGGAATGGATGAGGACATGTGCCTTAGAATCTTTTTCAGAAAAAAACAATGATTTCTAACACATTTTTGGTTAGCTTTCGATGAAAAGATATTTCTAACATCTAATTGTATTTGAATGGAACTATATTAAAAACACTTTTCATTAGCCTTAGAAAACTAAAAAAAAATTAAGAGTAAAATTTAGCAGTATTTTTTACTGATGATATAACTATGATTCCTCTAAAAGTTCCGGTTTTATTGGAGTAGTCAAGGTAACTGAGATTTTGCTATATGTTGACAATAAACATTTTGCCCATGAGGCTTAGTTCTCTAAAGCTATTACTCTTTTTGCCGACACCTTTGCATCAGACATAGATAGAATCACAGCAGACATATTCAGGTTATGTCTGCTACAGAGTCAGGCGGCACAATCGGGCAGGATGCAGCCAAGGGCACTGCCCTGAGCCTGGATCAGAAAAACAAGAGCCGGAAGGGTTTGTTTCCACTCTGCCAGACCTTTGGTGTAGATGAGCGCACTTCCCCAGGCCTTGGACTCAGAGGAAGAAAATGAGAAGTGCTCCTCAGGTGAGGCTGTGAGCCTCCCTCCAAGACCTGCACATTCACAGATGTGTGAGGTGGGTGTGCTATAAAGTATCCCATGCTAGTTTTGGGGCTTTGACTCCGCAGAATAGTTTAGTCTTAAACTCTAGCTACCAAAATATGGATTAGCAAAGAAATTTTTCTGTCATCGAAAACCAAAGAAGTAAGATATACAGATTCTAAGGACTTGCTCATCTTTTCCTGTATCATCAAGAGATCAACAGCTTATTAAAAAACAAAAACAAAACACTCAAATGTGTTCAACACAGTCCACTCAAAGCCACAACTCAACAGGAAGACAATTCTGAAGAAAACCAGCATATCCAGTACAACCCACCTGTTCTTATACCTACCACCTGCTTCCTGGGTAAAGCCACCTTTGCTGCCTCTATTGTAATATTAGTTTGCACCCCCGCCTCCACCAGGCATCCTTACAGATCTTTCCATTTTACATACATTTTTACATACATTCTGAACTACACAAACAATCTGCTGCCCAGCGTTTAGGGAAATATACAAGCATATAATCATTGTACTAGCCAAAAAAACCCAGAGCCAAGAAAAAAAATCTGTCATCCACTATACCACAGCAGGGAGATTTAAAGGCAGCTCAGGGCATTCAATAACGTTCTATCTGTCAAATCAGCCACTTCTGTGCCTATCCCTTTTCCTCAGATCCCCTGTTGGTGATGTATTTATGTATCTGCATCGACAACTTGATCGTAAGGTCCCCTGACTGCATAGGCCATAGTTTATTCCTTTTTTTTTTTTTTTTTGAGATGGAATCTCGCTCTGTTGCTCAGGCTGGAATGCAGTGGCACTATCTCGGCTCTCTGTAACCTCTGCCTCCCGGGTTCAAGCAATTCTCCTGCCTCAGCCTCCTGAGTAGCTGGGATTACAGGCGTGTGCCGCCACCACCACGTCTGGCTAATTTTTGTATTTTTAGTAGAGACAAGGTTTCACCATGTTTGTCAGGCTGATCTCCAACTCCTGACCTCGTGATCTACCCGCCTTGGCCTCTCAAAGTGCTGGGATTACAGGTGTGAGGCACCATGCCCAGCCCATACTTTATTCCTATATGTATTTGTTTTCCTTCCCACAAGGATTATTTCTTTACTTGAAGCGCCCTAGATTTTTCATAAATGAAAAACACACTCTGGATGTACTTATTTATATCTAATTTTCTAAAACTGAAATGTTCATAGTGGCTCAGGGGAAGGGTAACACAAGAGTTAATTCTGAAATTCAGTTCTATTTATCTTATTTGTCAAAGCCAGCTTTTACTCCTGTGAACATGTATCTCCTAATTCCAGGAACAATTGTGGATATGATGATGTAAATACAGTTTTTCTTAATCTTTTAAAATTCACACTCATTTCTGATAACCTTATGTTCCCTAATCAGATTCTGATATACCCATCCTTAGGTGTCTTAGCAAACTGTGATATGTATTTTCAGTCTCCTTTGCTGAATTCTCTCCTCTTCCTCAAATCTGATGACTCTCAAATCTCTATCTCCAGTCTCAGCTTGCTCTTTGAACGTCAGACTTACTTGTCTGACTGATTTCTTAACATCTCCCCTAGGATGCTTAGTAAGGCATCACAAACAATTGTGCCTTGGCCACAATCATCTCCCACACTGCTCTCCCTTCTTGGGGCTCCCAGGGGACATCAATGGTACCAGTAGGACTCCATCATTCATGCCCTTGTTCAAGTCAAAATCTTCATTCATTTTTGGCTCCTTTCTCACCAACTGCATATCCCATCAATCAGCAAATCCTGTCAGCCCTACCTTCAAAATACCTCCAGAATCCAATCATGCGTTGGCATCTCCTCTGCTCCCATCTGGGCAAACTAGCAGCATCTCTCGCCTGGATGACTTAAAGAGTTCCCTCTGCTGATCTGGGCTTCACACTTGCTTCCCTCCTCAACCCCCCATCTAGTTTCCATCAGTCATTATTCCCTAGCTCAAAACTCTCCAACAGATTCTCAGCATACTTAACACACTTACTCACGTCCACTCCTTGGCCCATCAGCAGCTATGAGAACTGGCCTTGGCTCACTCTATCCAGCCACACTAACCCCTCTTCTCCTTAAATCTGCCAAGCAATGCTCTGTCTTGGGGCCTTGACACAGGTTCTTCCTTCTGCTTAAACTTCTCACAGACACTGCAGGCCTGCACATCTCACTGCCTCACTTCTTTCAGGTCTCTGGGTCAAGCGTTATCTCCTCAGAAAGGCCCTACTCTCTCTTCCCAGACTCTGCTTTGCTTTTCTTCTTGGTACGTACCCCTTCCCCCTTCCTGGCACTCTATTTTCTATCTATTGAATTATTCCCTCTCCTTCACTGGAATGTCAATGCCGTAAGAAAAGGATGTTGTTTGTTTACCGTTGCACTCCCAGTGCCTGAGGCAATGCCTGACACAGGCTAGGCATTCAAGAAAAAATACACATTTTTTGGTTACTGAATGAATGCATATTCTCAACTGGCCAGAAATATTTTATTGAACTTGATTTTTCTGATGTTCGTATTATAAAAATAAACATTTCCTCTTTCCCCAAGTGAATCATAAGATAAGGCATGATTTTTAAACTACGTATGCCTTACCCCCTAGATTCTGGTATCTGCCCATTGGGGTGTTTTGATATATAAAACCTCATGGCTACATTCTGAATTTTTACTAAGCATCTGGCATGTTCTGTAGTCTTTTGCCTCTAACTAAAGCCTCAAGGCTTTATTACCTTTAAAAAATGCTTGCAGAATTAAGCTAATAAAGACATTGTCTGCCTTATTTGTGGTAGTGGCAGTTTTTCTCCCCTCCAGTTGTATCTGAATAAGGCTGGCTCAGATTTCAATGCCAAGTAGTTTGCCACACAACTTTTGTTGTATGGTTCCATGCAGTTTGGGCCTAGCAGCCACAGAAAACACTGTGGAATATTAAGACAACTCCTTGGAAGAGACTAGAAGGGAGTTCAGGCCCCTTCTGCCAGGAGTCTCCAATATATTTGGGTTTTCTGGCTGCCTGGCCAGTATTGGTGCTTTTCAGAAGAGCAGTGTTTCCTTCATGAATGAAACCCATTTATCATGACACACTCAGTGGACAGAGTTAGCTCCCAGGGGACAGTCGTTCTCCCAGCCTCTGACATTTTCCCAGTGTGACAGTGAATACCACCCCACAGAGACCAATGTCACTCTGTGAATTCCACCTTGGACTCTTAGCAAACCTCAGCTTCAGAGAGTTCAGTCAACTGGAAATTGTCTCCTGTGTCTTTTCTCCTTTTCTTGAAGCATAATCTTTCTGGATCTTTTATATATAAGACTTTGGAATCATTGTGTAAAAATAGGATATTCTTAATCCTGACTCATTTGAGAAATAAGTCAGACTCAGCTTAGTTCAAAGATCTGGTCAAATTCTAACATTAGTGATAACATAAATAGAAAACACAGATGGGTATCAGTTCTGCCCTTTTACCTCTTTAATAAATAAAATGCAATAAATCATCTGCAAGTCTTGGTGAACTTTGATTTCCATGTATTTCTTTAAAGCTTAAAAATTTTGATCTTTGTGATGTGAAATCCTATTCAATTGTTTGGGAATTTAACTTGTTAGGTGGTTTGTCCAAAAGAAGAAAACGGTAGATATCAAATACTAAGTATTTGGTCATTCAAGTCAAGCACTTTGATTTTTTTTTTTTTTAAACTACAAATCTGGCCTCCTAGAATGTTGTGCTTGTGCAGTTTAACTCTGGACTTAATTCCACTGCAGTCTGCATCCCTCTCGGGCTGTGCAAGTGGCTTTCTTCCGCTGTTCTCTGAATAATGAACTTGGGAAGAGCCAACATAAACCCCACACTGGTGACATTCTGAATGACCCCCAAATTCCTGCACTCTTTTGCAAAGCTTCACTGCCAGCCCTCCTCCCTGTCCCCTCCTTCCTCAAACACTGTTTCACATGTTTTTCTCTTCACTCACTTTGTTGGGGAAGTATTTTGTTAACAGTTCTTTGACCAGTTTCAGCACACAGTTTCTGGCATTAGTCACTGTTGCAGCTTTTTAGAGGCCCACCACTTGACTCCAGAAAATATTTCTCTTTTGAATTCGTTTACTCTTTTCTTTTGCCATCCAAAACGGAGGAGGGGGGATAAACTCTCATAGAGAGACATAACAGGCACAAAAACCTTTCTCCTCAGCATAAACAGAATCTTAAGGCACCAAATGGGGGCTCGCAAATCCTGAATCCCTTAACCCAGATAATAAAGTCTTACAAGTAAACCATATCCACTAAACTTTAATGTCTGCTTTTGCTTCCCGCTTATTACTTTTGTGAAAATGTGGCCAACCTAAGGTTGTCCATCCACCAGAGAGTCCTCAACATCTCCTTGCTAGCAGAACCTGGGCTTGTTGGAATAGAGACCCTGTGAGCTCAGGAGAGATGGGAGCTGTAGTTTAAGGGTGGGTCTTTGCCCTGCTCACTCCAATGAGGCCTGAGGGGAGATGACAGGAGAATGCTGGGGAAGGATTCTGCTTCCTCACAAAAGCCAGGGGTAGTGTGATCCATGCCTCCTTGATTCCCAACTTTGAAACTGGTCATGAGGCACAGAACTGTGACGGCCACTTGCTGACCACGAGAAAGCATGTCTCAATTTAAAAAACTTAATACAATAAAGACGGTGGATCACAGAGATGAAAAGAGCATAGGTCTTTCATGGCAAACAGCAGAAGCAGCTGCCTCCTCTAAGCTTTATGAAGATGTGGAGAAACAACTCCCTACTTGTTAGGGCCAAATTAGTTCAGCTTTTCTGTTACTTATAGTCTTGATATATATAAGATGACAAAAGAAAGGCTTAAGGCTTCTTAATTTGGTCTCCTCTAACGTAGAATTGAGAAAATTTTTGTTTAGCAAACTTCAAGCTTATAGGGCAAGTATGACTTGCTCCAGCTATATTTATATCATTTAGCACAGAGGCCCTTCGGCTTTCTCAATCCAGAGTGGTCGCTCCATCCATCTATCCAACCAACCAACCATCCAACCATCCACCCACCTACCTGCCAACCCATTTTTTCTTTTTTTCTAACAACAACCAACTGCTGAGGCAGGCATTTCACTAAGCACTGTGGATACAAACAACCCAAAGTACAGAAAATACGATACCCATTTTAGAGATAAGGACACAGGGGTACAGGGTTTCAATGTTTTTCCTAGAACCTAGTCTACAAGTGTAGAGTTAGGATTCAAATCTAGGACGTGTGAATTCAAAGGCCTTGCGCTTTTTACTATCCCATGCAGCTTCAAACAGTAATCTCTTTGTTGGCCTGATTTGGAAACAACAAAAACTGCACTGCTTTTTAATATCCTGCAATTTTGACGGTTCCCAACCCTGCCATCCGCAGTTAGTTACACTGCACCTTTTCTTGACATTTGATGTACCCAGACCAAAGGTCCACTTTCCACCTAGAAGTCTGACGGACACCATGCCTGCAAGATGGCAGCCCACCATGATGATCTCTTTTTCAACCGCACGCACCTTGCCTCTGCAGGCTGCTGTCTGAACTGCGAGTCAGAGACCTTTTCTATCTTGCTTACCTGTGTTGAGTACACTCTGTGGCACTCACTAGGTCGTCCATACATATCTGCTGATTAAATGTATGAGAAAAAATAAGCCAAAGAATAAGATGCTGTCTCAGGAAATCCTGAATGCCAGTTCTCAGGACTCTTAATTTAATGAGTTGGTATCACTTCAAAAACCTTGGCAGAGAGTCCCATTCCAGAAGGTGTTTAATAAGCTGCTGACTAAGCTCTCTGGATACAAGGTTTATAGCAAATATGTTCTCATCTGTGAAACGCTGGAAACAACCCAAATATCCAGTATTTGGATGAAAAGTTGAACCAATGGCCACTTATCAGCACAGGAGTTTCCTTTATTGCCATTACAAGAAAAAGGATGTGGAGTGTGAGGACACAGGAAAAGGGCAACATGAACCAAGGTCAGATGCAAAGGCAGGCAGACCAACAGAGAATAAATACACTAACTCCAGCTATGCAAAAATATGCACATGGAAACTAAATGGTATGAGAATGTGAAGCTGAACTCACAAGAATACTTTCTCCTACGGGTACAATTAAAATTCAGAATTTAATAATTGAAAACTGGCTCTTCTGTTTAATCTCCATACCCTTCTTATGATCGATGTTATTGAATTCTTATGAAATGCAGGCTCACAATTTAACATGTGACCGATTTAGAAAACCATGCCTTCTATGTGCCTATGATGAAAATAAATGCCCTACTGACAAAAGACATCCATTTATTTGGCAGGCTAAACATATCTATTTATTTGGATTCATTTATTTGTCAGGCTAAACATATACTACATTATCCCCAGTGTCTGAATGCTGTGTATGTGAAAAGCCCGACACACATACTCTTTTCACATTGCACATTCAGATAACCCAGTCTTTCCTTTTCAAGGACAACCATTCCCTGCTGAGACTGGCACACTCAGGATGCTTTCTGCTTGAGGCCTGCATTTCCATACCTTTCTTTTAGCTAACTCTGGTTCGTTAAAGAATTCCTGAACTTGAGTGTACCTTTCTCAAATAATAACAACGAGTACGACTATTTTACTACATACTAGGTATGTCTGTAAGCACTTTCCTATGAGCTCATGTCAATCATGTTTTCCAGTATGACCTCAATACAGAGTGTATGACAGATAGTAGGCACTCAATAAATATGTATTTACTAGTTGGGTTATGCTTTAGTTCATGTAACTCTCATGTCCACATTATAAAATAAGTATTATAATTATCAGTGTTTCATAGGTGGGGTGCAGATAGGTAAAGTCAATTACTTAATGGCCAATATTTTGCTAAGGTCAATAGAAATGGGGTAGTGTTGTTTATTTTGTGTTGCTATAAAGTAATACTTGAGGCTGGATAATTTAGATAAAAAAAGAGGTTTATTGGGCTCACAGTTCTGCAGACTGTATAAGAAGCATAGTGCTGGCATCTGCTTCTGGTTAGGGCCTCAGGAGGCTTCCACTCATGGTGAAAGGCAAAGGGGGAACAGGTGTGTCACTTGGTGAGCCAGACAGCAAGAGAGATGTCAGGTTCTTTTAAACAATCAGCTCTTGCGTGAACTAATAAAGTGAGAACTCACTCATTACCATGCGGAGGGCACCAAGTTATTTATGAGGGATCTGCTGCCATGACCCAAACATCTCCCTCTAGGCCCCACCTCCAACATTGGGGATCACATTTTAACATGAGATTTGGAGGGGACAAACATCCAAACTAAATCAGATAGTCAGCTTCCTACCTCAGCTAACCACATTTCAATCCCTGGCTCATTCTCAATGGGATTATACCATCATGAGTTAAAAATTAAGTGATAAAACACAGACAATCATGCTCATCAGAATAAGTTCCAAAATTATTTTTCTACTCATACCTAACTTGTCCTGCCATTAAGATACAGGTTCTTGAAAGGCAGAGACCCCCTGCCCTTTGTATGTCAATGGAAGGTGGAAATACTCTCCCAAAATGCTTCACCAAGTACCACACAAGACCATTCAGAAGCAAGAAGTCCCATGGCTTGTTGAACACTGAGATTCAAAGTCAGGCAGCACAAAACCATAAATTAAATCACCTGTGAAAGCCAAACAACTCAAGTATGAACTACACAAAAATAAAATGTAACCCTCCACACTCACTCCATAGAAGACAACTAGCAGTGTGCAGCTTAGGGAAAACAGTCCCTTGCTGTGATAGTTCTGACTTTTGAAAAATCCCAACTTATTTCACTCAAATGATTCCCAGTTAAACTCTCTACACTTTGCCAGAAGAGGTTCTGACCTAGAAAATAGGATGGGAAATGGAAAAAATAACCATCAGTCCAATTCCAGTCAACCAGGGCACGACATACCCATATCATGGCGGGCACATAGCATTTAACGAGAGAACCATCCCCTCGGAGCCAAGATCTTCCTCAGGTGACTGCACCGGCCAGGCTTATCAATTTCTACTGTAAACAGGGCTGAGGTGACACGCGTCTCCACTGGCACCACTGGATGACCACGGTGGTCTTGAAACCAGCCTCTTTGGCTCAAATGCCCTTTCCTCAGATCCATCCTACTAATTAAACTAGCCCACCCTTGCCCAAACTCCATTTTTGCTCCCATGTTCAAGAACTTATAGGAGGTTCCTTTCACTTTCTGCCTCAGTCTGCCCTCTCCTGTTTGCTTTCCAATGCCCTACACCAAGGGTCCCCAACTCCCAGGCATGGACTGGTCTGTTTGTGGCCTGTTAGGAACTGGGCTGCACAGCATGAGGTGAGCGGCAGGAAGCGAGCAGTACCACCTGAACTCTGCTTCCTGTGGACTCAGCGGCAGCATCAATTTCTTAGGAAGCACGAACCCTATGGTGAACTGTGCATGCGCAGAATCTAGGTTGTACACTCCTTATGAGAATCTAACTTAACTCCTGATGATCTGAGGTGGAACAGTTTCATCCCCAACCCCTCTGTGACCACTGGCCATGGAAAAACCGTCTTCCACGAAACTGGTCCCTGGTGCCAAAAAGGTTGGGGACCACTGCTGTATTGAAATATTTTTAGAGAAATGGAAGAGAAAAAGGTCAGACAGAAATTATGATGTATTTCCATAAAGTTACCCTGTCTTCCTGCCTCCCCATCCCCCTCTGCCACCCCGAGACAGCGAGACAAACCCCTCCCCTTCCTCCTTCTCCTCAGCCTACCCAGTGTGAATATGATGAGGAGGAAGACCTTTATGATGATCCACTTCCACTTAATAAATAGTAAATCTGGCTGGGCACGGTGACCCACGCCTGTAATCCCAGCACTTCGGTTGGCTGAGGTGGGTGGATCACAAGGTCAGGAGATCGAGACCATCCTGGCCAACATAGTGAAAGCCCGTCTCTACTAAAATACAAAAAATTAGCTGGGTGTGGTGGCACAAGCCTGTAGTCCCAGCTACTCGGGAGGCTGAGGCAGAGGAATCGCTTGAACCCGGGAGGTGGAGGTTGCAGTGAGCCGAGATCATGCCACTGCACTCCAGCCTGGCGGCAGAGCAAGGCTGTCTCACAAAAAAAATATAAATAAATAAATAAATAAATAAATAGTCAATATATTTTCTCCTCATGCTTTTCTTAATACGTTTCTCTAGCTTACTTTAGTCTAAGAATGCATTATGTAATATATATAACATACAAAATGTGTGTTAAGTGACTGTATATGTTATTAATAAGGCTTGTCAACAGCAGGCTATTAATAGTAATGTTTTTGAAGAGCCAAAAGTTATACATACATTTTCGATTGCATGGGGGTTGTAACCACTAAACTCTGTGTTGTTCGAGGGTCAACTATAGTTAGGAACATGGCTACCCATTTTTACCAAATAGTCTGAGTCTGCTTCCCTTAGCAGAAACTGGGCCTTTTAAGAAGGGGCTATAAGGCATGGCAGACACGTTTATTTGTCTCTCCAGGGAACTGCTCTTCTTCACATCTTTACTGTACTTAGGATAATAAATCCCCAGGCTTGGCCATAAACAGCAGAGCATTGTATAGTATTCTACAATCATTTCATGTTTATTTGTCCTGACTTTGTATCTAGTTAGGTACTGCCAATGAACCCAGACCACAGTGACGTTCATGGATAAACTTTGCTAGAGGACTTAGTTTTCATGTGTATACCAGCAACTAGAACTGTTTACAGATAGTTCTATTATAGTACTTCTCAAACTTTTTGGTCTCAGGACCCTAAAAAATTGATAATCCCAAAAAGCTTTCAATTACTAGCTTAATCTGATATATACTGTTAGAAATTGAAACTGAGAAATTAAAAAATACTTATTAATCCATTAAAATATAATAGTAATAAATTCATTAGATCTTGGCAAAAACATTTATAAAAACAATGTTTTCCAAAACAGAAGAAATTTTAGTGAAAATTGTTTTACAGTTTTGTAAATCTCTTTAATTTCAATTCTCTTTGCACACCTTTTTAATAGGAGACAGCTGGTTTTTTTTGGTTTCTGCTTCTAAATCCAATTTTTGTGACATGTTTTTGTAGTTTTAGTGTATGAAGAGTCTGGCCTCACACAGATACAGATGAAAAGTCTTTTAAGGTATGTGTGGATATTCTTCTTTGAAACTAAACCAAAACTTGATAAGTAGTGGCTTCTTACAGGCTGGCTGAAATCCTTTCAATGAACTTCCCGTATTCTGCTATATTAAAATTGATTAGTCTCTCTTGCATTGGAACAGAACTTTAACCCATGCAGAGTTTTTAACATCACACATTGTTCACTGAAAAATATTGGTTCACTGAATTATACAGGTTTTCCAAATGTTGACACATTACATTATACAATATTGAAAATGTACTCATTAACGTCATCCCTGATCTCATCAGCAAAGTCGAAATATGGGGAAGTGGTCAAGCTCATGGTGGCAGATACAAGTATTCCAAAATTCCAAGTTTGGCTTGAATTTTTATTATTTTAGCAATAAATATAATCATTTTTCTTGAAGTGACAGACTATTCTTTTTTGAGAAAATGTCTGCCAAATATCCAAGTCTGAATAATCAGAGCTTGTCAGACATTCTTTCAAGCAAAAGCAGTGTCAGGTGAAAAGATGGCAGGTTCAACTTGCAATTGAAATAATCACACAAGCATTTTTCCTTGAGACATACTTTATTACCAGCAGAAGAGCTTTAGTTTCCTTATTATGTCACAGAGAATTTTTTAAATGTGCTCTCAAAATTATGAGACTTAATTTTTACTGCTTCAAGGACATTCTTAAGTGAAAATGGCATTTTGGTTTTTTTGAGTGTGTGATGATAAGGGATATTACTACTGCCTTGTTTAATTAGCAGTTTTATCCACCTCTGTTTTTGTAACATCATTCCAAATGTCAACACAATGAAAACGTCAAATAATATCTTAATATGATTTTAAACTTGACCTTGTGAACTCCTTGAAAGGATCATGGAGACCCCTAGGGTCTATGTACCACACACTGAAAACAGTTTTAAAAAGTATTTAATAAATGTTCTTGAATATCTCAATAAACAAATGTAACTTCATATTATGGAGGGAGGTTCTGGAAAGGTCTAGGAGACCTTTTCGTTTGAGCCACCAAGACTACACTGGATGTTTAAAGGTAAAGGAGGTTAGGAGGAGCACAAGACAAAGCAAAGAGCCAGAAATGGGCAGGAAACTTTCCTAGAGCAGAACAGAGAAGCACAACCTCAGTTGAGTAGCGTCTTCCATACAGCCAGGTGTACTATGTGCAAATTACCTGTCGCTTCCTCAAAACGGTCCCAGAAGATGGGTCTTATCATCCTCACCTATGCATCCCTGCCAAGGAAGGCAGGGATCATGCCCATTTTCTTCACTCATGAATATGTGGAACTCTCACACAGTGGTCAGCACATGGAAAGCACACAATAAATATTCACTGAATGAATATATGAATGAGGCTCAGAGAAATGAATTATCTGTTCAAGGTCACATAGCTAGGAAGTGGTGGCCACAGGATTGAACCCAGGTCTTTGGGCACCAAATCCCATGCGCTTCCCTACATGCTGATTTCTTCAAAGTGATAGAAACTCAGGCCATACAGTGGGAGGCTTGGATGTTGGTGCAGTTAGTCTATGAACCAAGAAGTTTTTATAAAGACGGTAACATGAGTACATTCGTGCTGTCGAAAGATTATACCCAGCGATACCTGGGATGGCTTGGAGTGGAGAACAAAAGGAAGAGGAGAGAGCAATTTGTGTCCTATTTCAGCATTCTCAGTGAAAAAGCCTAATTTGGTGGGGAGTGTCAGACCTCACAGGTTTCCCCAAATTCTCGCTTAACGGTGTGAATTTGGAGAAATTACCTTTCCTGTATGATTATTACGTTCCGTATCTGCAGAATGGGATGATAATAATCTATAATTTCATAGAGTTGCTGTGAGGTTTAAATGAAAAAATGTATACAAGACAACCAGCATCGTTCTTCGCTCAATAAATTTTGCCTATAAAAAAGTGGAAGAAAAGGGAGGAAGGAAGGGAAGGGGGAAGGAAAAAAGAAGGAAGGGGGGTGAGGAAGAAAAAGGAGGGAGGTACAGGGGAGGAAATATGGCTGAGGGAAGGAAATATCTGTGGAATGCCTGGGTGAACCTGGGCAGTGCCAGAGGGAGAGCAAATCTATAAGCCCTGCTTGTGGTTTCTTGACCAGAGAATGAGAAAAAGGCATTAGATCATTTCATGATTTCAAGCCTGGGTGACCAGAGGAATGAACTCATATGAAGGGGCCAAGGAGGCTGGTACTGTAGCTACCAAAGGGCAAAGACCTGGAGGTTCTCTAAAGGGAAGGAATGGATGAAGGAAGAAGGGCACAGGGTGAAAGATCAATATTGTTTGCAGGACATGTGATATTGTAAATTAGGGCAAATGGAAAAATGAGAGAAAACAGGATCTGAGAGACAAAAAGGACGCACCTACTTAAAACCATTTAATTGGTTCCAAACCCTTGTCGGCCAGGCACATATTGGCTCTACAGCCCCATCTCCAGCCAGCCACTCCTGCTGCTCTGCCATGAGATTTCATGCTTTCAGGCTCCAGACTTCTGCATGCTCTGCTCTCACTGCCTCTTTCCCAGAAGCAAAGTTTCTCAAAAAGTGGCACTTGTTATTTTTAAGGTCATATATTAAGATTATGGGAAAACAAAACAAAAAATCATTAGGGAGAGCATCATTTAAGGCCCGGGCTCTCTCACCATCCCGAGGCAGTAGTGTCCCAGGCTACCTCTCTTTGCCCTGCTGCTGCATCCTCTATGCCCCAGCACACACACACTACCCTCTGCCCCTGTCTAGACAGCCTCAGTTCATTCCTTTCTCAGGGCTCCCACTGGACTTTACTCCTGCCCACCACTCCCTGGTTGGTTTCCTGCTATAGCAAAGCTGGGTGTCTCTCTCTCTCCCTACACATGACCCTTGTCCTGGACATCTCTGCACACAGCAGACGCTCAGTCCCTGTTGTATGGTTGATGAAGCCAGGAAAGCAGACATGAAGCTATAACAGAAGCAGCAGCAAGAGGAGCTAAGAGGTGTTAAGAGAGACCAAGAATGATGAAGTCCAGAAAAAGCTAGTGCATTTCGCAAAGAAAACACTGGTGGGGGTCTAACGTGGGCATTCTCCTTGGAGGGACATTGCCCCCACTAGGGAGTAGAAGCTGGTTCTCAGGGGATACAAGTAAAACATTTCTTAGATTACATTGGTCTATGGCCCTCCAAAGCTCAATCCTACATCCCCAAAATTTTATTCCTTGATATTTATCCCATTAGGGAGAAAATTTTAATTTAAAGTTAGTTGGTTGGGCACAGTGGCTCATGCCTATAATCCCAGCACTTTGGAAGCCTGAGACAGGAGGATTGCTTGAGGCTGGGAGTTCAAGACCAGCCTAGACAACATAGTGAGACCTCATCTCTATAAATTAAAAAAAAAATTTTTTTTAAGTTAATTTATCTTAATGTTTCTCCTTATATGGTGACAATGAAAAAAAGGTTGAGAAGCACTGATCTGGAGGAAGGTGATTCGGTAAAAGGAGTGAGAGAACAGCAGCCTGGAAGGACTGACTGCAGAAGCAAATCACGAGGAAACAGTGGTGACAATGACTTTTCTCCCTTTCTTCATGGGTGAGCCTCCTGTGCCATATCTATAATGAGTGTGTACAACATATCAGGCCCTGTGTTAAGTGCTTTGCGAGCATTATTTTACTTTTATCTTCACAACAACCTTACGAAGTTATGTTCCCTTTTTAGAGATGCTTAGAAAATGTAGATAGCATATCCAATGTCCCATAACTAGTCAGTGGTAAATGATGCAAGATGAATACTTAGCACAAGTCTGACACAGGGTAAGGGTTTAATTATCATAACCATGAGCAGAGGAGGCAGGCCTGAACACATCTGTTAGAGGAGGGAATGATGTTTCTGCTACACAGCAAGTGTACCAACAAAACAAAACAAAACAAAACAAGCCCACGTTATTTGAATGAAACAGCAGTGAAGCAAAAAACACGCAACTGGAGAGGAGATGATGGTGGGTAAGGAATCTAGACAACAGGATGGATGGAGTCCAGGCAGAACGGCTGGCTTTGGCAAACAAGAGAGAAAGAAGAGGGATAGGCAGAAGCTGAGAAAGCAGGTTAAAGGTTGTGGTCAAGAGATGAGGGCAGGGCCTCAGTAGAGAGCAGGAGGGAAGAAATCCTGTTCCCACTGGGGCCCTGCAGCTGAGGTCACATGGCATGAATTCCTGGTGGAATTAAGCAACATGATACTATTACTTTCTCCAGTAACCTCTTCAAATAAAAATCAGTTAATTAATATTATGCCTTCTTACTTCCCACTGACCCTAGACTTAGAAAAGGCAACCAAAGTGCTTTAGTGAAATAATTCCCCATCTTTTCTAGTTATGAAGACAACTTCGTGCCATTAGAAACAAAAACCAAAAACTTTCCAAGCACTCAGCTGGAGAAGCTGTACTTTCAGCGTGCACTGAGAAAATGCTAGGTGCACATTAACTCTGTCCAGTTGAGACAACTGATATGACTCCATAGTGTCTTTATCATAAAAATGCATTTGAAAAATAAACATTTAGCCAGTTGGGCAAGCAAGGAGTTTAGTTGTTGTCACTCGCTCCTAACAACTAAAAAGCTGAACAAATGGAAAAACCAACAATTCTTCTTGGATGCAGTAGAGAAGTAAAGTGACAGGGCAAACCACTGCCCCAAAAGTTGGAGAGATAGGCAGGTAGACACAGAAAATCATAGTATACAGGAATAGAAACCTTCAAGCAGAAGCCTGCGTAGGAACCAGCACCAAGATGGAAAAACCTGAGCTGTAACCAACAAATTGCTAGAGACTTCGTGTGGACAAGTCAGGGAGTTAAAAACTTCAGGGGAATCTAGTAATGGGGGAAGGGGAAGCATGTTTGTGAGTTTTACCTCTAGAAGCTCTCTCAGGTCCTCACTGAATGGGGAAGAAAAATCCCCTCATGCTTCCAGCAGGGGGAGGGTGAAAAAAGCATTCTGAAATATACCAGAACATTCTATTCTTCTTAATATGGACTGCCCTCAGAGGAAACTATTTTTCCAGAGCCTAATCTGTTTGGGTTTTATCAGAGCCTAACTTATCTGGGGAAAAGAAATACCCAACTCCAGTACTCTCCTGTTACCCTGTCCCACCTAAGGGAAGAAAAAATACTGGGCAGCACTTGTGAGTTCATAGTCCTGGATGCAAGACTCATCTAAAGCCTCAGATCTAACCACAGAGGTACAGAACACTTCTGTTATCCCACACTTCACCTCCATGTTCCTAAAAGCCTATTTATCACATTTCCTTCATCTGGGACATCATGTCTGCCTTTCATTCAAATTACAAGGCATACTAAAAGACAAAAAACACTGAAGGAACCAAACAAGCATCAGAACCAGAATCAGAAATTGCAGGAATGCTGAATAATCAGACCAGGAATTTTTTAAATTTAAGATTAATAAGCTAAGGGCTTTAATGGAAAAAGTAGGCAACATGCAAGAACAGATGAATAATGTAAGTAGAAATATGGAAATTCTAAGAATTTTAAAAGACAGAAATAAAGAATGCCTTTGATAAGTTCATTAGTAGACTGAACAGGGCTGAGGAAAGAATCTCTAGGCTTGAAGATATGACAACAGAAACTCAAAATATGAAAAGCAAAGAGAAAAAACATGAAAAGAAGCAAAACAGAATAAGGATTATGGCATGTCTACAAAAGGTGTAACATACATGTAACAAGAATGCTAGAAAAATAAGGACAGAAGAAACAGAAGCACTATCTGAGGCAATAATGACTGAAAATTCCCCCAAATTAATGTCAGACACCAAACCACAGAATTCAGAAAGCTCAGAAACACCAATCAGAATAAATACTTAAAAAAAAAAACCTAGGCATAACATATTCCAACCTCAGAAAATCAAAGATAAAAACTTTTGAAAGACAAAAGAAAAAAAAAAAATCTTACCCATCCAGGACCAAGGATAAGTACATTGACTTCTCAGAATTCATGTAAGCAAGAGAGTGGAATGAATCATATAAAGTATTGAGAGAAAAAAAACGAACCTAGAATTACATACCCTGAAAAATTATCCTTCAAAAATAAAAGAGAAATAAAAATGTTCTCAGATTAAAAAAAAACTGAGGGAATCTGGTGCCAGTAGACCTGCCTTGTAAGAAATGTTAAAAGAAGTTCTTCAGAGTGAGGGAAAATGATATAGGTCAGAAACTCAGATCTACATAAAGAAAGAAAGCAAGCATCAGAGAATGCATAAGTGAAGAATGCATAAGTGAATTTTAATTGATTTAACAGATAATACTTTGATTAAAAAATAGCAACAATATATCCAATGATATATGTTTATGTGCATACATACAATTGATCCTGGAACAACACAGGTTTGAACTGAGAAGGTCCACTTCTACTTGGATTTTTTTCAAACAAGGATGAAAAATACAATATTTAATATTTACGGGATGTGAAACCCACATATATGGAGGGCCAACTTTCCATATGTGTGCGTTCCACAGGGCCAACTGTGGGACTTAAGTATGTACAGATTTTGGTTACATGCAGGGCAGAGGGGATGGTCCTGGAACCAATCCCCTGTGTATACCACAGGATGACTGTAAAGGGATAGAGAAAGACATACCATGCTAAAACTAACAGAGAAAACAGGAGTAGCTATAAATTTCAGACAGAGCTGACAAGGAAAGTTACTAGGAATAAAGACAGGCATCACATAATGATAAAGGGGTCAATTCTCCAATACAACATAACAATATTTGTCATGTATGCACCTAAGAACAGAGTATCAAAATAAGCTAGGTAAAAAACTAATAGAACTTAAAAGACAAATAGATCAATCCACCATTATAATTGGAGATTTCAATGCCCTTCTATCAGAAATGGACAGATCTATTAGGCAGACAATCATTAAAGCCAACAGTTGAACTTAATGGCACTACCCATCAATTGGATATAATTGACTTCTATAGACTACTTCATCCAACAACAACAACAGAATATACATTCTTTTCAAGTTCACATGGAACAGTCACTAACAGAGACCACACACTGGGCCATAAAAAAAACCTTAACAAATTTAAAAGGATATAAACCATACAATGTCTGCTTTTAGACAACAATGAAATTAAGCTAGAATTCAATAACAGAAAGATAACTTGAAAATCTCAAAATACCTAGAGATTAAACAACACACTTCTATAAAATACATGAGTCAAGGAAGAAATCTGAAATTTAAAAATATTTTGAACTAAATAAAAATGAAAATACACCTAATCAAAACTTATGGGATGAAGCAAAAGCAGTGCTTAGAGGGAAATTTACAGCATTAAATACATATATCAGAAAAAAAGAAAGATCTAAAACCAGTAATTTAAGCTTCCACCTTAAGAAACTAGAAAAAATAAATTAAATTCAAATTAAGCATGGGCAAAGATTAATATACAAAGAAAAATAAAATAAAAAAATTCAAATTAAAGAAAAAAATCAAAGCAAAAAAAATCAATGAAATTAAACAGAAAAAAAAATTGAGAAAAATCAATGAAACCAAAAGCTGTTTCTCTGACAAGGTCAATAAAATTGATAAGCATCTAGTGAGTCTGAGAAAAAAAGAAAGAAGACAAATTACCAATATTAGATATAAAGGAGGGGACACTACTACAGATCCCATATACATTAAAAGGCTAATAAGGGAATAAATGCACAATCTATGTACACAAATTTGATAACCCAGATGAAATGGACATACTCCTTGAAAGATACAATCTGCCAACATTCACAAAAGAAAACAGATAATCTCAAAAGGCCTATTTATATTAATGAAATTGAATCAATAATTAATAACTGTTCAAAACAGAAAGCACCAAGTTCAGATGGATTCACTTGTGAATTCTTCTAAACACTTAAGGATGAAATTATAACAATTCTCTAGAATCTCTTGCAGAAGACAGAAGCAGACAGAATACATCCTAACTCATTCTATGAGGCTAACACTACCCTAAGACCAAAAGCAGATAAAGACATTACGAGAAAACTTAAGAGTATCTCTCATGAATGAAGATGCAAAAATCCTCAATAAAGTATTAACAAACTGAATCCAACAATGTAAAAAAGAATTACACACTGCTACCAAAGCGGATTTACCTCAGGGTAAGTAAGGCTGGTTCAATATTTGAAAATCAATTAATGGAATCCATCCCATCAACAGGCTAAAAAAGAAAAGTCACATGATCGTATCAACAGATGCAGAAAAAGCACTTGACAAAATCCAACATCTATTCATGATTTTTTTTTAAAAAAACTATGTAAACTAAAAATAGAGGGGAACTTCCTCAACTTGATAAAGAACATCTACAAAATAGCCCATATTTAATAGTGAGTAACTTGGAGCTTTCCTGCTCTATGACTAGGAAAAAGGCCAAGATGTCCCTCTCATCACTGCTTTTCAACTTTTTGCTGCAATTCCCAGGTAATGCAATAGTAAATAAAAGAAATAAAAGACACACAGATAGGGGAAGAGGAAATAAAACTGCCTTTTTCAAAGATGACATGAACATCTATGTAAAAAATCTGAAAAAACTGACAAAAAGATTCCTGGAACTAGTGAGAAATAATAGCAAGGCTGTAAAATACAAGGTTAACACAGAAAAGTCAACTGCTTTCCTATAGACCAGTCATGAACAAGTGGAATTTGAAATTAGAAACACATTACTATTTATATTAGCACTCCCAAAATGAAATGCTTAGGTATCAATCTAACAACATGTATAAGATCTGTATAAGGAAAACTATAAAATGCTGATGAAATATATCTAAGAAGATCTAAATGAAAGAGAGTCCATGTTCACAGACAGGAAAACACAATATTGTCAAGATGTCAGTTCTCCCTAACTTGACCTATAGATTCAGTGCAATCACAATCAAAATCTCAGAAAATTATTTTATGGATATAAACAAACTGAATCTAAAGTATTACGAAGAAGCAAAAGGCCTAGAATAGCCAACTCAATATTGAAGAACAAAGTTGGAGGACTGACACCACTTGATTTCAAGACTTATTATAAAGCTAGAGAAATTAAGGCAGTGTGGTATTAGTAAAGAAACAGACTAACAGGTGAACGAAACAGAACAGATCCTAGAAACAGACCCACATAGTCACCTGGTCTTTGACAAAGAAGCAAAGGTAATACAGTGGAGCAAAAATAGTATTTTCAACAAATAGTGCCAGAACTGGACATCCACATTCCCTGCCCCCACCAAAAAAGAAAGAATCTAGACACAGACCTATAGCCTTCACAAGAATTAAGTCAAAATTGATCACAGAACTAAATGTAAAATACAAAACTAGAAAACTCCTAGAAGAAAACATAGGAGAAAATGTAGATGACCAAGGGTATGGCAATGGCTTTTTACATACAACACCAAAGGCATGAACCACAAAAGAGAGAATAAGCTACACTTCATTAAAATGAAAACCTTCTTCTCTGCCAAAGACAATGTCAAGAGAATGAGAAGCCACAGACTGGGAGAAAATATTTGCAGAAGACACTTCTGATAAAGGACTGTTATCCAAAATATATATAAAGAACTCTTAAAACTCAAGAATAAGAAAATAATTTGATTGAAAAATGATCAAAAGTGACCTGAACATATACCTCACCAAAGAAAACATACAGATGGCAAGTAAGTGTCTGAAAATAGGTTCAATATTACGTCACTGGGGAATTACAAACGAAAACAACGAGATACCACCACACACCTACCAGAATAGCCAAAATCCAAAACACTGATGGCACCAAATGCTGGTGAAGATGTGGAGCAACAGAAACTCTCATTCACTGTGGGAACGCAAAATGGTACATCCACTTTGGAAGACAGTTTGGCAGTTAAAAAAAAAATTAGACATAGTTTTAACCATATAATCCAGTAATCGTACAACTTTATATTTACCAAAATAAACTGAAGACATATGCCCGAAAATTTGCACATGGATGTTTACAGCTTTGTACATAATTGCCAAAACTCGAAAGAAACCAAAATGTCCTTTAGTAAGTCAGTGGGTAAATAAACTTTGATACATCCATACAATAGAATATTACTCAGTGCTAAAAGGAAATGAGCTATCAAGCCATTAAAAGACACAGAGGAAACTTAAATGCGTATTACTAAGTGAAAGAAGCCAATATGAAAAGGCTACATACTATATGATTCTGACTATTTGACATTCCACTATGGAGACAGTGAAAATATCAGTGGTTGTCAAAGGGTTAGGAGGGAGAGAGGAATGAATAGGCAGAGCACACAGGACTTTTAGGACAGCGAAACTATTTTGTATAATACTACACTGGTGAATACATGTCATCATGTATTAGTCAAAATCCATAGAATGTAGAACACCAAGAGTGAATCCTAATGTAAACTATGAACCTTGGCTGATAATGATGTGTCAACTTAGGTTCATTGATTACAATAAATGTACCACTCTGGTGTGGGATGTGGATAGTGGAGGAGGCTATGCATAGGCACAGTGGGTATACAGGAACTCTCTGTACTTTCTGCTCAATTCTGCTGTGAACCTAAAACTGCTATAAAATTTAAAGTTTATTAAAACTAAAAAAAGATTGATTTGTGAGACATTTAGTCTGCCGCAATGTCTGCTTTACATCTGGATTTGCAAACCAATACAATAAATTCTCCCTCCTCCTCCCCACCTTGGACCACAGGTTGGGAATGACAGGTCTACAAGGAAGGTGAGTGGCATTTTGGATATGGAAGGGATCTGGCCTTACCCAGACCTGGTTCTAACTCCAGTTCTGTGATGACCGCAATGATGACTGATGAGTTACTGAAACTCACTATGTCTCAGTTTTATTCTTTGTACATGGGGACGGAAATACTCTAAAAGGTTTTTAGCACCAAATGACACTGAATTTATTACATGTAATACAACAGGTAGTTAGTGTTAACATTTCTGTTTGCTAGAATCAGTGGTTCGACCCCCTGGACCGGCAGCATCAGCATCACCTGGAAACTGGTTAAAAATGCAAATTTTCAAGCTGCAACTCAGGCACATTGAATCCTCTGGTGGTGGGCCCAGCAATCTGTGTTTTAACAGCCCTCCAAGTGATTCTGATGCTCATCAAAATTTGAGAACTGCTGCTCTGAAGTCATAGTTTTCAACTTTCTTTTTTTCTTTATAAGCAGAGGAATCCTTTCTTCAAAAGGGATCTTATTCAGAAAGCTGATCCGTGGAACACATACAGTTGAACTGGTTCTGATTGAACTGGGTAGGGAGAGCTCGATGTGTGCCTTCGAGGTCTCACCTGGTTCCCTGCAGCCATCCCCAAGGGACCTCTGGGGCAGGGAAATGCTCTTTGGCCATTAGAGATACTACAATTTTTGGTGGCACCATTGACAGAATTAAAGGACTAACACAACACTAAGCGATTCAACCATAATTACAAGGCAAACCCTGCTGCGGTAAAATAATACTTCCTGGGGTTTCCAGGGGCATCCACAACTAAGCCACTCTGCACTGGGTCACCCTCCAGTACCACATCACTGGCCTGACTTGGCTATCTTACATGCTTGGGACAAAAATTTTCAGAAGTGACATCTGGCTCTCTTTGCAACATCTCTTTGTTACATCTTTGCAACATCTAGCCTCAACTTGATGTTACACTGCCTGTTGCCCAGAGCAAGCTGTACCCTATTCACATCAGGTCAAAAGACCTACTTACTCTGTGGTGTCAAAAACACATTTTATGTTTCAATCAAAGTTTGGTGGCATACTCCTGAAGAGAGCTGAGGCTCAGCAGTAAGCAGTAGACATGTCAGTTGAGAATCACTGTCTAGGAATTAAGTTTGAAAACTATTGATGTAGAGGCTATAACCAAGGAGACAATCATGGGAGGGTTTTTGCTGTATTTGTTTACGGAAGAACATGCAGTGCCAAGTATTCAAATGAAACTTACATAGGCTGACAATAAGTAAAGGAGCCAAAGAAGGAAAATCAAGATAGACAGTCACAGTTCTCAGGAAAAGGGATGTGCTTTGGGTTTCCAGATAAACAGCTGACTATGGAGTAATGGCTTAGGGAATGCCAAGTTAAGCAAGTTATTATAAAAGCTAGCACCCACTGATCAAATCAGTCATCTTTCATTAGTACCATGTCTCCCAGCTCATATTTCATATGGGCTGTGGGTTATTATTTTCTCTACTCTGGCAATGAGGATCTGCTGCAGCTTATTGGAAAAAAAAATCTGTATCAAAACCAAAAATATTTCCAGATACCATAGATTATTAAAAAATAAAGGTTGCAAATGGAGCTCATCTCATTGATTTTCTACTTTGAGCCTCTCCTAATCTGAGAGAGGGTAGAACGGGTGTTAATTTCAGCTGACAGATAAGGACACTGAGGTATGGGCAGACTATGTGCCCTGCTAAAGGTCACTGATAATCACTAGAGAGCCAGGTCTAAAGTCATAATGCTTCAGAATGGAAGAGGCCTCAATGAGCCATCTACTCCACTCATGTCAATTTTACAGAGGAGCTAACTTTCATCTTGAGAGGTAGGAGGGGAGGAGATAAGACTTAGAGTGATTCTCTTGGTTTGGCACAAAGCAGCTGCACAGGAGCCATTCGAAAAGAAGGCCTCTCACTTGGTGAGAATGAGGTAGGAGATAAGGATAAGGCCTTTCCTCCTCCTAAATGTCTATAAAAGCTGAGCTACCCAAAATGGTAGCTATATATTAACAAGTTTAATTAAAACTAAATAAAGCAAAATTTAACTCCTAAGTTACAGTAGTCATATTTCATATGCTCAAGAGGCACAAGTGGCTGGTGGCTATGACACCAGACAGACTGAACCTGTCCTTCATTGCAGAACGTTTTGCACAGAGATGCTCTTAAGTACACTCTTCATGACAAGGATATAGTTGCTGGAATGGGCAGCTGGAATCAGGAATCCTGGAGCTGCCACCAATTAGCTATGTGAACTTGGCAAATCTCTGGGCATCCATTTCTTCATTTGTAAAAAGAAGTTAGGCTCCATAATGACGATGGCCCCTTTCTGTTGTAACATCCCATAATTCTGTCCCCAAAGCTCCAGATGGCAAGCTCCTGACTCTGGCCACTCTTCTTTCCAAACTGGGCCCTTTATCAAATTAGATCAAGAGAACATGCTCTTGGACTTATTTCCCGTAGAAATGCAGTTGCTGAATACGAATAGCATCCTCTAATTATTTCAAGGGTCATCATAAGAAATAGCCACAAGAAAAATTTCTCTAAATATTTACCAGGAAGAACCACTTAAGATGGTGAAGAACCTATCCCCAAAGCCCCTCTCGTAAGAACCTACACCTACATGATAAATCTGGTGCAGTTTAGGGCCAGAAAAAAAGTATATTTCTCCAGAAGAATTGGTATGCTTCCTTTTAACCACAGAATGAAAACAACATTGTTCATTATGATTTTTAGGCATCAGTTAGGGCCTAAGCATGGGAGGCCCCTGTTCCAAGGAAACTGGAACAATTCTGTCTCCAGCACAGAGCTCCTGTCTTCCTTGACCCCACTGAAAGTACATTTTCAGCAGAGGCCACATTTAACACTTTTTAAAAGTAGAGTTAAAATGTTAAGTTTTTAAAAATTAAATAGTTCACTGATCCCGCTATACCATACTGTAGAATATAAACATGGAATACGATGAGAATAAAAAAAAATGAACCTCAAATCACTGAGCTAAACAGAATTAATTATACTGGAAGAATTTGCAGAAGGCTGAATTGTGGCAACTTTTGCATCTTTTCCTCCCCCATTATCTCTATCACCTCCTCCAATTAAATTAAGTTCCAATTAATTAAAATGGCAAGCATTTATTGAGTATCTAATCTATTCAGTGTCAGGCATAGTTGTAAGTATTCATATATATATGTGTATATATATATGTATATAGTAGTATATACACACATATATATGTAATTAAAACTTATGCCTCACAGTAACCCCAGGAGGAAGATAAGGTAACTTGTTCAAGTTTACATAGGTAGCAAGTGTCAGAGCTGGGATTTAAACCCTGCCAGTCAGGCTCCTGCTCTCTAATACTACATGAGCCCCCTTTTTAATACTGACAATGAACCTTTTCCCACCTTTAAAAGTAAAAATTTAAAACATCATTAGAAAACATTACAGAAACACATAAAGTAAACAAAAAAAAATTGTGCTTGCTTAGCAAACAGCTTTCAGATTTGTCCCTTAGCACTCTTCTACACTGCCAGCCATGAGCCCTTCCTGTTTAGAAATTTTAGAGAATGCCAACTCTTTAATTCTGTCATTTTTCCAACATTCACTCTGAACTTCTTCCGCATTGTTTTCTGGTGAAATAACTAAAAATCCTGCATGTAGTGTAACAGTCAACTAAAGGCATAATAACCATTAGCAAAACTGTTCCTACCTATTAATTCCTTGCTTAACAAGGGTGGGTCACAATAATAAAAAGACAATGAAGCTGGGAACTGACAATTCCAGTCTTTGCAGCTGTCATGAGACAGTTTAAAAATGAATTTACATAAGTGATTGCTGGGCTTTTTATAAACATGGTACCTGCCAGGAAACAGTTCCACTTTCTCTTCCCTGGACTTTCTGTCCTCTTGTAGATTCTGATTCTCGAGCTTTACAATGCTTTATATGCTTTCATGTTTTATATGCTTATCAGGACAATCTTCTGTGGACAGTAAAAGGAAACACGTCTCTTAAAGCTATTAGAAAATTAACACTTGAGTTATGTGTTTCTTTAGTCCTAGGGGTAGTGTACTCAAACAGGCACAGGTTTCAATTCTGGCTCTGCAGCCTTGTACAAGTTACTGAAGCTCTCTTGAGTTGTACTGTCTTCTGTAAAATGAACTAATTATATTGCCCTAATGGAGTTGTAATGCCAGGTCAACAACAGACACACAACAAAGTTACTTCCCATAATCAAAGTTGTAAAAAGTTAGTTTCAAAACCAAGCTGCACTTTTGAGATTCCATTTTTCATTTTTATCCAGTTTGTGGCCATTCCCAAAGGACTCCTTTCAGGTGCTTCTGGAAAGTGTTACCATACAAAAGACTTCTAGTTCTCAAGGGGGAATGGAGAAATACATGTGGATTGGAAATTCAATCCAAACAAAACCTCTCTAAAAATTTTTTAAATGGTATTTGTATCCAGGAAATCAAGGCCACAAATCGTTTCTATGAATGAGAACTTTACAGGTTGCCTTCCCTCACAATTTTTCCTTCACTTATATCCCTGATAAAAATAAGAAATGCTGCTGGATATAAAGCAAAATTAATGTTGACCACTAAAGCCATTTCTAGTCAAAATTCAATAGCCTACATACACCTCTTGAAAAAACAATTTGCTCCCAGGCTCCGTATGATGACGCTGGCCATGAGTAACACTCATGTCCCAGAATCCTCAGATTTAGCTTTCTCAAGAAAACTTTCCATGAAACACGACTTGCCAGGACAAGGCCTTGCGGAGGCTCCTTGTGTACCTGTGGCCCTCATCCCCAGAGTGCTGTGCTGTTACCCTGTGGGTTACTGTGTCGAAATGGAAGCGGTGACGTTCTTCCTTCAGGGACATTCCTTTTGTTTTTACCTAGCAGCATACACCAATAATTTGTAAGTAGGAAGAGTTTTCTGTTCATTTTTTTCTTAATGGACAGATTTAGACAGCCCAAAGGTAGGGCTCGGTATGTGCTGCGGGGAGGGGCTCAGAGGGCCGGCATGAGGGAGGATTTGTGCCCAAAGGCTTCTCACAGACTCCGTAACTAGATGAGGAAATGAGCCAGGATCCACAAGACTCCTCAGCGGCCAAATCCCGAGTTCTCCTTCTGTCAATCATCTGCACTGCAGAGACTTAGAGTACACTCCGGCAGCAAGAAGGCTGCTCTCCCAGTGCTCCTGCCTTGACCATGCCCTGGAGTTACCTGGAAGCTTTATTAGAGACTGTACCCTCTGGGCCCCATGCCAGGGCTGGGTGCGGCCGGGGCTCCATGATTTTCAGTCACTCCTCAGCTGATCCTAACATGCACATAAGTTTATGAACCGCTGCCCTGGTCCCTTCTGCCTTCAGTGAGGCTGCGGAAGCTGCTAGAGCCTATTATCTTGAGACTTTTTTTTCTTTTCTTCTAATGAAAGAAAAAGATAATGTACGAAATCATACATTTTGAGCTTTCCTCAAGTCAAGAAAGTTTAGGTCAGAGTCCTTAGTGTGAGTTTATCCCTTTGCCCCACCCACCCTAATGAAGATTACAGCCGACCGTAGTAACTGGAGCATAGAGCGTGCTCCTGGGCAGAGTGCAAAGGGCACCCTTTCAAAGAAGGTGGAAGGGAAATGTATTGGGAAGTTTATGAAGGGGAGTAAAGAAATTTAAGAAACAGATTCACTGCTCTTTGGATATGCGTGCAAGGGCTTTCACGACTTTCCAAGCCCCTGCCTTCATCTGGACTCCTGTTCCTCCTGGACACACTCACCCTCCAGTCTAGTTACAAATTATTCACTCTTAGGACAGGGCCCTCTGCCTCCAGCTCAAGCCAGCTGGAGACCTCTGCCCTCATCCCCACCCCAGGTTTCCAGGTGGGCCCTGCCACTTACGGTGTGACTCCTAAATACCTGTGGGGCAGCAGTGAGCCAGAGGGGTGGGGAAGAGTATAGATGGGGCTCTCTCCAGGACTGACTCCTGCGTACTCAGCCGTCCTCCCAGGACAGGTAGGGCCCGGTGACAAGACGTCCTGAGCCTGGCCAGCACCCGACAACTCCCAGCTCACTAGATTTAATGAGGCAGCACAAAAGCAGGAGAACAAGAGGTGTGGGGCTCTAACTCCACCTTTGCCCTCTGCTAGCCCATGACCTTGTGCAAGTAACAGAAGCTTTCTAGAAAGTGCCTCAGTGTCCCCATCTGTAAAGTGGAAATTAATGTTTGACTAGACTCCTCAGAAAGCTTTTTGAAAAGTGCAAAGTGCTTTAAGTTATTTTGATACAATACAACTTCTCTAGACATTAATTGAATCTTCTATGCATGGGACACTGCCTATCACTGACAATATAAAGATGAAAAAAAGGCCACTGAATTCAACGGGTACAATATATTCCACAGAGCAAACAGAAATGTGGTAGATAAAGCTACATAATTCAATGTAATAATTAGTATGATGGCTGAATAGCATGCTACTGGGAACCCAGACAGCAGAAAATTTACATATGTCCAGAGATGGGGGAGAGAAGAGGACAAGAAGGTGACATCAGGTAAACACTGATGGTCAGGTACTCATCTGAGCACTTTATGTATACAATCTCAAGTGAGCCTCAAAACAACCTTGTGAAGTAGGTAAGTACTGCTTTCCCCATTTTACAGATAAGGAAAGCAATACCTACCTACCTGGCAAGTTCAGAGAGGCAGTCTCTCAAAGTCACATGGCTAGTGAATGGCAGAGCTGGGCTTTGGCTGTGGGCCCAAAACCTGGATCATAATCTTTCCACACACTGTCTCCACCCTAACTATGACCCCATTCCTGATCTCCCCAGTGCCTTGCCCTGGCTCAGGCATAGCCCGGCACACCCCTCCTCTGTGCTTCCATACTTCTGTATTCACACTGCCATATAACATGCCTATTATTCTGTCATTATTTGTTTTTGTGTCTGTCTTCCTCATTAGCTTACTGGTCCTTAGGGAAGAAAGGGAAGGCAGCAGGTGCTTAGTAAACAGTTGGTGTTTGGTGTCTGGTGTTTAATAAATGTTAATAAATGTTTTCTTTTGTTTCTTTCTTTCTTTTTTTTTTTTTTTTTTTTGCGATGTCTCATTCTGCTGCCCAGGCTGGAGTGCAGTGGTGCAATCATGGCTCACTGCAGCCTCAAACTCCTGGGCCCAGAAAATCCTCCCACCTCAGCCTCCTGAGTAGCTAGGACTACAGGCACATACCACTGCACCCAGCTAATTTTTAAAATTTTTGTAGCGATAGGGTTTCACTAGGTTGCCCAGGCTAGTCTCAAACTCCTGGGCTCAAGCAATCCTCTTACCTCAGCCTCCCAAAGTGCTGGGATTACAGGTGTGAGCCACTGCACCTGGTCAATAAATGTTTTCTCAATGGATGAAGGAAAAAATGAAACTATACTAGGCTTCGACAGACTGGTAGGAATTTACTAGGTGGTTTGAAGGAAACATTTTCAAAAGCAAAGGCAGACCCTTATTCATCCTTATGTCCCCAGAGTCTTGTACTTATTACAGGTACTTAATAAATGTCTAACAAATTCTAGGCAGAGGAAACAGTGTGAGGAAATCCAGAGAGATTTAAGGTTACACAGTGAGTTTGGACAACTTGGCCAATGTGAATCACATAGTGGGTGTGTGGGGACACAGAAGTGCTTCTCAAATTATTCATGGGGAAAGACCAGGGGTTTTTTTTTTTTTTTTTTTTTTTTTTTTACTTCCAATTCAATATGGACCAATTCTTTCATAAAAATTCAGCGAAAAGGAACTGCCAAAAATGGGACAAAATACAAGTCCAGTTCCTAATCAGATTCAACAGATGTAAAATGATGGTCAAATTGCTATAAAAATTACCAAATATGGACTTATCTAGCTGCAGATTGCTAACAAAGAGGTCTGTCTGCTGATCAAGCTTTGCCTGGCACTGAGAAAGGTGGAGGTAGGAGCTATTGTGGAGAGCCACAAGAAAGATGAGCTTGTTCTACAAAGGAAAGAGAGATCAAGAATAATGTTCACTGAGGATTTCTGTGTGGCCGGCATGGTTATGAGTGCTTCACACCTATTAACTCATTTACATTTCATAACTTATCTGTGAGGTAAGTGCTATTATCACACCCGTTTCAGAGATGAGTAAACTGAGACACAGCCGTTAAAAACATTCCCAAGCCAGAGGTGGTAAGAAGCATCACGAGGCCTTGAACCTGGGCAGTGTGAATCTTCATTACTAGACTGCGATGCCTTTGGGGAACTCATAGACAATTTTCTATTGTCTATGAGTTCAGGAAGTGACCCACTGAAATTTATGTTTTCAAGAAATCATGCTGGTGGCAGTGTGCAGGGTAAAGGTCAGTTAGGAAGCCACAACAACAATCCAGGTGAGAGGCATGGGGGTAGGGAGAAGCAGACATGCGGGCGCTTTAGGAGGTGGACCCAGGCTTTAGTTGGGGGCAGGGTGTCCAAGCTAGGGAGAGATGAAGGGGAGGGAGGCGTTCCTGATGACTCAAGGGTTCAGAGCTTAGCAACCTGGGTGGATGGAAATGTCTTACAGAAAACAGGCAGGAAAGCAGGTTTTAAGGGGACGATGATGAGATCAGTTTTCAGCAAATGTCTATCTGAATTTGAAGAGCCTGAGACAATCTACAGTTGTGTCTTAGGAAAATTCTACAGACTGTGATCTTCGTTTACTGAATTCAGGTAGTCACTATTTTTACCCTAGTTCTGCCAAACCACTTTCCTCCTCCTCTTTCCCCTTTGCACTGGTTACACTTAAAATAGTTTAAAAAGCAGCAGTTCCAAAACCCTAAACTTTCCTCCCTTCAAAAATAACACAGTGTGTATGCAAAATGCCACACTCATTACAGCTTATTTCTGAACAAAAAGCAGATTTCCCTGCAAATTCTTATTTGCATTTTCATTAAATTCAGATTCTTTATAATGGCTTATGTGATCTGTTCTCTGTCTACTTCTCCAAACTTATCTCCTACCATGCATTCACTCATTCATTGTTCTTTACACTCCTACCACAGGAGCCTTCTTTTTGTGCTCAAACATGCGAAGCTTATTCCCAGCTCAGTGCCTTTGCACTGGCTGTTCCCTCTACCTGGAATGCTCTTCTCCAGATTTAACCTGGCTGCCTCCTGCTCATTCAGCTCTCAGCTCAAATGTCCCCTCCAAAGAGTGGTCTTTCCTGGTCACCTCCATCCCCAGTCCATCTCTCTGTCTCAGTCCCCTGCTTTGCTACCTTCACAGCACTTACCCCTTTCTGAATTGACCTCGTCATGTGATTTTTACTCAAGGAATTTTGTGTATCTTGTTCACAGTTGTATCCCCCAAGTAGACAATCAATAAACATTTGCTGAATTAAAAAAAAAAAAAAAGATCAGCCAGGCACAGCGGCTCACGCCTGTAATCCCAGCACTTTGGGAGGCCGAGGTGGGCGGATCATCTGAGGTCAGGAGTTCAAGACCAGCCTGACCAATATGGTGAAACTCTGTCTCTACTAAAAATACAAAAATTAGCTGGGTGTGGTGGCATATGCCTATAGTCCCAGTTACTCAGGAGGCTGAGACAGGAGAATTGCTTGAACCCGGATGGCGGAGGTTGCCAAGATTGTGCCATTATACTCCAGCCTGGATGACAGAGTGAGACTCCATCTCAAAAAAAAAAAAAAGATCAACTTGGAGCTTATTAACAACTGAAAAACAGATGAAGAGACAGGGCCTTTGTCCACAAAAAATAGCAAAGAAACATCCAAGTACGAGAGAGACAACACAGGGCAGTGTCTCCTCCCTGTGTCCCTTCCACTCCCAGAAGCCCATTCCTCCAGACCACCTGGCGGATGCCTCACCTGTCACACTTTTCAATGTGGTATTACCAGAGGCTGTTGGACAGCAAAACGGTGCCATGAAAAGAGTACTGATTTCAGAGTCAGACCACTCACTACTGTGCCTATAACCTTCCAAGCACAGTATTCAACCTCTCAGAACCTGCTTCCTCACTTGTAAATGGAGCCAGTATTCCCTAGCTCAGCTACTATAAGGAGTGAGAAAGTGTATGTGAAGTTCCTAGCATATGCTGATACTCAAAGGGTAACTATCATCAGCTTCATCCAGTTTACTGCCGGGACACTATACTCTCTCAATTAGGGTTTAATAAATGCATTTAACTGTAGAAATAAGTTTAATTGATATTAAAGATGATGGATATTACGTGACCACTATGATAATGATGTCAATTATAACAACAGTTAACATCTGAGCACTTACTAGTAACACCCTAAGTACTTTAAATATATCAGTAGCTGTTTTATTCCTAAGCCAAATATGGTGTTTCATCAATTCTAAGAAGCATATTTTGTTCACATTTTAAGATCCCTGATAATTGGAATGATTCTTCATGGTAGGCAGAAAGCTCCAAGGATGTCTGTGTCTTAATCCCTGCAACATGTGAATATATTACATTACATGGCAAAAGGGACTTTGCATTATGCAATTAAGGTTACTGACCTTAATATATGGAGAGTACCCTATAGGTGGGCCCGATCTAATCAAAGGAGCCCTTAAAAACAGAATTTTCTCTGGCTGGAGGCAAAGAGATGCAGCAAAAACAAAAACAAAAAAAAACATCAGAGAGATCCCAAGCACGAGAAGGATTTGTCATAATGTTGCTAGTTCTGATATGGGCTCAAGGGCAAGGACCAGAGGGAGATCTCTAGGAGTCGAGGATGCCTCCCAGCTAAGAGGCAGCAAAGAGCCGGAGGCCCTCATCCTGTAATTGCAGGGAACTGGAGTCTACCCACAACCTAAATGAGCCTAGAAATGAATTCTTCCCAAAGCCTCCCAATAAGAGGCCAACACCTTGATTGTGGCCTTGTAAAACCCAGATGAGAGAAATCAGCCAAGCCCACCCTCACTTTCAATGTACAGAACTGTGAGATAATTCATATTTGTTGTGTTAGGCTGCTAAATTTGTGGTAATTTGTTATAGCGGCCATAGAAAAACTAACACACTCTTACAGCTGATGTGCATTATAATTTAATCAGCAGCTTTTTTTTTTTCTTAGTGGCACATAGAATAGTGGCACATAGAATAATGGCACATAGAATACCGGCACATCTAATCAATGACATCTGAAATCTGTTGAAATACGGTGTTATTATCTCTGTTTTGCAAACGGGAAAACAGGATCTGAGAAGTCAGGTGATTTGCCCAGGAGACTGAAACCGCAAACTCAAGCTCTAAACCAGGGGTGTCCAATCTTTTGGCTTCCCTGGGCCACACTGGAAGGGGAAGAATTGTCTTGGGCCACAAACAAAATACACTAACGATAGCTGATGAGCTGAAAAAAAAAATCGCAAAAAAAATCTCATAATGTTTTAAGCAAGTTTATGAATTTGTATTGGGCCGCATTCAAAGTCGTCCTGGGCCGCATGCGCCCTGCATTATGAGATTATTTTGCAATTTGTCTGTAAGCTCATAAGCTGTCATTAGTATTAGTGTATTTTATGTGTGGCCCAAGACAATTCTTCCACTGTGGCCCAGGAAAGTCAAAAGATTGGACACCCCTGGGCTAGGGTATCTTGTCAAAAGGCCAAGGAATGGCTGACATGACCTCCTTCAGGCCCATGTCTGATACAGGACCACAGAGACCCAGCTAGCTCCAGAAGCAGTCAACCCCTTTTGATTAGGCACCCAAAGGTGCTAGGTACCCCTTCTAGGTACTGGACCAAGATCCTGTCCTTATGAAGCTGACACTGCAGTGAGGTAGGTTAATATAACAATTGATTGAGATAAGTGCTAGAAGGAAAACAAAACATCCAGAGAGCTTTAAACCAACCTTCATAAAAGTCAGAATGTACATATTCAGGAGCTAAAAAGAAACAGAGCACTGGGCCTGGAAGATAAAATTTTTCCTTTGGGATTTTTCATGGGCCACTCATTGCTAGTGTAGGTACTCCCAGAGACAGAGTTTTTTGTTGTGAGTTTAAAAATTATTTTTGTTTTTTTGCTTTTTTTTTGTTTTTTGATGGAGATATAGGCTAACTTTATACTCAAATTCATAAGACTGCCTCTTGTGAATTTCCAAAAACAAAGCCACTGCCATCTTCCCATCAAATCATAATTTCCCTCTCTTTCAATGGCATTTAGTTTTTGAAAGATGAAAATTAATTTTATATTAAAATAGCATCCCAAGAGCTGACTGAAAGAGCACTTCAAAAAGAAAGATGATTCCATGCAACTCCGATCCCACATCCTTTGTAGAGTCCTGAGCTCTGGTTTGACTTCTTACATTGTGCTTTTACTTTCATCTTCTCTTTCACCCTGGAAATACAGTAGACAGAGCTCTGATGGTGAAATTAAAGGGAGAACAGGAGCCCAATTCAGACAGTAAACAACAACAACAAAATACGGCATGTATAACCTTCCTTCAGGAGATACAGTGCAAGTGGAAAATTCTAGGCTTCTTAAAAGGAAGTTTTTAAGTTTTGCAGGAAATGCTATTGAAATGTATATATTCTCAATCTCTCTCTTTTGTTTTTGTTTGAGAGGGAGAAATTCTAGGCTAGAAGATCATCTTCATCATGTTTTTTGGAGAAGCCCCAGTTTAGTAATACCATTAGCTGAAAACTATTTTTAATTCAGACATTAGCAACTGGCATAAAACCCTACTTTCCACTTCTCTTGATTTTGCACTGACAATTTGGCAGCCCACTCTACCCTTAGGCCCAAAAGAGCCATCACATTTGTAAGTCTGTATTTAGGAGATTCTGACAGAGATGTATGCAAGAGGAAAGGTCAACAAATGCCCACAGGAGGATCAACATTCTAGAAAAGATGTAAGAACCGCCCCAAACCGCCATCTCACTCATAATCAAAAATATTTCAATGGCTCTAAATTACCGTTGTGCAGAAACCAGCTTAGCAAAAATAAGAAGAGCTGACACTTTTATGGCCATTGGCTGTACGGAACCGGGACATCCAATACATTCCTGATGGGAGGGCAAAATGGTTCAATCTTTCCGGAGGGGTACTACAGAGCACTGTGATTCAGCAGTCCCACTTCTGGGAATCAATCCTTAAGTACACCTTCACAAAGCAAAATGATTTATTACATCTTTATTCATCACAGCACTGTTTGTAATAGCAAAAGACTGGGAAACAGCCCAAAGGTCCAGCAGTAGAGATTGGTCAAATAAACCATGGTACATCCACATGATGGAAAACTTGTTATTCTGTGTGTGTGTGAGAAAGAGATACTTGCAGAGACAGATGTCTAAAACATACCACTAATTTTAAAAGGTAAGGTAAAGAAGAGTATATACACCACCTTTAATGAGAGAAGGGGGGAGAATTAAAATACCATATATTCTTATTTGCTTGTGTTTACAAGTTGCTACTTGCAGAGAATATGGGAAAGGCATGGATGGGGATAAGATGGGAGCAAGGTTTTTGAATTTGAAAACTTTTGATTTTTGTGAATTTGCTATTTAAAGAAATCCTGGGGCTGGGCACGGTGGATCAGGCCTGTAATCCTAGCACTTTGGGAGGCTGAGGCTGGCAGATTGCTTGAGTCTAGGAGTTCGAGACCAGCCTGGGCAACATGGTAAAACCCCATTTCTACAAAAAACACAAAAGTTTGCCAGGTGTGGTGGCAGGCACCTATAGTCCAAGCTATTCAGGAGGCTGAGGTGGGAGGATCACCTGAGCCAGGGAAGTCGATGCTGCAGTGAGCCATGATTGTGCCACTGCACTCCAGCCAGGATGACAGACTGAGATCCTGTCTCAAAAAAAAAAAAAAAAAAAGGAAGCAAGAAAAGAAAAGAAATCTTGTAGGGAATTCTTGTAAGAAATTGTCAAAAATGTTTACCTTTGTATATGGTTATAATGTTTCTTGAGGATCATATATTATATATTTTCAAAAATATTGAAGTTGTATAAGCAATTTTCCCAGAAGTGTGAAGAACAGGACAAGATTGGCATGGAAGAGATAAAGCTAAGGTGGAGTTCAACAGCTCAGGAGGAGGAGTCGAAGAAACCTGGGTTTAGGCAGGTAGGTTCTCATGTGAAAGTCAGTCAGAGAAATCTCAGTCCAGAATTCAGGAGGTAAGCACAGTGAGTGTGGAGAGGGTAATTTCTGCCCTGTGTTATATTACCTGCTGGATGTGGGTGGCTCTGAGCCCCCGGATATTTATTACAGCCATAGGAAGTCAGAGAACTGTAGGTGAATGGGAGGCAAAGATAGGAACACTAGGATTACCTTCTAGGCAGCCTGCCAGGAGCATTGATTTGCTCTTGGATAAAGCATGCTGCTCATCAAATATTTATGTTAAAAAAGAGGGCAAGGCATGTGCTGGAATATTCTGCTGAATTTGACAGAGATATTCCTTGAAAACTTGAGACTCCTGGAATTTTGTGTAATCAAATCATACTATAAACACAACAGGTGAATTTGCTATTTAAAGAAATTCTGTAAGAAATTCTTAGGAATTGTCATCTTCTGCTCTTTCTGCTTTGGGAATCTGAGTATGTCTGAAGATAGCTGCATTTAACCAGGTTAAATGTGAAAGGCATTCACGTTTCTGCATCTTTTAGTTTTTTTCACAAGGTGTATTGTCTCCAGAAAACAGCAGATGGCCTAGGTCCGAAGTATGAACCAGCACCTTGATCCTCAGGACCACTGCCTTAGCAGTTAGATTCACTAAACATGGCTGATCCTACAGGCTGTGCAAATGCCTCCCAGAAGAGGAGCCAGGAGAAGGAAGTTGATTCTGGCTACAGGCTTTCTAAAGGATCAACTTAAAAAAGCAAGAAAGTAGTACCAGTTGGTACTAAGGGGAACACAGACAAACTCTCTGAGTTTGTGGTACCTTTGATAACAAGACTCCGCACCTTTTAACCTAAACTAGAAGCCTTTTTCCAGAAGCAGCAGCTACTCATAGGTAAGTTCCAAAGGCTCCTGCAACCACTGTTACTTGCATCCTGTCCCCAAGGAAAAAGGCCTACGGCTGGTCAATAAATAACATGAATCCCTCTCCACGTTCCCAGGAGTTACTACTACTCCATTCCCTGCACCAGGCCAACTACACAACGGGTGCTGGTGACCCTGGCAAGTATTAGGCAATACTGAGCATGCTGGTGTTTAAGTAGCAATAAACAATGTCAACAGCACCCAAAGTGCTGGTCTTTACCTACCCCTCAGAAATAATGAATTGAAGAGAAAGAAACTCATCATAGGCAATGTGTACCACTGAATGTTTGTTTCCTAGCATATATAATCAGTATTACTTTTTTACATGTACCTTGCTGACATACCACAGAAAACATGGTTTTATTCCTTCATTCCACTGACATTCATGAAGTTTATATGTTTCCCAATAAAGCCTGACATGATAAACCAAATGGTTAAGTGACAGACTCTGCCAGCTGATGGCATCTAGAGGACTACTGTGGCTACAGGGGCTTTGAGAAGCAGAGCTGCTGGTAGCCATATTGTGCCTTTGTGTGTGTTAAAAAAAGGCATTCCTTCCATGTACACCTAGACTTTTGCAGGCTTGATAGCATCAGAAAGAAGTTCCCTTTTCTCCTAGCAGAGGCAATCCTACTCCAGGATGCATGTGGTTTTGTTTGTTTAGCAGATGTGAGCCTCCCATTTGCCTCCTTGCCCAGGCACTTTTGTGCAGTGAACAACCTGTATAACAGTTCAAGGTATCCCTGTCAAGAAGTCACAATCCATTCCTTCTGCTTCTTGGCCAGACATCCAACCCTCCCATGACAACTTATCTGCACAGCCAATCATGACCTTATATACCCACATGAAGCCCCATGGTCTAATGTGCAGGCCATGGTCTAATAATTCAGAAGATTTCATTAGTCTAGGCACAGCTCAGGCACCTAGTCTAAAGGTTACACCTTTCTAATTTGCCTGAGATTCTGGTTAAACTTGGTATGATGATGTTATCTCAATAAGGTCTTCAATAAGCCTCAATAAAGTCCAAGAGGCTTTTAGATTTTGATTCCTCTTTCCACCCTTAGATTTAGCTCATGTTGGGATTTAATGGATTTCAGTTTGAGTCTTCATTTGAGAAAAAACCTTATGTTTTTCCTCTGCAATAATTTATCCCCCCAAAACAACACAAAATTTGAGGTAACTGCAAGCTTGGGGTCTGAGTCAAAGGGTCCCAGTGGGGAGTTAAGGGTTTAGTGTCCAGTGGTCAAGGACGTCTTGGCTAGTGCCATCTGAAGCTAAATAAAAGCCTGATTATTTCACATCAATGAAGTTAAGATTCTGCCTCCAATGGGCTCATGTGAGTTTGCACAAAGCCATTCTGAATCAAGACAATTCTCTACACACAATGCAAGTGCAGAGATGGCAACTGATTCAGACTTCACTCCAGTGAGCATGTGTGATCACGCAAACTCAAGTTCAACCAGAGCTTATACTTCTCTCTTCGGTCAACTAAAGGGGATCCTATGTCAATTACATGACCTTGCCTGCAAGGGGAGTGGTGGCCTACTGTGTCAGAAAGCATACAGAATACAAAGCCTTCTGACTCTCTGGGCCCAAAGTCACCCACTTATTATACAATCAATGAAACTGAAAATTACAGAAGATTTTAGCAACCAATCTCTTAGAACTTCTAGATACTAACCCTCTGGCAGAACTGAAAGTATTAATTCTTAACAGTCTCCAACACTCCAGTTTTTTTTTTTATTTTTTTAAGATGGCATCTTGCTCTGTTGCCCAGGCTTGAGTACAGTGGCACGATCTCGGCTCACTGCAAGCTCTGCCTCCCAGGTTCACGCCATTTTCCTGCCTCAGCCTTCCAAGTAGCTGGGACTACAGGCGACCGCCACCACGCCCGGCTAATTTTTTGTATTTTTAGTAGAGACGGGGTTTCATCATGTTAGCCAGGATGGTCTCGCTCTCCTGACCTTGTGATCCACCCGCCTCGGCCTCCCAAAGTGCTGGGATTACAGGCGTGAGCGACTGCACCCAGCCAACACTCCAGTTTTTATTATACAGTAATTCTCTGAAATGCAGACCCATTAAAAGAAGACAAAAACCCTCCTTGTCACAGGATGGTAACCAGACACTTCACAACTGAGCACTTTTACGACACCCAATAAAGACTAACATGATAAACCAAACACTTAAGTGACATCAGATATGATTTTCAAGAGAGACTCTCCAATAAATGGAATAATCTAGCTACAAGTTATCTTAAGTCAAGTCACCTCCACCATCTGCCCTGGATCCATGCTACCTGTTAACTACTCTCCTGTCATTCCTAAGGGAGGAAAGTGGGGAGGTCAGGATCTGTGGGTATGTGCTGGTTCTAGAACAGGATTTAGCGAGTCAGTTCCTTCATCTGTACTATCCAGACCCCCTTTGGAAGTCCAGGGATGAAAGAGGTAGGCTTCACAGGGTCACCAAGGACTGGGCCTTTGTGTGCGCTTCAGGCCTGCTGGGTCTCAGCAGCCATTTGGAAGTGTTAACTGCTATGGCTAAAGAGTGGCAAGCCTGATGGAGAGGCACTGATGATTCTCCTCAGGAAGGTCACCTAAAAGGAGTCTCCTCCTCATGTTTCTCTTGATTAGTTTTATAGTTTTTAAGCAAAACTGACTCCATAAAGCCCACTTCACTCTCACCTCTGGCTGGATGCACCTCCATCTCCGTGCAGAGGGCATGAGATGTGGAGTTAAGATGCTTCTGGGTCAAATTCTGTCCTTGCAACTTGAGCAAGGTTCAGACCTTTAAGGAACCTCAGCTTCCTCCTCTGGGCTGTTGTGACAACTGAGCAAGACTGTATACGGGAAGAGTTTAGAAAGGGCTCAGGATATATAATATATACAATTGTGCTGTAATTAGTTTTTATCTATCCAACCTTCCTGTTAAACTAAGTGCACCAATATCTGCCTCATTACTGTCTTCCAGGTGTCTGATATACTGAAGGTGCTGTAAAAACGCAGCTCATCAAGGCAGGCCTGGATCTGGGAAGTCACAACTTCCATAAAGTCAAGGTTGGTGGACTAGGTCTATATGCAGATCCTAAAAACCCACTGGTAGACTTTTCAAATATTCTTCATGAAGATCAAACTACAAGCTTCTGAAAGGCCTTCTCTTTTACCGCTAAACAATTCTCACTGCAAAGGTTTTGACATTTAACCGAAGGACATTCAACTGCCATAAAGTTGGTGCTTTTTCCAAAACAACAATAAAATCCTGCTATTTGTAGTTAACAAGCCAGATTTGTTTTTTAGTAACTATTACGCAAATTTTTTTTAGTATTTGTAGTTAATAAACCAGATTTGTTTAGTAACTATTACACAAATGAATTATATTTTAGTATATATATAGGCGCATTGTGGAAAATAGGGGAAAAGCAGGTTGGGGGTGGGAGAGCACCATAATCCCATCACCAATTTGTCTGTATTTTCTTCTAGGCTTTTCTTATGGTTTAAAAATAATTTTTAAGCTAGCTGTAATTGTAATAACACAATGTAACTGTGCATACTGCTTTTCCCCATTTTAAACTGTAACAGACTTCATGTATTACTGATTTTTTAAAGTCTCTAATAAAAAAGAAAATGGAATTGAGATTTGGAAGAATTAACTTGTTTAACAAATTAATATTGCAAACCATTTCACATTTAAAAGACAAAATGATGATTGTCTAATTCTCTTACTTTTTAAGTACTATTTGGCAGGACTATTTAAATTACTGAGCTTTTTTTAGATTTGGGGGAAATATTAAAATTTTGTATAGCTGTTTTCCTGTTACAAAAATAATGCATGCTCATTATACAACATTTAGAGAAAATTTCAATAATTTAATGTTAACATTTATTGAATGTGGACTATGCACCAGGCACTATTCCAAATGCTATATACATAGATTAGCTCATTTATTCCTCACAACACTTATTGAAGCATAGATTAAGTAACTTGCTCACAGTCTACTCACCTAGAAGTATGAGCCAGAAATCATTATGTTATGTTCTAGGAGTGAAACGAATCAATAATTTACTCAATCAAATGCTTCAGTTGTTTCAGAGCATAATGTCATAGGCAAGAAACAATTAATAATCACACTGTACCCTTTATAGTTATTTAAAATTATTATAAACCACATCTCTGTGTCCCAGTGGAGCAATTAGTAAAATGAGAAATCATCTGTGGCATGAGCTAAGATCCTGGTTCAGCCCAATTCTGTGCACCTGACGTGCATTAGGACAAAAACAAGAAGCTTTAAAGGGTTTGTTTTAAAGATGGAGGCTTTTTTTTTTTTTTTTTTTGAGACAGAGTTTTTGCTCTTGTTGCCCAGGCTGGAGTGCAATGGCACGATCTCGATTCACCGCAACCTCCGCCTCCTGGGTTCAAGTGATTCTCCTGCCTCAGCATCCCGAGTAGCTGGGACTTCAGGCATGCGCCATCACGCCTGGTTTATTTTGTATTTTTAGTAGAGATGGGGTTTCTCCATGTGGGTCAGGCTGGTCTTGAACTCCCGACCTCAGGTGATCCGCCCACCTTGGCCTCCCAAAGTGCTGGGATTATAGGTGTGAGCCACAGCGCCTGGCAAGATGAAGGCATTTAAAAAATTTTTTAGATTTTAGGAAATGAGTCAACAATGTGATGAGTAGATTTCCTGAATTAACTGAACACCCAATCTCATGAAAGTTTACAAATAAAACAACGACTCACAATCAGCCTAACACTTCTTATGGCTTATCTGTTGGCCTTGGACATCAGCACATGCAAAAGTAAATAACCGGATACCCTTGGGTCACATGTTTTCATACTTTGATTAAGAATTACACTTGGTTAAAGATGAATACTTCTGTTCCTGGCTTAATTTCTTACCTAGGGCTAATAAACACAACTATTTGAAATATAAATTCTCTTTAAATGTAAAGGATAATGCAATGTTTCTGACTGTCAAAATTACTATGCAACTGTAACTTTAGCACTAAAAGCATATTAAAACTATTAATCCTTTAATCATAATTATTCATATTGCTGTGGTAGAAACATCACACATACACACACACAAACACACACACACCAGTTACTTTCTGTAGAATTTGAAATTGCTCTATCTAGCATTTCCGGAAGGTTCAAGCTGCCACCCTGCAATTTATCCAGTAGCCTGCTGCTTGAACAAGCTAGATAAATATCTAATAATTTTGACCATGTACTGCGTGTTAAGTCCAGTTTAAGTGTTTTCCAAAGACAAAGTTTTCATATACTTTCTGTAAAGCCCTACAGATAGAGACCATTATTATCCCCATCTTATAAATCAGACTGAAAAAGGTTAAATAGCTAATATTTTCATCTAAGTCTGTCTGACTCCAAAGCCAACACCCCAAATCACTGTTAAACAAGCTTCTCTTCCAAGTTAGGGCTCAGAAAAATTTACTTGCTTTCACAACTTGCCTTCCTAGGTTAAGCTTAAGCTGACATAAAACTCCAAAACAAAGCAAAACACAATAAATCACATAATTCTAATTTTAAAAAAAACTAATTTGATATTGGCTAACCACTTCCTCAAGTTTTCTGACCATGAAGCCCTTTGCTCTCACACTTTAATAAACCACCGATATTCTCTAACAAGTGACAACACAAATCCACAAATCTAATTGTTAGAGAGCTTTCAAGTAAGACTGGAGCTTTCTGGACAGGAAATTTTTATAATTCTATTTTTTTCAGGCTCTTGTGAAACACAGATTCACATTTTCATATATTTCTACACAAATCTAAGTGCTGTGTGCCCTGTTGGGGGTTCGATATCTAGTAAATTACATGAGTTAAATACAGCAAAAATAGGACTGCATTATTTATAAGGTCTAACGACGCAGTAGACTTTTCAGCATTTTTTGGACTTAAACCAGGGCTTTACGGCGCTGGTTAACTATTAGAGAAGGCAAAGGGACTGAACATTTTATCTGAAAGTCCTTTTATCACTTAAGACTCTGTAAAATTTTTGATTACTTTAAAAATTGTGTGTGTGAATAACGTTAGTTTACTAGAAAAGGGGCTTGCTAGTATATATAATTTGGTTAAAAAAACAAAAACAAAACAAAACAGCTCCTTACTTGAATGTGATTGTTTTGGCAATAGTAAAATTCAATCCCGTCGTTCTAGCGCTGCCTGCCTTCCTGGTTCTCCTAGGTGAGGGCCGCCATCCTGCGATAATTTACTTCGAGAGCTGCGAAGCGCTGGCAAGGGTGCAGTCTGGTGACTAGCACTTTTAAAAACAAAGCCAAACTCCGCTTTTAAAATAGAGAAGGCACAGACGCAGACCCTGCCTCTGACGACATCCAAAAGATTCATTATACACAGCCTATTCAGGCGAAGCTACAACCGCCCCAGGAAATATAAACTGTGTCGGCAAAGACAGCAGGGGGGAGAGGAAGTAACTGATGGGAAGGAAGCTAATCATGTGAAGTTTGTCCAACTCCACACGGTCTAATAAATTCCCGTTTGTTTCCGCTGGGAGCAGCCATTAAACGCGCCCTGACACGTGGGCGCAGGAACCTCCCTTCTACCTCTGGTGTTCAGAGATTTCCTTCTCGACCCACTTGTTTGTATACAACCACGCCCGGCAGGATGACCACCAGATGACCGGCCGCAGCAATGCCTCCACTCAGTCCCAGTTGGGCAAAGTTTCACTCCACTGCGGCGACGTGAACAAGAATCACGGCTTCCTTATCGTGAGTTATGAATGATTTAAGCCAAGTTTACAGGACACACAAAGCGAGGGACGAGTGAGTGACGGGAGGTGCTAAGTGACAGCGTTTTAAAGTTAGCTTTAATTGATATGCCCTAATTAAAATGAAAAACAGAATTCACCCTGCCCCACGGGATAACTGTCGGGGCAATAATTAAAAAAAAAAAAATCACCCAAGACTAAGCCTCAACCTCCCCCTTACCACTTGCAAATACAGTCTGCAGAAAAGCAGCCTCGGGTCCCCACTCGGGGGTCCCTCGCGGGGTGCGTCATATGGGCTCTCCCCTCTGCGACCCGCTATTTCCCTGCTAGACCCCCAGCGCCCAGCGGATTCCAAGGCTGCGCTCCCGCCGGCTGGTCCCGGGAGGTAGAAAGTAGGCAGAGGGGCGTGGCGTCCCTGTCGCCCCCACATGCCAGCCCTCCTCCAACGCCTGACACCACCACAAGCCACGGCTGGGAACACTGGGGGCCTCCCAACCCGGCGCGGGGCGCACGGCCGCAGGCTGGCGAGGAGGCAAGCGAGCTCAAGGGGAGACCTTTCCTTCCACCCCCAGCCCTAGCCCCAGCCACAGCCGTGGGGGCGGCTTCCCGCAACCTCGGGCGGCCGCCCGTCGAGGGCGCGCGCGCCGTTTCTGCCTCTGGGTCTCGGTGTCCCTTGGCCCCTTCCTCCCCCTCCCCCCGGTCTCCGGCGCCCAGCGCCCAGACCAGTCCCCGCCCTCCAGCAGGACACTCTTCCCTCCTTCCTTCCTTCCTCCGCTCCCTCCCTCCATCTCGCTTCCCAGCACCCGGGACTCGGAGGCGGCCCCCGAACTCGCTGGCCGACGCCCCGCGCCGCGCCCCGACCCCGCGGGGACCCGACTCACCACCCGCGCCCGCCGCTTGGTACTCACCCGCCTGCCGGTGCGCTGCCCCGCCGTCGCCGCCGGGACTCGGTCTCTAAGGGCTCCTGGAGACGGCTCCGACCTCTCCTCCTCCTCCTCCTCTTGCTCCTCCGGGCGCCGGCTCCGCCTCGCTGGGGTGGGCGGGGCGGCGGCGGCCCCGGGCTCCTTCCTCCGCGCCGGGCCCTGCCTCCCGCCCGGACGCCCTGGCTGTGCTGTCCCGGGCCGGGGAGCCCGCGTTGTGGCCCCGCAGGAGGAGGGGCGAGGCCTGGCCTGTGGAAGCTCGGTGGACGTCTGGTCGTCTTTGGCCATCCCCCTTCCTCTAATTCTCATGGAGGACCTGAAGTTCTAGGACTTGAGGGCCCCCACTCTACGACCCGCCCCCGCGCGGGGCCGCCCTGACTCCTCGCAAGTTTCCTTCGCGTGCGAACGCCTCGCTTGCCCCTGTGCCAGCGGTCCCCAGGGCTGTGAGGATGAGCGCTGCCAAACCCCTACACGAAAGTTTGGTTCTGTTCCAGAAACTATGGAGGAAAACACGCATAGTAACATTTAAAGGGCCCTGGGGCCACGGAGAGAAGTTTCCCAGAAAGTGGAGGTATAACTGCGGATTATAGAATTTGTAGTACATCCACCCACCATGAGCTTCCCGTCCATCTGCCCCGACCCCCTGAAATTTGTTTCCGAATGTCCAGTACCTGGCAGAGTTCTGCCTAATGAATTAATGGGATTTGGTTGGTCTTTTCTGGAAGGGTTCAAGGTCGGGTAAATGGAGGAGCCATTTCCGCTTCCACAGATTTTGTACTATTCCTTTGGCCATTCGACAGACATTACCAAGCACCCGCTGTGTACCAACTGCGATGCTAAAGGTGATGGGAGAGGTACAAAGATGAATCAGACAAGGGGCTTGCCTTCTTGGAGTCCAGAAAGAGTAAAGAAGCTGGATGTTCAGAAAACCACTCAGCGGACTTCTAGAGTATTCCTAGGTAGCCGCTTTCTTGTTTGACAGGGTGGAGAGAAAAGAGGTGAGGCCAAAGTAGGTCACTTAGAACCAGTGTGGGCAGAGTCCACACTTGAAATGGAGTCTGAAAGCATTGGTGAGGGATGTCTGTGTATTGAGTTTCACCAACTGAGGACAAGTGGGCCCTGGGGAATCTGGGAACTAGGGACTGCAGTCAGGGCATTATATTCCCTCTTGCTTTCCTTCTGACCCCTAAGCAAGTTTCAGGTTTAGTGAAATCATTTGCACATGTAGAAGAGGTGTCACAGGTAGAGTAGGTGTATGAATGCATGCCTTGCCCCAGGAGTGTGGTCTTAGCAAGCTGCGGATGGCGGTGGTTTGTGGGATGCAAGCCACAGACTGCCAGAGGGGTCTTTATTTCCTGTTCTGTTCAGCATTAGGAAATGCTTGACTGATTCACAAGTACTAACAGTTCAAATGATACACCTGAAACAGAACAGCTTGACACCACAGGGACTGAGAGGGTGGCATACTGGAGTTTGTATTTTTTGGCCACAGACCACAGAATAGACTCCTCTAAGCTATGCTACTAATTTTCCTTCCTGGGACACTTTATAGTTTAATAAGTGCTTTCATGTACTTACTCTTACTTTTCTCTCATTAGTCTCTTGAAAAAACCTGGAAGCTGGAACACCACATATTGCCACCAGTAACTTAAGCGGCTTGTCGAAGGTTTTTCTAGTTGAGTGCTGTTCAAAGTGTGGTTCATGGAATAGTGACAGTCTGCAAACCGTTACCCATCTACAAAGGGATGAGCATAGAAATTGAAGATGAGCATGTAGAAACTTACAGCAATTTGACAGAGTAATTTTATGTCTGTTAAATCGTTTAAAATGCAGCTTTGTATTTTATGTCTATTTCATTTTTCTTTTATGTGGAAAGGCATCAGCCTGCAACAGATTGAAAATAAAATATCACAGATAGTTTGAGAAGCACTGATCGAGATAGTATTAGGTTAGTACAGAAGTTATTACCGCAATTACTTTTGCATCAACCTAATAGCAAGGCAGGAATGATAAGAGCTAATACTTAACCAGCACTTTCTGCGTAGCAGATGTTGCTTTAAGTGCTTTACATATATTAAACCTTTTAATCCTCCTAACAACCTAAGGACGTAGTCACAGGAAGGTTAGGTCTTACAGAGCAAAACTGGCAGAGCCAGGATTCAAACCTTGGCTGGCTGACCCAATACTTTGTGCTTTTATCGATGCCCTTGATCCAGTGTCCTTTCTACTCTGCTGATGTTTCCCAAACTTAAAGGATTCACATTCCATTTTCATACAACTGTAATTCCTATTTTTTATTTATATTTCTTATTGACTCACTTTTGTTATTTTGTACATATATTACCCTGGCAGTTAGTAACTCCAAGCATGTAATCATGGGTTTGAAAAGCAAGCATCAATCTTCTACTCTAGTTTATATTAAAGTACATGCCTAATTCCAGCACTTGCTGCCAGTGCTTGGCCATACCCCCTCCAGTCCTTTTCCAGTTTCGTGCACACTGGTTCCAGGCGTGCTTTCATTCCCTCCTGCCAGCACCCACATCATATTCTCAGAGTACCAGCTCCAGCTGCAGGATTTGCTTTGCCTGGGCACAGGGCAGCTGGAAATGTGTAGAATTAATGTCCTCCACCTCCATCCCTAGCCTTTAGCCAGTGTGGAGGAATAAATATTTCAGCTCCTTTGCTCATATTTGTGATAACTGGGTGGATCTACATTGTCTACAGAGTTCCCTATGCTGTTGGGCCAAATTCCATGAGCCTGTTTGGTTTCTTATTTTTTTTTTTCTTTCTCTAGCCTTCTTTTAACTTTTTTTTTTCCTTTTTTTTATGTTCTTGCTATAAAATAGTTAATGAACTATTTTCTACCCCCTCACCCAGTGGCATTCAAAACAAATAAATCAGTTTCCTATGAAAGAGTGTCAGTGGAGTGGAGTGAAATTTATGCTTTATGAGATAAGGTCTTTGGGATTAAGTCCTGGCTTTGCCGTTAACAAGCTGTGTAAATTTGAGACAGTCACTTAACTTTGCTGGGTCTCTGCTTGTCTTTAAAATAAAGGGATTGTAAGAGAATGGCTCTAAAGTCCCAATTCTATGGAAATTAGATTTTAGTTTTAAAAAGTGGCTTTCTTGGCCATTTAATCCCTCACGAGACAAGCAAGAGAAGTGGTTTTATAATTCAGGACAGTTGTTTTTTTTTAACGAATTGCAATTCATATGTCAATCTACTGTGAATTTCTATTTAATATTCAATAACAACACTGTAGCTAAAGGATGAGTCAGAAAGAGATGGTGAAGAAATGAAAAAGTGAGGCAAATCAGTCAGTCTCTCGGTGATCAGGTCTCCACAGACTTCAGAACAATTTTTTATTTTATTTTTTTAGAGATGGAGATCTCACTTCAGAACAACATTTTTGGGATATCAGCTTTGCTCCCTGTGGATTTTATTGGTCCTATTGCACATGGCTTCACTCTTTGTCTGGACCTGCCCTGGAAGGCAGGGAGAGCTCCCTCCTTTTGAGTAGGTCACCTGGGAATAAGTGTCTTCCAAACTGGTTTTTCTGCTCAGTCGGAGACTGCCATATTTCCATGTAGAAGTTAGGTCAGGGAGAAGCACCCACAGTCTTGGAAATCCCCAAGTAACCTGTTGAAACGTGTATTGCCATAGGCAGGAGCTATGACCAAAACTGTGGCTACAGATCAGAAGGCAATTTAGCATAGTTCCACACTTACATGGGTGGAAACCTTCAGAGGCCTGGGTGGGAGTGACCCAAAATGGAGGCACCCATGCAAGTTAGTTGATTACTAACTCAATATGAGCTCTCTGGCTTATTACTGCAATAGGCCCTCTAGCTCTAGGGAGTGGAAGTCCCCAGATACTGTTGTCTAGAAATAAAACATATGGGCTCAAGAGTTAATGAATTTCCTGTCATTGGAGGAGTTCAAGCAGTGGTCTCTTAGAAAGTAGAGATTTAGAGGATATCAGCGATGCAACCCAAATGCCCATCACAAGAGATAAGATACCTCCCTCTAAAGCACTCTGAAAAAAAGATATAGATCTAAATATGTTCACATGAAAAGATGCCCTCAATGCATTCTTGAACATAGATAGCAGATTATAAACCATCATGTGGAGACGCTTCCATTCATGTATAAAAAAGCATACATACACACGAATCTCTTCTGTAAGTGTATCTGCAATGATGTTTGTCAAAATAGTAACAGTGACTTTCTCAGGGTGGTGAGATTTCAGGTAACCTACCTTTTTTATACTGCATGAATTTTTTCACAGTGAATGTGTAGCTTTTCTATAAATCATGTCTTTTTGCATATTGTAAATGTATCTTTCTTTCATAATATAAAAAGACAAAAGGCATTGTGCAGACCAGGAGTTGGCAAATTATGGCCAGAGGACCAAAGGACCACATCTTTTGTAAATAAAGTTTAATTGGAACACAACCACACTCATTCATTTCCCTGTTGTCTACGGTTGCTTTTGTTTTTACAAAGGTTAAGAGCTGAATAGCTGTAACAGAGCTTATGGCTTGCAAAGCCTAAAGTGTTTTATCTGCCCCTTTAGGAAAGAAGTGTAGCAACCTCTGGTGTAGACAATTGGACTGGAAAACGTTTTCAGCATGGCAAATTGCAACCTAGATTTTACTTTTTCAGATTTCAATTTATCTGAATTTCTATTAAAAATATGTATAGGCTGTATATTTTAAAGTATATCCCAGTTCTGAGTAGTGATTATAACAGAGCAAAGTGACAGTATTAGTATTTGGGTAGCTAAGGTCTGTATATTCTCCTTCTTCTTCCTCTTCCTTATTCTTTTCCTCCTCCTCTTCCTCTTCCTTCTCATTCTCCTGATAAGATCATCATCTTATTCTACAGTTTGCCCTCAGATGCTGTTCCACTTGAGAAAGTACCAGGAGGAGAACTGAGGTTTCTCTTTCCTGGCTTGGATCTCTCCAAGACAGAATAATTGAGGAAGTCCTTGACAAAATAAATTGTCCTGGCAGAAGAGAGGCAAAGTTCTAAAGAATAGACGTAGACCTGGAGGAGAAAAAACAGGGACGCTGAAGGAGCCCAGCTGAGGAGGAGGGGAGGGTGTCCAGCTCCAGAGGAAAGGCTGGGAATTAGATGGAGTAAATCTCTCTCTTTTCCCCTTCCCTCATCACACCCTTCCCACACGATCCATCTAGCCTCCAGATATACAGAGGAGGTTTGGGGATTTTTCTCCTTCACAGTCAGCAGTATCCAGCATCAAAGCTCCCATTTGCAGAACTCACATGAGCAAGGCTAACTAATGGCAGTCTGAGCAATGCCAGGCCCTTGCTCATTTCCAGAACTCAGCCAGAAAAGCTGGATATTGGCCTTGATATGGAATGTACTCAGATACCAAGTAATTAAATGATTCAGCAGAAACACGCTCTTTGTCAGCCACTCACCTTAGACCTTCCCTGAAGAAAACATAGGCCCCTGCGGTGTCAGAAAGAAAAGCAGCCTGTGATATGATTAGATTATTGGTTCACCTATAGCCTATGCTATTGGGTTTTGACTCCTACACAGGCAACTCTGTGGACCTGTAAGCTAAGTTAAAAAGGGCATGGAAAGTATTTACTCTGGCATGTTGATAACAAACCTGTTAATTTCATCTAGCTTTAGATACTGGTGAGAATGGAAAGTGCCAAGCCTGCAACCTCAGTGACTCCAATTTACACGGTTCCCAAAATAAATAAAATATTTTTTCAGAATATGGGGGAATCTCAGAAAATGTAATAAAAATGCTATTTTCTTTCAGTGTTCCAGTATTACATATTTTAGAGTACTGAAATCCTGGCATTATTGTTGGTATTATTCATTTATCTCAGTATTTTTTGAGAATAAAAATATGAACGATTTCTGTCTTGAGACTACCCAGAGAATTACATACCACATTAAAATTTTAAAGGTAATAGAAGTGCATTAGTTTAAAGAGTGTTCTGACCACATTCCTTGCCTGTTTAAATCCTCCACAGGTGTCTTATTGTTATTTTATTTCCTATTTCCTGGATTACTAGGGAGGTTGAGCACATTTTCTTCTATTTATTAGTCATCTGCAGTCCCAATACCAATTTGGGCATGGATCTACTTGCAGAGGTCTTTGATAGATTGTGCTGGATATTTCTGTATTCCTATAAATATCCTTGAGCTTTATTCTGGAATATAGTTAAGTTATTTGGAAACAGATTTGTCCTTTCAGTTCTGCTTTTAAGATTTGTTTAGCAGGATTGGAGCAGTTACCACTCTAGGTTTTTTGCCTCTATTGAAGCAAAAGGGGATTGTGTGTCTATTCAATGCTCCATAGATCTTGAGATTTTTTTCAACCTGGATGGTGGAAGGAGGGACTCTTCTTGGCCCTGTATGAGCATCAGGTACTGTTCCCTCTAATACCTTGCACATGGTTCTTCTCTCAGCCTTGGGTAGTTACTTCACCTGCAAGAGCCCATCATCACTCACCATACTCATGCTAGTTTCTGGATTTTCTTTCTGTACACTCTCTTCTCTCTGGTTCTCTGTCTTAGGAATTCTAGTTGCCTTAATCTCTTCTTGTCTCCATCACCTTAACTCAAGGAGTCCACCAGATTCTTCCTGAATTCCCCCTCTCTGCTGTGGCCTGGAAACTCCCTCAGGGGAGGGTGCTGGGGGAGTGGTAGGATACACCTCATCTGTTTCCCATCTCTCAGGGATCACTGTCCTCTTGTCACCTGATGCACAGTGTTTTGCAAACTGTGGTTTCATTTATTTTACCTGTTTTTAGGTTGCTACGGGTAGGACGGCAAAACTAGTTCTTTACTCCATCTTGACTAAAAGTAGAAGTTGCCCCTGTCACTCTAAAACATGTGTTATTCTTCTTTTTAACTTAGTGTTATCTAATATTATTGCCTGCCCCCCTCATCATGCTGTAAGCTCCATGAGGGAAAGTACTATGTCTGTTTTGTTTTCTGTTGCCTCCCCAGCACCTATAACATTGCCTGACACATAGTAGTACTCATTAAATATTGAATGACTGCATGAAAGCTAGACCAGGATGGAGATCATGAGAAAACTTGAATGATGAACAGGAAAATTGAACAGATTTTGCTGAGAGTGGAGGCTCCTATTCTGAAACCAGAAGAATGTAGGCCAAGTTCTATTCAATTGCAAAGTGAGGATCTTGAGCACTGCAATGCTGGTGACTTTACTCAAGCTAGTCTGTCTGTAAATCTGCCAAAGCTCTTGGCAGATTAGGTCACATTTTTGGAATCTGCTTGGAATTCAGGAACATGGCGGTCATAATGAATCATGATTTTGACCCTTCCTCTTAATCTGATTGGCTCTAAGCCCTTAACAAATATTAATTATGTCTCACAATGGAATTGCCACCCTGACCTCTTTTCTTAGACTGCTAACACTGGATACTGCAGTGTTCAGCCCTCCTATCCCATAATAACGTGCCTACTCCTCCTTCCCAAAAAAGGAAAGGATAGGGTACTGTTTCTATCAACATCCTTAAATTATTTAGTCAGTATCCTAAAGATGGACTTGACAATTGAACAATTTTCTTAAAAACCTCACTTGGTAATTGCAAAAGCCTGTCTACTGTTTTTTCTGACTCTAGTCTCCAAGACAGTCCTCTGAGGTACAGGAAAAAATTTTAGAAATCACAGCTACATTTAATTTTTGTCTTTTCCTTTTGTTATTATGGTAAGTCAGGTATATAATTTACAAAGACACATATATTAGGACTACATGCTCGAAGTCCTTACCGATGAAGTATACAATAAAAAATGTTTGGACATCACAGATCTCATCTCTGAATTCCCTGTAGTTAAGGCTGGCTTACTCTTCCTGTGAGGCACCTCTAATTGTGCCTCTTTCTTCTGCAAAACAAACAAAACCTCAACACCTCTGAGGCTTAAGTATAAGAAAACTTTTGCAGCAAGCTGAAGTTGAAAAGAAGGGAGTTTTTCTATGTAGATTCAAAATCCAGTCTGCAATTGTTTGTTAGTCCCCACATTTATGTAGCACATTGTAATTGTGTACTGCACTGAATATGGCTACAGGGCTTCCGATTTCAGAAGAACATGAGTCTGCTCTCAGCCAAGATTTGTATATATTTAGTTCTCTGTGAAGCCTCTCAGGTCCACTAAATTATGGACCCAGAACAAGTACGAGGCCATGAATATTTCCTAGGTGCCATGTTAGCAGACTGAATTGCTAAAGAGATTATAGAAATAACAAACTTTAAATATATGAAGTTATTTACCATCAAAGTAGTTTACAGAAGTAGCAATAGAGTAAAAATGAATCTACAATACACTGTGTGGGGTGTGTCTGTGTGTAGGGGTTGGGGCAGGGAACACCAAAGTGCCAGACACATGAATGAAGAAGATATTTTGGAAGAGGAACCTTTGGCCCTGGCCTCCCCATCTGACACCAAGTAGACTAGAAATGAACTGCTCAGTTGAGCCTTTACTGAATTCCTAACACACACACACACATGCACATGCAACACACACTCATGAACAAAGTAAAAAGGTTATTTTACTTCTGTAAGTTTTGGGATAGCAGACCTGAGAGTTGTACACATTATCTGAATACCTGGCTCCAACTCTACCTGCAGCAGGACTACCCCTGGGTTTTTCAGTAAGCCAGTCCATTGCTTTCAGTGTGCTCAGGCTAGCACAAGTGGAGTTTCTGTCCTTTGCATCCAAAAGAATTGGGAATAATGCAATAGCACTCTCTCTTTTAACTCAGGTGCAAAAGCTTCAGCTAATCATTTTTCTCAGTTGGTGACTTATGCTCATTTTTGATCTGTGCAATGGCCATCTCTTATTTGATTGATTGATTGATGGTTTTCTTTTTTTTTTTTTTTTTTCAAGGCTTAGATCTGCTATTTCTCTCCCAAGGATGTTTATGCTGATGGTTTTCATTCATATCCTTTTTATGCTGTTCCTACCCCATTCCTTTCCTGCTCATAGACATTCTAAGTCTAATGTATATCTAATTTTTATATACATCTTTTTATTTGCATGTGTCCTTACAAAACATATAAAATTTATTTTTGTGTTATTTTAATGGTACTGTATACTCTATGTAGGAAGAATACTTATGAATTCTTCAAATTAAATGTCATGGTGGTCTACAATTTTCTTCCTAAGTTATAGATTTCTTCTCTAAGAAATATACATCCTAATAGTGTCTATTTTTCTTGACAATTGTTTTGTCTTCTTGGCATTTTAAAAAAGAACTTTTATTCTCTGAATACCTACTTCTTCAGCCCCACTGATTGATTCCACATATATACTTTATTTTTTAATAGTAAATATTCTGGTTATATGGGTATGGTATCTTCTCATCTCTTTGAAAGTATTAATTATATATTGGACTTTTTTCCTGTTCTTTCTATTGTCTTTATTGTTTCTTTTGCATTTCCTTTCTTCTGTGTGTTTTAAAACCTTCTTTTTATCTGTGTCTTTCATGTTAGCAGCTTTGCTTAAATGTTGACTGATTCTTGGCTGATTCTAATTGGAACCCCTTTGTGTGTCCAGATCTTACGGAGTGGTGACAATAGGTAATAGAGCAGAGATTTGGCTATTTTGTCTTCAGAACTCTATTGGTTTCTACAGATTTCTTCTCTAGGGCTAGTCAGATACCCCCAAAAGGAGATCAGATACCCCACTTGGGGTTAAGGGGAGGATTTAAGCCTGGCTGCCAGCCTTCCAGGAGTCTGGATGTCTCATCATGGTTTTTGCTTGTTTTTAAGGCAGATATTCACTTAATCTTCTTGTTTTCAGTACAGTACTCTGTATTCTACTGTTTGATCATTCACTTATTCATTAAATATGTATTGAGTGTCCCCTTAATACTTTGTGCCAGGAACAGTTCTAGGTGCTTGGGGATACACTAGCAATCAAAACAGATGAAACTCCCTGTCCTCATGGAGCTTACATTCTAATAGGATACATGTCCAGTGTTCTGCCAGGGTTAAGAGAGGGATGAGTGGCTGGCTGCAAAAGGAAGTAGCAGAAATCTGGAGTTCCAAGGGGCCCTCATAAAGACTTTCAACCAGTCTTCCTGCTATGGTTTGGATATTTGATCCTTCCAAACCTCATGTTGAAATTGGATCCTCAATGTTGGAGGTGGGGTCTAATGGGAGGTGTTTGGATCATGGGGGTGGATTCCTCATGAATAGATTAATACCCTCCTTGGGAATGAGTAAGTTCCCTCCCTATTAGTTCCCATGAGACCTGGTTGTTAAAAAGAGCCTGGCACCTCCCCCAACTTCTCTTGCCTCCTCTCTCGTTATGGGGTCTCTGTATTCAGCCTGAGGCCCTCACCAGAAGCAGATCCCCAATCTTGAACCTTCCAGTCATCAGAATTGTGAGCAACTAAACCTTTTTTCTTTATAAATTACCCAGCCCCAGGTATTCCTTTATAGCAACATAAAACAGACTAAGACACCTCCTGTTTTCAGCTTCAGCCTACATTCCTATTTTCAAAAGTGCCTGATGCTTCTAATCTCTGAGCCTTTCTGGGTTTTAGTGGAATAAGCTAGCTTGCTTTTGTTGGCATTCCCCCTAACAGACTGAATTACTAAAGAGACATTTAGTAATTCAGATTACTAAATATTCTAGATATTTGGATTTCAGTTTTCCTTGTTCTGCTAAGCCAGTTGCCTTGCCACTTGGATGTTCATCTACTTTCCATCTCTTGTCTGCTCTGGTCCTCTCTCATTTTCCTCCTTCTATAGACTTATACCTTTTTGTTTTTCATTTAATGTTATTTTAATGGGATTTTTTTTTAAAAGGAGGAATAGAGATAATCCTGTGTTTGGTCAACTGTGTTTAACCATGTGCCAGCAACTTTCTATATAGGCACAAAGTTATTTGCTTGACGGGTAAAAAGCGGGGGCAGCCTGGGTAATGGTAGTATCAGATTCTGATTTCTTATAGTCACATCTTTGTCAAGATGTATTGTCTGAATTTAGGATGAGATCACAGAAAGGTACATAAGCATCAATGTTTCTAGGCCTCCCAGTATTATGGCTCATTTTCTTCCTTTCTCTCTCTCATTGACTTGCTTTCTCTTTGTTCTTAGAACATGTTTTATTTAACTTTCTTCTCCCTCAAATTACATTTTTATTTTCTCTTCTATTACTGACTTTCACGTTATCTCTTATTTTAAATCAATGTAGAGAGAATGTTTTTGACTAAATTTCTAGTCATTGCATGCATGTATTGTGATTTACAGAATAAAAGAGTGTTTTTTAAAGAATTGAAATGATAGGAACACTAGCGGCAAACATTAAACGCTTACTGTGTGCAAGGCACTATCCTAAGAGCTTTATACGCATTGCCTTATGAAATCTCTATTATCACCTTATGAGGTATCATTTCCACTTTATGGATGAGATATCAAGTCTTACTACCTTATTTTATAAAATCTAAGCTAAGAGAGAGTAAAAACTTGCTAAAATTCTTATAGCAAATGAGTGAAATTATAAAAATATTCATGAAATGAACATGTTTTATTTATTATTAGAATTATATGTATTCCTCATTAGGAGTTTGAAGTGGGGTTTGGTACCCCAAACCTTTAAGGCTCCCTGCTGAGGGAGCCACTTATCTAAAGATCAATAGCTAATTACAAGACAAAAAACCAGATGTATTTGATAGAATGGCAGAGATTGTCTTGTTAGCTGTGCTGGAGGGTTGAGTCCGGAAGCCAACATGGAGTTTTCTGCTCCCTTGAGTGGGGACTGGCTGAGTCTAGAATGGTTAGGCCTGCACAGCAGGTTCTAATCCACTGACCTAACCAGCTGTGCAGTAGAGAAAGGCTGGCTTGCCTCACCCACACCACTGCAGACCAGAAAGCTGGGCAGAGAGCACAAGTATTGCTAGGCCTCCCTCAAGGAGACAGCTTGTGTCTAGGTGAGATTCTCATAGGGGAACAGGATGGGGAAATGGGCCCACTGCACATGGGTGCATGTAGTAGGAGAGGACACAGGACACAGACAAGGCAGGCATCAGGAAGTGATCCAGTGTGAGCCAGGTGCCATCCACTGGGATTGGCATCCTCTTGCTTCCTCCTTGGGGATCTGTGAGTTGGTCTCTAGAAGTATGGGCAGAAATGTTCTTTCTCCTAGAAGCTGGGTGGAAGCGTTCTTTTTTCTATGGGTTAAGGTGGAAGTGTGAGAAGAGAAAATAGGTTCCCTTCTTAACATTTCTATTTAGATAAAAATTTAAACATTGCTTATGGCTAGTTCTGTATTCTAAATTCAAAACAACTTTTTTTTTTTTTACTATTGAATTATCTGAATTATTTTTTCTGTTTATTTATATGTTTATTTATTTTTTGAGATGGAATCTTGCTCCGTCACCAGGCTGGAGTGCAGTGGCGTGATCTTGGCTCACTGCGACCTTGGCTAACTGCAACCTCTGCCTCCTGGGTTCAAGCAGTTCCCCTGCCTCAGCCTCCCGAGCAGCTGGAATTACAGGCACGCACCACCACGCCTGGCTAATTTTTTGTATTTTAGTAGAGACAGGGTTTCACCGTGTTTGCCAGGATGGTTTCAATCTCCTGACCTTGTTATCCACCTGCCTCAGCCTCCCAAAGTGCTGGGATTACAGGCGTGAGCCAATGCGCACAGCCTATTTTTTTCTGTTTATAATGCATTCAGATGTTTTTTTCTTCTATTTTATCTTTTAAATCGATGCTGATTGCAACCCACTCAGGGTTACTTGACCCACTAATGAGTCAGGACCCTTAATTTGAAAACACTCATCTAGGAGACTTGTTGACATAATTTTGGAGCAAAAAGCTGTTCTTATTTGTAAAACATATAAGTGGCCCTTTGTTATTACATAGAGCAAGAATTAGGGCCTAGATTAGACAGGACTGGTGGAGACAAGATGCACAGTTTAGTAAAACTGCAAAGGATGATAAAATTTAAAAGATACTCTTCTTGGGTAGAGAGATTATTTTGAAGTTAACTGAGTCTTATTTTCCTGTGAGTGGTATGAAGGTAGTGCCAAAGATGCGATGTTAGGGAAAGACAAAGACTCTGAGGAGAATTGAAGGGAACACTTTGATCTTAATGGAAGCAGGTCCAGTACTGAGGTTCAAATCAGTGACAGCTAAGGAGGCTTTGACTGTTACCAGGGATTGGTCTATGGATACCAGGAGCAGCAATGTCCAACATTGGGTTTTGAGTAGTACTCTTGCAGTGCATCATAATTACCCCAAGATATCCTCAAGTCTTTAGTGAGGCTGGTTAATCACTACAGCCCAGCATCAGGCTAGTGACTAAGGGAAGGAAAGGAAAAGTTGAGTCTGTAGTTGAGATACCAATACAGTGTACCAGTACAAGACAAGACAAGACAGTGCAAGTCAAGACAGTAGCTAATAGCCTATAGCAGCAGTTATGAGATGGTAAGAAGAGACAAGCAAACCTGGATGGGGAAGCTATCTTGAATGCAAGGTGGCAAGTGCTAACAAAAGATGTGTATCTTTATCAGGAAGCCTACGTCTTCTTCAGGAATCCTTTTTTGGAAGGCAGTACTTTTTTAGAAGGGTGGTTGGATTTCTTGCTGTCACAGAGGTTTAGGGACTTGATTTATTTATTTAATTATTTCTAGATTTTAAAGAAATTGACTGTGCCCTAAATCTTGTTTTCCCCACTAGATCCTGCTCTGTGCCCCAGCAGCCTGACCAGCGTGGACTGCACCAATGGGCTCCCTTGTCCTCTAGCTTCTGGCAGGGTTTGGCCAATGGGAGGAAATCAAAGAATAAGAGATTGGGATATTTATTGCCCTAATTTCTTCCCAGCTGGGTGTCAGTGGGTTCACTGCATCTCCCCAGTGAAAGCCATAGCTCCTATCAGATGGCCGTCTCCACACAGCTAAACTCCCCCTCTTCTGGTAACCCTTACCTCTTCAGGCCTAGGGTGGTAATGGTTCCCCTTCTTGCTAGCTTCTAGATACTACGTTATTATTTGCTGGTTTCCCTGAACACTGTCCAATCTTTGTAAGTAGCCACTATTAAACTTTCATCAAATTAATGATCTGTTTCCTGCCAGATAGTACTGAGATTAGACTCAGGAAAGAGAGGTCTCCTCTATCATGGCTCTTTAGCGTGGACCCCATGCCTTACAGAGCCCACTAATCAAGATGAATGAGTGGAGAAACCTTTGGAAATGTCTTAAGGAATGCACAAGGACCTCTTTCACTTGAATCTGATGCTCAGTCCTGGCTTAGTACAACCTGCATTCATAAACATGTGCTTTCATGACTAACACTGCTCACGCTTTAGGGGAAATGTTTTTCCACATCTCTTTCCTGTGTCCTCAATACAAAAGGCCAGTATGTCTGGATGTTGTGAGGGTGTATGGCTCATGCTACTGCCAATGTTGGAGATGGGCACTGTTTTAGCATGTGGAGATTTGAGTGATAGAAGCACTTAGGATGAGAAAAAAGACAGTTTGTCAAATCGTTTCTCTCATTAATATAGTGAACTTCTGTAGGAAGTGCAAATAACTTAAGCTCTTTTGATACAACAAAGAGGGCCAGAAGGTGGGAAATAAACTCCACAAAACTTCAGGAGCCTGCCATTGTAGTGAAATTTCTAGGAACTGGAGTGTGCTGGGGTACCCCTCACAGACAGGACAAGTTGCCACAAATGGCACCTTATACCGCTAAGACAGGGGCACCACGTATGGAAGCCTCTTTGGATTTTTTTTTTTTTTTTTAATGGCGATAAGTTCTCACTATGTTGCCCGGGCTGATCTTGAACTCCTGGCTTCAAGCGATCCTCCCACCTTGGCCTCCCAAAGTGCTGGAATTACAGGCATGAGCCACTCGGCCTTTTTTATTTTATTTTTTTTGTCACCAGCAAAGCATTAAAATATTTTTTAATTGAAATTTTTATTGAGTTAAAAATTTTTTATCTTATAGCACACAATTGTGAGAAATAATATAAAAAGATCTCATGTGCTCTTTTCCTGGTTTTCCCCAGTGGTGACTTTTGCAAAGCTGTAGTATAATATTATGACCAGGACATTGATGCTAATATAGTCAAGATATAAAACATTTACATCATCACAAGTATTCGTAATGTTTCTTTTTATAATCACACTCCCTTCCACCATGTCCTGAAACCCTGGCAATCAGTAATCTGTTCTTCATTTCTAAAATTTTGTCACTTCAAAAGTTGTTATGAAAAAGGAATAATACATTATGTAACCTTTGGGAAACAGGCTTTTTTTTTCACTCTACACAATTCTCTGGAGATTTATCCAAGTTGTTGTGTTTATCAACAGTTGATTCCTTTTTTATTGTTGAGTAGTATTCCATGGGATGGATGCACTAAAGTTTGTTTAACCATTCACTCACTGAATGATATATGGACTATTTCTGTTTTTTGACTGTTATCAACAGAGCTGCCATAAACATCTGTGTACAGGTTTTTGTATGAACGTAAGTCTTAATTTCTCTGGGACAAATGTATCTGAGTACGTTACTGGGTATGGTAGTTGCATGTTGAGTTTAAAAGAAATTGCCAACTGTTTTTCAGCATTGCTGAAACATTTTACATTCCCATCAGTAATTTGTGGATGATATAGTTTCTCTGCATCCTCATCAGCATGTGTTGTTGTCATTATTTTTTATTTTAGCCATTTTGATAGAAGTGTAATAGTATCTCATCATGTTTTAAATTTGCAATTCCCTAACAATGTTGAACATCTTCTTATGTGCATTTTCTATCTGTGTACCTCTGGTGAAATGCCAACAAGGATTTTTAATAAACCATGTGTTAAAAGAATGTAGGGGGTAGTAGTAGTAGTATTCATAATAGTAGTAATATTGTTCATAGCATGATTTCTATCTCTCTACCTTAAAAAAAAAAAAAACCCCTGTATATAACACTCTGTGCTAGGCACCAGGGGTACAAAGGTAAATTGAACAGATGTGGCTGTTTTCCTCATGGAACTTATAATCTTGAAGTGGGTGAGGAGTTAGAAAACTTAGAAAAAATAAACACACAAAAGTATATAAAACAAACACAAAAAGTATGTGCCCTGAAAGAAAAAAACAACCAAACAAAAAAACCAAATGTCATAAAAAAAAGAATAATGGAGACTCAATTTATATTGAGAGTCAAGAATTTTCAAATTTTACCTGAAAAATGGGGAGGTAATATTCAAGTGCAGTGGGAGCAAGAGGAACTCAGCCCAAGAGAGCAGCACGTGTGAAGATCCTGAGGCAGGAAAGAGCTGAGGATGTTGTAGAAACCCAAAGAAGGGTAGTGTAGCTGGAATGTAGAGTAGCAGTGGAGGAGTGAGATGAGGTGAGTTTAGCAGTATGGGTAGGGCCCAGACCAGAAACAGAGAAATTGTATTAGTCCAAGCAAGAGATGGTACCAGGGGATGGACAGAGAAGTGGATAGTTCTGAGGTGTATTTTGGAGATAGAGTTGACAAGACATGATGAGAAGCTGTGCAGGAGAGGAGGGAGAGGAAGATGGAAGTATCAAGAATGACTCCCAGGTTCCTTGATTGAAAAACCTGGTTGATGGAGGTGACTTTAGCAAGATGGTGGAAACAAGAGGAGGACTTGGTTTGTATGGAGAGGTCGGCAGTGGATAACAGTCCTATTTTTAGGTGAACATAAATTCTGAAGCCTGATGCATGTCTACGAAACGAATAAACCCTATTTAATTGCATAGTACAAACAAGAGTCCTACAGCTGAGGCTGAAATAGCTGAGGCTGAAAGAGACAACTCAAGTTCAACATACATCACCCTTCCCTTTGTTTTTAAAATTGCTCATGAATATTTTTTAAAAGTATTGGCTGGGTGTCCACCAGGTGGCAACATTTCTTTAAAAAAAAGCCCAGATTTAGAAGCCATACCTTCTTAGCTACATCAAAGTGGATTCTTGAGGGCCACACAACCAGAGTCTAGTCAAAATCACTGAAAGTGCAGCCCACCCTGCTGAGTTCTTCTCTTAATATGCATAGGTGGAGGCAGTTTTATGAGCAAGATCCTTCTGTGGCCTCTTACAAGAAGGCTCATGTGTGTCAGTGTGTACCTATGTGCATGTACTATCTAGGACTTATATCATATCATGAAAAGCCCTTTAATCCTAAAGGTACTTAGTGCAAGCAACTGAGTAACATTGGAAGCCTTAGATAACCTCTCTGAGCCTCTTTCTTCATCTGTAGAATGTTGTATACGTATTAGTACCAACTTCTTTGGGGTGTGAGTGTGAACTTAGATAATGCATGCCTATAATGTATCTAGCACAGTCCTGGGACAAAGTAAGCACTTAATACATGGTAGCTCTTATTATTATTTCCACAGTGACCCTTATCCCCACTTTCCCTGCTCCAAGACTCTATTCTTTGCCAGCCTTAGTTGTGGGCAGCCTGCCAGGCATGATCTAATCAGTGAAGCACATGAGTCATGAGAGGATGACTGACTCCCTTTCAGGTTCTCTTAGTACTTGGCTCCTGGAAGGTGCTCCTCCTTGATAATCCTTCCTCCCAACTGCATTGACATAGATGGAGTCTTTCTGCTATTGACTGGTCTGATTGGACAGGCAAGCCATGAAGATGGAGAGGGAGGAAGCTCCTGAATGGAATGTGGCTGCCGGAAAATCAGCCCCCTCCTAATACACTGCAATGAATTAAATTACTCTCTATTTAGTAGCTTTTCCTCATCTATTGGAACATGTACAATTGCTATCTGCTATGATCATGTATTCCCAGCCTTTCAGGTGGGATAGGTCCAAGCACTCATTTTGTTTGGAGCTTCACACAGTATGAATATAGCACAGATTTACCTAGGGAAGAAGTTGACTTGATGCTAGTGCCTGTGATTCAGCCACAGGGAATATTTATACAGCAAAGCCAGCCAGCTGTCCCCACTGTATTTATCTTCTTCCCCCTTTCCTACTAGCTCAGGCCACCAGATACTTCACTTTCTTTTATCAAAGTCTAAAATATTTGGGTGCTTTAAAAATAGGTTTTCAGAAATGTTACCAATTAACACTATATATATATATATATATATATATATTTTGTGACAGGGTCTGCTCTGTCACCCAGGCTCAAGTGCAGTGGCACAATCATGGCTCACTGGTGCCTTGACCTCCCTGGGCTGAAGTGATCCTCCCGTCTCAGTCTCTCGAGTAGCTGGGACCACAGGTGCATGCCACCACACCTGGAAAATTTTTTTTTTTTTTTGTAGAGACAAGATCTCCCTGTGTTGCCCAGGCTGGTGTCAAACTCCTGGGCACAAGGATCCTCTTGCCTTGGCCTCCCAATGTGCTGGGATTACAGGCATGAGCCACCGTGTCTGACCTAATTAATACTATTATTATCTAATCACATTGATTTTCAGTGGGGGCTTTCTATTTCATGTGGGGGCTTGCGAGGGGAGGGTAATAAGGGTATGGTGAGAAATGGATAGGAAATGTACCTTTATCGTAGAGGGAAGGAAACAGTTTTTTTGGTCTTTCACCTGTATTGCGAGTAGCAAAACATGTTCATGTTTTCAGTCTATGTGAGAGATTGCTAAGCGAGCAGGGTGTTAAAATGTGGTCATGTGGAAAGCAGGTTGTCATTCTTCCTCACACGTGCACAGCGTAGCTCAGTTTATAAGGCACACTATTTCATTGGCCTTTTATGTAAATTTTATATTGTAGGCAGGGTTGTTTCCTACATTTTTCTTCAACTGATGCTCAGAAATATCAGGCAACTTGGCTCATTCAACAAATTTCTACTGAGAGCATACTATTAATATGTGCAAGGCAGTGTTGTAAGTTGTGAAGGAAATCCCTGCCCTCATGCATTTTCTGTTTTAGTGGGGCGCACACACATAGATAAAATATATAATATACCAGATAGTGATGAGTGGCATGGAGAAAATAAAACGGGAACTGGAAAGGGGATTATGTGTGAGTGTGTGTTTGGAGGTGGTATTGTTGCTAATTTAAATATAGTGGTGAGGGAGTGCCTGATTGAGATGATGGTATTTTGGTAAAGACCTGAAGAAGGTGAGAGAGGAAGCTCTGTGGATAGCTTGATGAAAGAGAATTCTGGGAACAGGCAAGGACAGCTGCAAAAACCTAGAGGAAGAAACATGCTAGAGCAGAGCAAATGAATGAGACAGCCAGGAAATAAGATGGAGAGGTTAGGAGGAAGATTGAGGTCTTCGGGGCCATCATGAGATTTTGAGGAGGGGTACATGATCTGATCTAGATATCTAAGCATCACTCAAGGCATTGTGTTGAAGTTAGAATATAGAGGGCAAGGGTAGAAGCAGGGAGATCAATTAGGAGGCTATGACACTAGTCCGGGAGAGATGAGGATGGCTTGGATCAGCGGGACAGTGGTGGAGGTGTGAGAGGTGATTATATCTCGAGCCAACAGGGATTGCTAGTGGATTAGCTGAGAGAGGTGAGAGAAAGACAGGAGCGAAAGATAACACCAAGGTTTCTGGAAGGATGGAGTTGCTGTTTCCTGAATGAGAAGACTATGGGTCAGGCAGGTTTGGCAGAGGTAAGTGGAGGAAGAGATTTAGACATAAGTTTGAACTTTAAGTTAGACATCTCCATGGAGATGTTGAGACTTCAGTTGGATACACGAGTCTGGGGTTCAGTGTAGGGGTTCTGGCTGGATAAATAAAGTTGGCCATCTTCAGTATGCCGATATTTAAAACCTTGAGATTGGAGGCACTCACCAAGGGAGCAAGTACAGATAAAGTGGGAGTCTGAGGCCTGAGCCCTGGGGCCCTCCAGGACTTAAGGGTGGGGAAATGAAGGCAGGATGCATCAAAGAGAAGGAACAACTGGCGAAGGAGGAGAAACCATGAGGACATGATTTCCCCAGAGCTGCATGAAGAGAGTGTTTCACAGAGAGGGAGTGATCAACTGTGTCAAAAGCTGTTGATGTTTTATGTAAAATGAGGACTGAAAATGAGCAACTGGATTTAGCCAAGTAGCCCCAGTTATTCTATCCCGTAGCAGTCTTTTCTTCATTGACAGTATCTGGATTTTTCCCTCCCTCCCTCCCTCTCTCTTTTCTTCCTTCCCTTCCCTTCCCTTCCCTTCCTTCTCTCTTTCTCTCTTTATCTCTCTTTTTGTTTCTCATTTGCCTCTTTCACTGGATAGTAACAGTAACCCCTATAAGAACGGGGACCATGACTGTTGGGGGTATAGTGGCTGGCACATATTAGGAGTATGTTATGCAATTTATCTCTTTTGGTTTCTGTTTTGACCACATATTGTCCATTTCCCTTTCTCACCTTCCTAATGTTCCAAATCACTTTGGGGAATTTCCTCTCTTCTGTTGTGTGTGGTCTTGATGGGATGGCAAATTCTGTGTTTGCCTCCTACTGTGGAAGCCAAAGCAAGCAGATGCTGCCCCAGACCCCTACACCAGGGGGCAGGCTGCGTCCATCAGAGGCTCCTGAGTTATCCATGGACAAGAGAATGAGTTGAATCCCAGCATCTCTGTCCTCACCAGAGAGCCCTCCTGGTGAGAGCTGTTGCCATGGTTTCCATTTCCCAGGCCTTGGTGCTCCCCTGCTTCCTGCCATCACCAAGCCTGCTGCTCCAGCCCCTGTTTCTCTGAGCTCCCAGTATCCTTCCAGTAAATCCTCTTTCGCTTATGTTAACCAGAGCCAGTTACTATTCCTTTCAACTTAAAAAGTTCCCAACACCTAAGCACTCAATACACAATACTCAATACACATTTGCTGAATGAATGAAAAAGTATGGTTTTCATTTCATGAATGGCGAGTCTGAAGTTCAGAGAGGCTTACCACATGTCTAAGACCACATACCTTCCATCAATTCTTCTATGCTCCCTTTTCACATTCTCAGATCTCTGAAATCAGGATGCTTTTTACAATTGGCAGTGTCTTACAATCAAGTGGAAGTATTTTTCTGTTTTTAGTGGTATATAAAATAATGTATCTTATATTAGCTTAGATTCAATGAAATATGGTAGTCAGTATTGAAGTCAAAATTGAAACATATTTCAAAAGTCTGTACATCTTCGCTTTTCAAGGAGTTTATTATCTAGTTGGAGAAAAAAATAAGTAGGAAAACTCCACAAATCTTTCTCAAATACAGAGTAGGGTTTCATGAACACTGAGTGGAGGCCCTCACTAAAGCTGCAGGGGTACATGACTCTGAAGGGCTGAGTGGAGGAGCCACAGCGTGGGCATTTATGTTGATCTCAGCAAGAAAGATTTGGATGGATGGAAATATGAGAAGAATGGAGAGGAGGGAGGACTAGGTTCTAGACGATGGCAACCCTGCCGACTCTTAAATGCAGGTCTGAGCCACAAGGCTGAGTTTGGTGGAGATGGTTGCTTGGTGTCTCCCCTCTGACTCTTTCCCTTCTCCTTCTCCATGGTAAATTATTCTTCCAATTCTCCCTGTGTTCACCATTATAACTGTTTTCTGCTGCAATCTTTTTCTGGAAAGTTCCCCCCTTCCTACCTCCTGCCCATTCCTCCCAATCAGTTCAGCTCTTGTGTGTGCTGGACAGAAATCCCTCTTGGCAGCCTAGGCAACATAGCAAGACCCCCAACTCTATATATTTTTTTAAATTAGCCAGCATGATAATGCACACCTATAGTCTTATCTACTCTGGAGGCTGAGGTGGGAGGATCACTTGAGCCCAGAAGTTAAAGGCTGCAGTGAGCTATGATGGCACCACTGCATTCTAGCCTGGGTGACGGAGCAAGACCCTGTCTCAAAACAAGCAAACAAATAAAAAAGAAATTACTCTGGGATCCAGAAATAAGGGAAAATGTATTTCAGGGGGAGGAACAGCAATAAGCATGGAGGTGCAATGCATGATGTATGTGAGGAAGAGTGCCTGAATACCATGAAAGGGTAGGCTGGGAAGAGGGGTTTACTCATTCATTCAGGGAATGTTTGAGTATACACCAGGTACTGCTCTAGGCACTGGGGATAGAGTAGTGAAATAAAAATTATGTTTCTACCTTACAAGGCTTACATTCTAATAAGAGGAGATAAGCCATAAGCAAATAAATGTTTAAATACATATGTATATACACCTATGGAAAAAATGTCAGATGGTATAAAAGCAAAGAAGAAAAATGTGAAAAGGGTTAAAGAAGCAAGAGAGTTGGGGTGCGAGCTGCTCATTCAAATAGAAGGGCCAGGAAAGTCTTTTTTGTTAAGATAACATGTCAACAGGGAACTGAAAAAGTGAGTCAGAGTCTTTTGAATCTTCCGGTGGAAAGTGTTCCAGGGCGAGGGCACAGGAGATGCAAGGGTCTGGATGGGGGGTTGTGTTTGGCAGGTTTAAGGAATAGTATGTCTACCGTGGAGTGAGTGGGGACAACAGAGTGGCAAATGCATATGTGGTGGGGAGGTTAGCCAGGCCAGAACAGGTAGGCCTTGTTAGCATTGCAAGGATTTAAATTTTATTCCAAGAGGATGCAAAGCCTGTGGAGAAATTTGAGTGAAAGAAAAGGAATGAGAGATAGATGGGGCCTAATCCTTGTGAAGCTGCAATGCTGTCCCAAATAGTTTGAATCCGATTCTCCTATGTTCCCAGAATTTTCATTTCTGAATCATTTAAATTGAGCAGGAAATCTGTTCTAATGAATAAATATGTTTTGTTTTTTTTTTTTTTGAACACGGAGAGGCCTCCGCTTAGAACAGATGTAATGAAGTCATAGTTTGTTTTGACAGAAAGAGGCTATGGAAGGTTACACTTCCTCCACTCTGCCTTTGGTTGTCAAGGAGATACCCCTGGAAGCCTCTTCTTTTGTAGCTAAATGTCACTGTATAGCACTTAGATTTTTCATGTTCTCCTTTTATTATGTTATTGTAAAGTTCTCTGTGTAATTTTGCTCAGGAGTTAACAATTTCATCACTGATGAGTCTGTTCATTGCAAACTACCTTTTCTGGCATTCTGATTGTCTTTCTCCATCCAGAGGCTGGCTTCCGGGAGGGGCATGCACCTGAAAACTCATCAAACCTGTCTTTAGAAAGGTCCTGAGGGTCAGACAGGCTGAAAAAGGCAGATTAATTCTGAGAAGCTGATGGGAAAATGTGAACTGATGGATCAAACTACAGAAAGATACATGGTGCTGGGTTGCTTTTTGTGGAGAGCATTATTTCAGCTGCTGACCAATCAGGGTGGATGTTGCTATATTCAGTTTACAGAGGGGAAAACTGAGATGCGGTGGTAGGAGACTTACTCATGTAGTTACGGTAGCCCTGGAACAAGCATCTTCTAGTTTTTAGTGTGCTTTCTACAACACTGTGTTTTTTCAAAGATATAAGCTGGAGATGATAGGTTAGTTAATTAATTCATTCAACATGCCTTTTTATTGAGTGCCTTCTGTGGGCTGGGCACTGTTCAAGACACTGGGAATACTGAGGCAAAGAGATGAGCTCCTCATCCTGTTCACACTCCTCCCGTGCCCAAGTAGACATTACTTTTGACTGTCAGCTGGATATAGATGTAGAATTTATTATAGATCAAGGTTGGCCCTTTAGATGAAAATCTGCTATCCCCGGCTTAGGCATACATGGTTCAGAGATCAAAAAAGCTAAATCTGAATCAGTTCTCTCTGAAAGGAAGTTAAGGTTTTTCAATAAGCTCCAGACTAAAAGACCCGGGAAGACCGATATACACGTTAAGTTGGCCATGGATATTGTTGGCCAGGGATCAGCCTCTTTCCAAAGTGTTTCACAACTGATTAAACAATTCTGATGAGTGAAATGTGTTTCTCCCAGGTTTTGAAATCATGTGCTTTAAATTATTACATCTCTATGCTGTTGTGTGCAATTAAGAGTAAACAATGCATCCTGCTATCACCTCTTTTCAGCACAAGGGAGGAAACAGGTTGATTTCTTTGGACTTTGTGGATTGCTTGCCCACAGTAGCAATACTCCCTTCTTTTGATGGGAGATCTTTAGGGTTTCCATCTGCTAGCAATGTGCATTAATAAACATTTTTAACTGAGGAGAGGGTGATGGAGTTTTTATATCTAAATGTCTTTCTGAAAGCTCTGTCGGTAACCACCACATTTAAAGAGAGTTATACTATTTGTATTCCTGTCTGCACATCTTAATTATTCAAGTCTTCCAGGGCTTACCTAAATTAGACAAAGAGGAAATTAGTAAGATGTATTATAATGTTTAGACAGATCAAATGAAAATGTGTCAGATACAAATAGCTCACACTGCATTATCTGATTTTGTCCACAGCCTTTGCTTTTTAGTTAGGAATGTCTGGATATATGTGTTATCAAGAGAAGCTTGTCTCCTCTCTGCTGTGCTGTTTCTTTAGTGGTCCCTTTAGTCATTTAATACAGGGCTATAGGCACTCATTATTCTGGCTTTGGGACATGTCTGACTTTTGTCGATTGCGATTGCGGGAACTTGGGAAACTGATCTGCAGGAAGATGGCAGTTGATTTGCATAAGACCCCCAGGCATTTTGACACAAGGGACCAATATTCCAAACTATTCCCTGAGGTCTGGTTAGGTAAAGCTTCTGAGAAAGGTTGAAGGGCTCCGTTTAAAACCAGGGCAAGGAAGGCCTATGAGGTTCCTAAAATAAAAATCAACCTCAAGGTAGCCATATCTAGGCTGATGATATGGGATCAAAACCTTAAAATGTGTGAGGTAGGGCTGGTTCTGACACAATGCATCATTCATATCACTATCCCTTCTGGACACAGTGAAAAGAATGAAGGGAAGAATTTCTGAGAATGAGAGTATCATCTGAAAGACTTGCAACCTCAGAGTCCAGGTGAAGAGGTGAGCGGGTAGAACTAGTCCCTTACAATGACACCAGGCAAAAGACATGCAGCCCTGGATCCATTGAAGCACTTCTCTTTCAGCTTGGTGTTGAAGGACAGGTCTGAATATTGTTGCCTTGTGTAAGCTCCAGGGAGATGGTTGGACTCGTTAGAGATGAAGATAACCCAAGATGCCACTTTTGCTAATAGGGCATGTGGATATTTAAGTACTTAAGTAAAAAATAAAAGAGATATGGCCATATCTGTGCTCTGAATTCATACAACAGTACCTACTGGTTACGATGTGTGTGCATGTATGTGTATGCATGTGTGTGTGTGTAAGAAAAGGGTTCAGCTGCAATTTTACAACTCATTGGGTACCAGATATCTGCCTCATAGACTCATCACCCCCTAGAATTGTAGCCCCTTAGTGATCGAGATAAGGGCCACCATCCTTCTTCCTCTTAGTGAGCCTTCTCTGATTGCCTTGTTTAAACTTGACATTTACTCTTCCCCTCCCCTGATTGATTTCTCTCCATAGCCCTTATTACCCTCTTTATTGTTCACTGTCTGTTTCTCTACCAGGATCCAAAAGGGATTTTCATCTGTCTCTTTTTCACCGCGGCATTCACAGGTCATATGAAAACACATTGAACAGTTCTATTGCACAGGTGCTACAGATGCAGGCAGTAGCACTGGGGCAGGCTTCCTGAGAGCCCCTGCTGAACCAGGCACGCTGCCTTTGGTTGCTAGATTGTGGGAAGTCCAGAGTTCTGGGGCAAAGGTTGGGGCAGACGTGAAGTAAGGGGTGAGGATGAGGAGTTTCTTAACAACCAGTGATGTTGTACTTGTGAGTCCTGGCTGAATCCCCAGTGCTTAGAATGATACTCCCACATAGTAAGTGCTCAGTAACTATTGGTTGCATGAATTAACTCCCATTTTGTGGATGAGGAGTCTGAGTCACAGAGAAATTAGGTAGTGTGTGCAAAGACACAGCTAGTAGGTGACAGAGCCAAGCATGAGTCCATTCCCTGCACCAGTCTGGCTCCAGAGCCTGCCCTCTGAACCATTAGGCTCTGCGGTTGCAAGACAGTCCAGATGAAAAGAAAGAAAGAAGAGGAAGCTGTTATTCCTGTACCAGACATATCATTCTTATCAAATTCTTAAGGACCTTTAAGGGTTCTTAAAATTTTTCTAGGACAAGGTGGAGGTCTACACAAATGAACTAAAATACCTTTCTGAAAAATTGGAAATGAAATTGATCAAGTCAGGATTTTCACTTGGCTCTTCCTCTCACGTGGGTAGCTACTAGAGAATCCAGCTGTATGACACAGGATCAGGCAACAATGAAAAAATTACTTCTTATAGACAAAACAATAATATATGATACCAAATGTGGCAGGCAGAATAATGGCCTTCCAAAGATGTTCTTGCCCCAGTGACCAGAAGCTATGAATGTGTTACCTTATGTGGGAAAAGGGAATTTGCCAGTGTTATTAAGTTAGAAAATTTGAGATGGGGGATTAACCTGGATTCTCTGGGTGGGTCCAATCTAATTATAATTATAAGGGTCCTCCAAAGTTGCTGGCTCTGAAGATGGAGGAAGGGGCCAGGAGCCATGGAATGTAGGTGACCTCTAGAAGCTGGAAAAAGCCAGGAGATGAATTCTCCCCTAGAGCTTCTAACAAGGAAAGCAGTCCTGCCTACACCTTGGTGCTAGCCCAGAAGACTTGGGCTAGACGTCTCACCTGCAGAACTGTGTTTAAGCTGCTAAGTTTGCGGCAATGTTACAGCCGCAATAGAAAATGAACACACCACACCAAGGAAAGGTAAAGTGAAAAATTCAGTCAAGTTATCAAAGTGTTAAAAGAATTAAAAAAGACCAAACTGTTGTTTTTCATTGAATTCATTCAAAATAATTGTATTCTTATAGTACATGGATATAATTACTTAAATATTTTTAAGTGATATGTTTATTGATATCAAATAAATCTTCCCAGTCTTTTAAAAGAATGTACGATTTTCATAAGTATTATATAAGGAAAATAAAGAGGAACATACTGCTATCTCAGTTAATGAATCTGTATTCCTTTATTAAATCACTCAGAGTGTCATTTATAGGAAGCAGACTTCATATAAGTAGGAGAAGATCATTGCCAGATTTTGAGCTCCCAGAGCTCCTTCACTCTTGTGGCTCCCCCGGCAAATCTAATCAGCCTCCAATGCTGTTATTTCTTTCATCACAATGATCCTTGCATCTGTTCCTTCATTTTCCTGCCACTAATTCAGGCTTCATCACTTTCCACCTGGATAGATAAAACAGGAATCTAACTGACCACTTTGGCTGTTGCTTGTCCCCCTTTGATCTATTCTGCACACACCCTCTAGATTCACCTCTGTCAAAGCCCTTCTCCATCATGCTGCTCTCCTGGGAGAAAACACTCACACCTCTTGTCATTGGGCATAGGAGAGGTTCTTAGCCATCAGTAGGACCTTACTAGTGATGAGGGGGCTGCACATGACTTATGTGCATTCACTAATAATGGTTAAGGTTTGAAGATTATTATTTTTTTTAAAACAAATTGAGGCATATTTATTCATTTATATAATTTCACAAATACTTATTAAATATTTATTTGTGCCTGGCACTATTCTAGGTACTGGGGACACAAGGGCAAATGAGAGAGACAAGAGCACATTCCAGTGTGGGAGAGAGATCATGCTCAATGAAATAAACAGGAAATATCTGGGGAGTGTTAAATGTTATCCAAAAACATCAGACCAGGCAAAGTGATAGAATGATGGGGCAGCTACTTTGGACTGGGTGATCAGAGAGACCTGTGGGAGGAGGTGACATTTGATCTGGTGTCTGTGAAGATCCGGAGGAAGAGCATGCCAGGAAGATAGAAGAACAAATGCAGAGAGTCCCCGGCAGCTGTGATCTTGGCATATTCAAGGAACAGAGAGGAGAGTGTGGCTGGATGGAGGAGGACATAAGCATCCAGGAAAGCAGTTGTTGGATCTTACAGGTCTCAGAAACAGAATACTGCATCTTGATTTCCCTTTTAAGATGGTAGAAAGCTCCTAGAGCTTTAAATCAGGGAATTGACATATACAATGTTTGTCTCTAAAAGCTCACTTTGGTTTTTGCAAGGTGAATGGATTATTGAGGAGGCCAGCTAGGAGGCCATTGCTGTGATCTAGGCAAGTGACTACAGTGGCTTGGGCTATGACAGTGATGGTGGCGAGAAGTGTACAGACAGATCCAGAGCATATTTTAGCTTTATGATCATCAAGACTTGCTGATGGATTAGATATGTAGGATAAGGCAAAGATAGTGACTTCTGGATGTTTGGCTTGACCGCTGGTGATCGTTGATACTATTTATTAAGATGAGAAGACTCAAAATTATCATTATGAACATCTAGTATTATAATGTGCTTTCTTGGCTTGTGAGGCATCCAAGGCAATTTGCCCTTGCATGCAATGGCACAAGACCACTATGCTTTATAAGACTTGTTTCTATTTTTTAATAATTTTACAGTGCTTGCCTTTTTGACAGGATTCCTGCCACTAGAAGTTTCTCATTTCTCCCTAAATCTGTCCTGGGCTAGGAAACCAGATACAAATGCTCATTGAAATTGTATGTAAAATGCCAGTAAACAGGAGCTGAATGAAGAGATGAAAAATTACTTTTGAGTAGAAGATGTGTGTTTTGTTTCGTGGGCTTTATGACAAAGATTGCTCAGAAACCCTTTTTGTTTACTTGCTCTGTGAGAGAGACTACTGAATAAATGACCTCTGCATACATAAGGAGTTATTGTGCCTTTTCTGTGCTTATGAGTTGCCTGTCTGCCTTTCCCAGAGTTCTCTACCAACAGCTGAGCCATCTTGATCTCTATGTCAGCAAGTTTAGCCCAATTGCATCATGCCATACTTGATGCTAGTTAAAACCTGATTATGTGTCCCAGTTTTAGTTGCTGTGTTTCTACCCTGCTATTATCACTTGGTCTCCCACAGGTACCTTGTTTCTGTATCTGTATCTTGGCCTTGTTGTCCTCAGTGGCTGCCTGGATAACCCAGTCTATATAGAATGATAACTCTTATTTTCCTTTTTAATCCTTAATCATGTGGAGACACACATTTTATTCCTGAGCCAAAGCCTGGAAACTCCACTACTATTATCAATACTGCTAGTACTACTAGTAATAGGATTACTAGCTAGCATTGGCTGAGCATTTATGTGCCATGCATTGAGATAAACACACAACACACATGGCCACACTTGATTCAGCTATCCAGTGAGATAGACTTTTTTATGCAACCTTTAAAAATGATGAAACTGAAGCAAAGAGAGGATAGGTACCTTTTCTTAGATCACAAAGCTAGTTAGTGGGTGATGGAGTGAGGATGAGAACCCAGAGCGACTGAAAAGTTTCTTCTCTTCATCATGGTCCTATAACTGCCTGTATAGACTGATACACAAACTTGAGGCCTGTGACTTGCTCAGTGATTTCCCTTTCTATGCCTCCCTGCCTCTAAGTTGATGTCCCTCTGTGGTGGACCCAGATCCATGCCCCTTTACTGTCATACACTCATTTCATTAGCTATGCTACATGGCCAGGAGGCTATGCTAAGGGGACAATTAGTATTTTTAATTTGCTCCAAACTTTATAAATAGTAAGACAGTAGTTAATTGAAGAGTGCACTGGTTAGCCAGCCTCTAAAGTAGGTGTCATTGTTCTTATTTTAGAAATAAGATAACAGAAGAGAGCTTGTAATTTGCTCAAGATCACGTAGTTACTTTAGGATGGGTCCTGGATTTCAACCCATGTCTGGTTGATTTCAGTGTATCCTCTTAATTAATTTCTGGGAACTCTTTCCCAAATGGCTCTAGCTTTGGGGCTAACAGGCTACCTATTTTACATGCAGCATTCTGTTATTTTACTTCCTATAAATAAATGTCTCTCTATGAGTTTTATGGTAATAGAAATTTTTAAATGCATTTTTATGCTCCTGTCCAATCACTTGGAACAGTAAAATTGATAAATTGTTTGTATTCCTCTCATTTTGGAACACAGTTCACCTTTTTCTTATTTTGTAATTGTGCTTTTTTGAATGCTTGTTTTGTCTGATCCATGCCTTGAAATATTTTGTAAATCTGAATATATTACTATCTTAGGAAAAGGGAGATTTTTCTTAATAAAATTGAGTAGTGCAATTTCTATGATAAAATTGCTCAATTATACTGAAAGAAACACAATATATCATAAGTTATGCATCATTGAACAACTTAACCACACAAATGCTCAAAACCCAGAGAAAAAATTGTAAAGGCCAATTTAGTGGAAAACCGGAAAGGATTTAATTTTCCTAAAAGTGTTTTTTGGGAAACTCATTAGTCTCTTTAAATGCTCTGTCGAAAAATGGTTTCTTGGTAATATAATTGAGACATGCTCTATATTTTATCTCCTATGAAGGATTCAGAAAATAAGATTTGCTAATTGAAGGCTCTGAGAAGTCCTACTCCTACAGTAAAGATATCTGATCCCTAATTAATTTTTTGTGTTGGCCATCTGTTGTTATTGCCTGCTCAGTATGTGTTCACTTTTCTGGGAATAGCACCATAATTTTGTCCTGGGAAACTGTGCCTCTTGATTTGACGCAGTGCGAAGTGGGTGTTAATCAGGGGACCTTGCCATGCCCTGGCCAAAGTATAGGCATGTGACCCAAGATGGACCAATCAAATGCTTTCTCTCTGGAATTTATATCTTGAATGGAACAATGCAGTGATTCAATATAGTTGAAATTCATTTATCCTGGTGATGGTGCTCTGCTTCCTGGATCTTTGGAGCTACTCTTCTTCTTGGGCTTTTAACATTCTGGTTTTCCAGCCTTCCTTTGTGTAATTATACAGGCTGCGCACTGCTTAAGGGCACCATGTCTAAAAAGAAAGAAAACATTCATGCTGTAGATCTATATTAACTCCTGTGAGAATGGGGGTTGGGAGGGGCGGTGGATAATGGAGAGTCTGGGATTTCTGGCTGCATCTGGAAGTAGTAGAGGAGAGTTCCTGATGAAGTTAGGCTGCACCAGCATTCAGGAATATACATTCACTTTGGAGACCTACACGCACACTTGTTGATGCCCATGTACTCACAACCTGGTTTTGTTCCTGTGCAACCCCAAGAATTCCATGAGGTTTTTTCTGTCATCCTTCCACTGCTCTTAGATACCCTCAGAAACCTATCTAGACACAGTCCCTTTGCCTAGGGAATAGGACTGGGGGCATGGAGTGTGTCTCTGCCAACAGTGTGTATGTTCCAGTATAGGACATGGACAAGCAGCCAGGAATGTGGGCACGAGTGTGTATAGCAAGACCCCATCTCTACAGAGCACCTGTAGCTCTGCCTGTCAGGGCCCTTGCAGTCTTTCTTTGTATGGCCTGGAAAACCAAGGGTGTGTGTCCAAGCAAGAGGCTTTAGTTTTACTTTCTTATGAGTGGGACACATATATTTGGGTTGCCAATTTTAAAGATACATTCAATTTATGAAATAACAGCCATCATTCTCTTGCCCCTCGTTTTATCCATTAATTTATTTTCCCTCCCCTTCTCTTCATTTGCAGGTAAGGTAGCTACCTGCCTGGTGTCTACTTTTCCCGGGTGGCCTGAATATGGTGCTTGGTTGTGCAATAATATACTAATGGAACCATCTTTCATTTGAGGGAGGAGCATCCTTTTAAATTTGTGCTAGTGGCAGTCTTGTCTCTGAGCTGCCTTGTATCCTTCCAATATGCTTCAGCTAATTAGAGTCAGGTTAGGTTGTACTTTCCCAAAGCTTAGGTAATACATTCCTATCATCTTTTAATACTCCTCAAGTTCCTCAAAACATTTGGAAACCCTGATCCAGTGGAAATAGCACAGGACTAGGGAGGAAGAAACCTAATTTTATTGATGAGAAACCCAAAGCCCTTTAAAGTGAATTTCAGGCAGGGCTTTCAGTAATGCAGAGTGGAGAAGATAACAAATCCTCTTTCCCAAAAACAACTGGAGAAAACTGTCCAAACCAACAATTTTAGTCTTCTGGGAATGGACAGAGGTCAACAACAAACTGGGAAACATTTATTCATGGAACCTTGCTGAACTTTGGGTAAGAACAAAGTTCCTATCTCTGGGTAAGAACAATGGGAGTCTGTGATGTTCTTGCTTGGGGATGCCTCATAACCATAGATCTGTTGTCACAATAGTGTTGCCAGGGTAGATCTGCTTGTGCCAGAAGGCACTGACTTGATTTAGAGTGAAGGGCATCGTCAGTAAAATCAGAAAATTAGAAACACACAAGAAGAGCCTACAGTTTTGCTAGCCTCAGATTGTGGCCAGAAATTCAACAGGAAGACCTTGGGAATTAAATCAGCTCTCCACACATCACTGGTTGACTGAGAGGATATGCATGCACAAGAAGTCCATGTGGGGCCTAATGGAAAGTAAAAGCTGGGGCCAACCTGATGCCCACCTGAAACTTGTATGCACAAAGTTTGACCCACACTCAGGTCCATCAACAATAGCTAGGAGTCTTACTGGCTGAAGGCATTTGAGCATTTTCTGACCAATTACTGACTACTAAGCTATGCAGACACAGGAGCAACTTCTAGAAAACTAGACTAAAAAGTAAAAGTAAGGATTGAAAAATGCTTCCAGTGCTTTGGGAGGCCGAGGCAGTAGGATTGCTTGAGGCCAGGAGTTCCAGACCGACCTGGGCAACATAGCAAGATCCTATCTCTACAAAAATAAAATAAAACAATTATGTGGGCATAATATCATTCATCTGTGGTCCTAGCTATCTGGTAGACTTTTTTTTTTTCTTTAAAGACAGAATTTCATTCTTGTCACCCAGGCTGGAGTGCAATGGCATGATTTTGACTACAACCTCTGCCTCCTGGGTTCAAGCGATTCTCCTGCCTCAGTCTCCTGAGTAGCTGGGATTACAGGCATATGCCACCATGCCTGGCTAATTTTTGTATTTTTTAGTGGAGACAGGGTTTCGCCATGTTGGCCAGGCTGTTCTTGAACTCCTGACCTCAGGTGATCCACCCGCCTCAGGCTCCCAAAGTGCTGGGATTACAGGTGTGAGCCACCGTGCCCGGCCCCCCCAGCTACTTGGGAGGCTAAAATGGGAGGATAGCTTGAGCCCAGGAGTTCAAGGCTGCAGTGAGCTATGATCATGCTACTGCACTCCAGCCTGGATGGCAGAGTGAGACCCTATCTCTGAAAAAAAAAAAAAAAAAAGCTAAGCAGAGACAACTATGACTGCATACTGCAGAGGAGACAGATTCTACAGATTACATATGGGTAAGTTACTAAATAAATAATGAAAACAAAAATCAACAATAAGAGTTTAGAGAAATAAACCAGAAAACAAAGTTACTACAATATATTTTGATAATTTTTGATTAATGTCCAGTTGAAAAAATAATTGTGAGATGTGCAAATACCAGAAAGTGCGGCCCTTACTTAGGAAAAACACAGCCAATATGCATAATCTCTAAGTGAACCCAGATGATAGATTCAGCAGACGAAGACTTCAAAATAGCTATTATAAACATGTCCAAGGAATTAAAGGAAACTACCTGTAAAGGATTTAAGGAAATTGTGATGAAAATGATTCAAAAAATGGGGAATCTCAATAAATACATAAATAGATACTATAAAACTGGAAATCTAGAGTTATAAAACACAATAATGTAAACAAAAAATTTACTAGATGGGATAAATAACGAATTTGGTATCATGGAATAAGGAATCCGGTAACTTGAAGGCAGATAGAAATTATCCCATCTGGAAAACATAGAGAAGAAATATTGAAGAAAAATGTCTCTCAAAGATCTGTGGGGCAACACTAACTGTCAATATGCATGTAATGAAAATCCCAGAGGTCAAGGAGAGAGAAGGAAGGCAGTAAAATTATTTGAAGACATAATGGCTGACAAATTTGCAAATTTGATAATAAAAACATTAATCTGGCCGGCCACAGTGGCTCACGCCTGTAAACCCAGCATTTTGGGAGGCGGAGGTGGAGGCGGGTGGATCGCGAGGTCAGGAGATCGAGACCATACTGGCTAACACGGTGAAATCCTGTCTCTATTAAAAATACAAAAAATTAGCTGGGCGTGGTGGCGGGCGCCTGTAGTCCCAGCTGCTTGGGAGGCTGAGGCAGGAGAATGGCATGAACCTGGGAGGCGGAGATTGCAGTGAGCTGAGATTGTGCCACCGCACTCTAGCCTGGGTAATGGAGCGAGACTCTGTCTCAAAAAAAAAAAAAAAAGTTAATCTAGAGATTCAAGAAATGCAACCATCACCAAGTAGGGTGAATACAAAGACATTTACACTTAGATACATCAAAGAGAAACTGTTGAAAACCCAAGAAAACCTTGAAAACAAGAAAAATGACTTATGTACAGGGAGACAATTATATGGTTAACTAACAGACTTCTCAAAAACAATGGAGTCAGGAGGTCATGGAATACACATTCAAAGCGCTGAAATAAGAAAAAGGTCAACCAAAAATCTATATTCATCAAAACTATCTTGGAGAAATAAAGGTGAAATAAAGACATTCCCAAATAAAGACGGAGAATTTGATGCTAGCAGACCTGCCTTGCAGGAAGTATTAAGGAAGTCCTTCAGGCTAAAAGGTAATGATACCAGACAGTAACTGGAATCCACAGAAAGAAATGAAGGACATTAGAAGTGGCAAATATAAATGACAGTATAAACATATAATTTTTAAATAAAAATTTGCTTAGAAGACATAGATTGTTCAAAGCAATGATTGTGATACTGTATGGCTGGGTTTATAAACTATGTAAGATGCCATATAGATGACAATAATAGCACAAAGGAAGAACACGGAAATAGAGCTATATTGCAGCAAAGTTGGCTATGTTTTAACAGGATTAAGTCACTGTTAACCTGAAATAAATTGTAATAAAATGGATATTGTAATCTCTAGAGCAGCCACTAAGAAAATAACTAAAAATATATAGTTAACAGGTGAGTTGATTTGCATAGGGTCACTACACCAAGCTAGTGCAAGTAAGACACTTTATCTACCTGCCTCAATTTCTCCATATGTCATTTCAGGACATTAATACCAGCCACACATCCTCACTGTTAGGCTCTGTCCTCCCATACTAGATTTTTCTTAAATTTTTGAAGTAAGCACCCAGCATACTGCAGACTGCTTGGTCTCTGGCCAAAGTTTAAAAAATCTGACATGGCTCATCAGTGAACTCTCAGTTCTTTCCTTCTCCAAGCAGGACATGGGCTTGGCTGTGCCTGCTGAAGTTGAAGGGCTCATCAGTGATATCAGGGAAGTTAGGTTTCTCTGGAGACAATGTGAGTATCCTGGGTTTTCCATCCTCTTTCAGAGCAATGAAACCTAGTAGAGACCTTGCATTATACTTCAATCAGCTGATCGTAGCCACTTGAATTTCCTGTGGGTTCTAGTTACTCATGAAATGAATTTTAGTACTATCCCATCTACCCCATACACATACACACTGTCCCCTGTCCCCACAGACTTCACCCTCTACCTCCAAATCTTATTCTCTGTAGTCCAACATATCAAAATCTGTTCCTCAGTGTCTTAGACTTCTCCACTAGCAAGATACTACTTGCGGTTTATTACTCTGTTTAGACTAAGAGTCTGATGCCAGAAGTCAAGGCTTCTGGACTAGCCTACTTCTCACTCATTATTATCTAGAATATAGGCCAGTGTTTCTGAGACTTTAATGTGTATATCAATCACCTGGGAACTTGTTAACTACGGATCCTGATTCAGTAGGTATAGGGAAAAGCCTGAGATTCTGCATTTCTAACATGGTCTTAGGAGATGGGGATGCTCTGCTGGACCATACTTTGTGTAGCTAGTTTCTAGACTAGAGCATAACTATGTTCTAACACCCTTCTTGGAGCTAATATTAACACAGCATTAGTTTGAGGGTACAAAAGATAAGAATGGAAAAGAGGATTCTAAACTATAAAAAGCAAAACATTTAAGTAGGGTTCATTTAACTTCAAAATGTAAAGTTTTAAAAAACTTTAATATTAATTCGTTTTGTTCTGTTGTGTCTGAGTTTTACTATAACCATGTTTACTCCTGTCTCTCTTTCAGCAGAATTAAATATTATACAGATTCATCTTGAAGCCCTTCCAAAGGAGTGTGTTGATTGAGATAACAAAAATAACATATTTATCCATCCAACCATCTGTGCAGCCATCTGTTTAACCATCCATTTCACCATCTCTCCATTCATCTACATTTCTAGGGTCCACTATGTTACAACTATGCTGTGAAGGATGTAGGTGTTAATGAGACAGTTCTTGCCCCCAAGGAATTTCATCTCTTATAGAAATGACACAATTCTTGGAATATATTCTCAAGGACAGTATTAATGTAAGGCCCTAAATGTTGTCAGAGTGCTAGTTAAGTACTTGGCTGTAAACTTGAGTCCATAAGATCATTCAACAATGCAAACAGTACCATCAATAAGGTAAACAAAACAGAATTTTATTTCCTGGATAATGAACTTACTCCTGTCTATTTTAATACAGGGTCAACTTGATTTTTTTTAAAAAAGTTGGAAGTGTAGCTTCTTCACTTTCAGCAAGACATATTCTTTTCTTTAGTGCAGGCAAAAATAAAGAGAATATGCAGAGATGTCTTAAGGAGGTAGGTATTACCAGCGTAGAGGCTGGTGTTGATTTGTTTGGGTCAGGAAGCTCTTTAGAGATGGCAAAAACTCTGAGATGTTTCCAGAGTACAGAGTAGACTCAGAACATTTTAAAGTTCATGTCACTTATTTTCTTCCAGAGAGGTTAAGTCAAATAATCTATTGAAAGCACATTCAGGATTTCTGCTCTCAGTCTCTTCCTCCCAGAAAAATCTGTGTAGTTTAGTAGCGTTTCTAGTAGTATTTTTTTTTTATTTTGTTCCCTTTCTTTGCTTTACATCTGCTATGATTACATTTATTTTATATGAAAACATTCTTTTATTTTGTTTTATTATTATTATACTTTAAATTTTAGGGTACATGTGCACAATGTGCAGGTTAGTTACATATGTATACATGTGCCATGCTGGTGTGCTGCACCCGTTAACTCGTCATTTAGCATTAGGTATATCTCCTAATGCTATCCCTCCCCCCCTCCCCCCACCCGTATTTTTTTTTTTAAGATTAGTCAAGTGCAGTAGTGAGAAGGGGGTCTACTAGTATTTTCATTAAGGCCAATTAATCCTAAAAACTCACACCATAGCAAGGATATGGAATCAACCTAAGTGTGCATCAATGGATAAATAAATAAAATGTGGTATATATACACAATGGAATACTATTTGGCCACAAAAAAGAATGAAATCTTGTCATTTGAAGCAACATGGATGGAACTGGAGACCACTGTGTTAGTGAAATAAACCAGAAACAGAAAGACTAGTATCACATGTTCTCACTCATATGCAGGAGCTAAAAAAGTGGATCTCGTGGAGGTAGAGAGTAGAATGATAGTTAAAAGAGGCTGTAAAGTGTGTGGATATGTGTGGGGGCATAAAGAGAGATTGGTTAATGGGTGAAAACATACAGTTAGCTAGAAGGAATAAGTTCTAATGTTTAATAGCAGAGTAGGGTGACTATAGTTAGCAATAATTCAAAATAGCTGGAAGCAAGGACTTGAAATGTTCCTAACACATAGATATGATAAATACTCAAGATGATGGAGATGCTAAACACTCTGATCATTACACATTCTGTGCATGTAAATAAAATATCACATGTACCTCGTGATATGGTTTGGCTGTGTCCCCACCCAAATCTCATATTGAACTGTAGTTTGTATAATCCCCACATGTCATGAGAGGGACCCAGTGGGAGGTAATTAAATCATGGGGGTGGTTACCTCCATGCTGTTCTCATGATAGTGAGTGAGTTCTTACAAGATCTGATGGTTTTATGAGGGGCTTTTCCTCCACTTCACTCTGCACTTCTCCTTGCTGCCACCATATGAAGAAGTATGTGTTTGCTTCCCCTTCCACCATGATTGTAAGTTTCCTGAGGCCTCCCAAGCCCAACGGAACTGTGAGTCAATTAAACCTCTTTCCTTTATAAATTACCCAGTCTTGGGTATGTCTTTATTAGCAGCATGAGAATGGACTAATATACCCCATAAATATGTACCAATGTGTATTAATAAAAAAATGAAAAGTTAATACACATTTGATGATATTGATCAACACCTTCTGACTTATCAATACTGCTCCCACAGGTCAGCTTCCCCATCACCATTCCTTCCTTTTCCTTCACACACACACACTTTCACCTGTTACAGGCTTGTACAAATTGGAAAGTCTTAGCTCTGCAAGTAACTTCAAAGGGACAGACAAAACTGTAAATAAATATACACTTCATCAAAACACCCATGATGGGGCAGAAGAAGAGACTAACACATACTGGAGGATATTCAATAGTTCTTACCTCTCTGCTCTGCCTGGCCAGCCCCTTCTCATATACCCTGTGACTTCTTTCCATGCTCAACCCCCTTCTCTCAACTCCTTGTTTGTTCCCACCATGGGGAGAGAAGTTAGTTTGAGTGGTCAGAGTTTGGGACTGTAGATTGAGCCATGTGGACTAGTGAGCAAGGTTACTGTACCTTAAAATGCATAGACTTCTTTTTCCCTCCTCCTTCTCACAGTTGGATGAATTAGCAGATTCTAGATGACTCTGTTGTCTTACCTTCTCTTCAACTGCCTATACCAGTTCTTCCTGCCTATCCCAGCCAAAGCAATAAGATGTTCAGATGGACATTTGGGGTCAAAGGGCCCATTGTAACCTTTACCAGGCATTGCATTTGGTGTTAACCTGCGTAAAACTAGTAATAAGTGGTATTTTGATTTTTATTTATTATTCCTTTCATGGACAGCTCCCCCAGGAACTCCAGTGGAAGGGAAGATAAGCAGAACAGGATTTGGGCATTCCTGGGTCTCTGGCCATGAAAATGATTCATATCCTATTCTAACCTTGCTAATGCTGGGGATAGAAAATAGAATAGTGTATCAGTTAGGGTTCAGTGCAGGAAAAAGAGCCACTTTAGGTATTTTATGCAAGATGTGATTTAATGCAGGAAATTAGCTGCTAGTAAAAGTCATTGGAAAGGTGGGAGGAGAAAAATCCTTACTCCAAGAATAACACAGCAACTCCTAACCCCTATGGAAGTTACCATCTCTGAAGCTACCCCTGGAAATTTTGAGTAGAAGTAGAAGAACTCACCACCCCATAGTCAAGACCTGCATTGCACAATCTGAATGACACCTTCAAGGATCAGAAAGCCAGATTAAGAAACTACAATCCCCACTGCCTCTATTGCCACTACTTTCTACACAACGAAGCTGGATAATAGACACTGCAACCTTGCTATAGAAATAGCTCCTGTCTCCAAGATAATGTTGGCCAGAAGAAAACCAGTCTAAAAGGGGCAGGGAAAAGGCCTCTACCTCATTTCTGCCTTCTGTATTTTGCACAAGTGCATCTATTTGGTGGGACAAAATTTGTATCTACACCCTAGGTGCAAAAACATCTGGAAATGCAGCTTTTAAGTTTTCCAGATTCTGCGGTGCGGACAGGCAATCTGAAGGAGAGAAAAAAAGGAAGTAAATGCAGGATAATGTGGATATGTTATTTTATACTTAAAAATATGTGCTTTATTTGTTTCATGCTCAAGAACAACCTAGAAAATAATCAACAGTATAAAGAATGTGATAAATATCAGATGATTTTTGTAAGTAATATAAATCTTCTAAAGCAACCTGAAGTCAAAAAGGAGTACTTACGAGAAGGGCATGGGAATATCTCCTGGAATAATGAGAAAATTTAGAAGGAGACAAGGGCAGCTACCTGGGTTCTTAATGGTCTTCCAATTCTTGTTTCAGGCTGCTGTGAGGTTCTGCCATTCATCTTGTCCTCTTCCTGGGACTGAGTGGATACTTGTGCCATTTTTCAAGATCAAGAATATGGAAAAAATGACTCCTTAGCTCTTCCTATCCCTGAGATTCCTCGACTTTGTAATCTATCAATTACACAATTCTCCAATGTTTAATAATTTTGAGCCTCAAGAAAGACATACATTTTGTAACTTCAAAAATCATGCTTACATAAAGCTCAATGTTTTAAAACCAGCCAAACAAAAAATAATATAGCAGAAGTCTGGGATGGGTGAGGAGGACAGTCAGATGGTCAGCTGAAAATATAATAATTCAGGACCAGAGAGATGGGCCTGGGAGCAGTTGGCACAGATGTGGTTGTTGGGGCCCACTGGGGCTTAAGGGAGTATTAGACCATATTTCTCTTTCTCTCTCTGAGTTAAGGACCAAGACAGAAATAAATACAAATACCAATAGATGGAGATCAATATATCTGTTTCAATAGTAACAAGGCTGGCTTAGATCTGTTGCCACAGTGGGGTTTCCTAAAGCTCTCTTCAGATTTAAAATTACTAAAGTTATTCCTGTTATTCCTCAGACCTACAGTTCAGTGTAGTATATAGAGAAGAGCAGAATTTGTGATTTCCACAGGCAGGCTGGTACAAAAAGAGAGAGGACAGGCCACATGGGAACCATGGACTTTAACATTTCAACCTCTCCCCTATAAGGGACTATGTAAAAATAGGAGTCAGATAAATTACTTCTCCCATGGGAGAAAGGAGGGGTTCATTCAGTAGGGTTCTTTCAATACTATTCTTTCTTGGGAATGGAAGTTCTTTATCCTGAAACATGAAGACAGGAGCATAACATTTCCTCTAATAGAACTGTAATCATTGATGTGAATATCTGGGAAACCAAGAATAGAAGAGGACAAAATAAAGAGTCTGGAGAAGTCTCCAAAATACACTAATACAAAACATTGACAGAACAAATGTGGTCAAAGAAGCAGGTGGAGAACCAGAAAGGAAAACAAAAACAAACAAACAAACAAACAAAAAACAATGTTCAAGAAATGAAGGGAAGAAAGAATTGAAGGAATGGAGGGAGTAGATGGTGGAAAGTGTGAGTTTCTATGGAAAACAGATGGTAAAGGATTAAGAAGCTTATGAGTTTAAAATCTTTAAATTTTAAAAAGAGCTGTATTGATGTATACTTGACATATAATAAACTGCACATGTTAATAGCACAAGTTTTAGCCTTGAGCAGGAGTAGGGACAATTCTTCCTCTGACACAGAAATGGAGGAAATGAGGGCTAGTTCTATAAACAAGTAAGTTGAAAGTCAAAAGGAGCAATATTAGAAGATTTGAGACTTGATGGTTTCTTTCCTAGTGAAAAGGTTGAATCATCAGATTGAAATGAGAAGCATTAAGTGTGGGATTAGAGGGGCTAAGGATATGTGGTAGAGACTTTTTGAGGCTTAACCCAAATACGTTATCTTCTTCATCCCTTGTAAGAGCCTTGATTTTGTTTAGGTTGGCAACAAGCATGGTTAAAAGACTGCATTTCCCAGCTTTTCTTACAACAAAATGTCATGTGATTAAGTTACAGCCAGTGGGATGTCAACAGAAGTGCTGTATGGGACTTGCGAGAAGGCTTCTTAAGTGGAGATAACTCAGCTTTCAGTGTGCCCTACTTGCTCTGTTATTATTTCACCTTCTTGCTGTCTAGAATGTGAAAATGATGACTGGTGCACTGGCAGCCATTTTGGATCATGAGATCATCTTGAGGATAGAAGCCATCTGCTGAGAATGACAGAGCAAAAATATACTAGGTTCTGATGATTTTGTGGTACCTGTATAGCACACTTGGATTGTCAGCCTCTGAATTTCTTTCAACCTGATTGAGAAATAAACTTTTAGCATATCTGGACCACTGTTATTTGGGTTTCAGTGATATGTACTCAAATACAATCCTAGCTGAAATATGACCATGTTAAAGTTATGGTGAGTGGAAAAGGGAACTTACTAGGGTCCAGTGAAGGGATTCATGAGCTGAGGCTTCAGCTGACAAAGTCATGAATCTGCAAGGTATGTGCTTTTCTCTACTCTTGGCAGTCAGGGATCAGAGGCAGAGGCACAGGCTTGCTGGATTCCCGAAGGGTTCAGAGCCATTCAAGCAGATGGAGCAGAGTGATAGTTGAGAGAGGAACTGCAGAAACAGTTGTCAATGGGTTTGAAGAATTTGATCTTGGGATCCAGGTTGGACAGGAAAGAAAGTGAAGCCAGATGAGGAGTGAGGTCCTGAGAATACTGAATCCTTGAAGGTTTGGGGACGGTTTTATGGTCTACAGGTAAAATTTCATGACATTGTGGTGAGGCTGGGAGATTTTGAAGTCTAATATTTTTGTGGTGAAATCAAGGCAACGGTAATGCTGAGGCCTGGGTGTGGCCATGGGAGTCAGGAGATGGCTGCAGTGGAATGGAGATGAAGCTATTGGCATAAAGCAGGGCCAGAAGATGCGGGCCTTGTCTGAATGGAGGATGACTGTTCATAAAAATGACACAGTGGGATATCAATTTGAAATCCGTTAAAGTAACTGACACCAAGAGGAACAACAGCTTCAGCTCTAATCTCAAAGCAGGCAGGTCTCATGGAAAGATTTTGGGAAGAAGTTCAAAATAGACTGATGGGTGATTTAAACAGGGCAGCTAGAGGGCATGGTAAGCGGAAGGCATTAACCACCCCCTCAACAAAAATCCAATGACTGAATCTCCAATTAAGCAAACGGAGCCGAAAGATGTCTAGCCAAACATCCCTAAGGTGGACAGCGACTTTGCGAAAGGCACCAGCAAATTACATTTCACATTTTCTGTTCAGCCATTTTCTGAAACACAAACAATATTTCAATTAGTGTCACAAAGAAAGGTTCATTCCTGTTAAAATAAGTGATTCTTCTATAGCTTTCAGGGATATGATGCTGAAGAAGAAAAGTACAGACCTGGAACAGTAATGCTGTGTGTGTTTTTGGAGAAATCATCATTGGTTTTGTATTGATTTGTGCAAAAGAAAGTGTAATTTAATGAAATACATAATGTTCTCAGCCAGGATAACACATCAGCCTGGAAATGGGGAAAAAATAGCTAGTAGATTAAATTCTACAGATGATGGCTAAATAAGTGAGCTGTGCTTCTAGAGTGGTGGCCATTAACCTTTCCATCATGAGGACACCATGTCTCAGTGTAACATGGGGATAACAGTGAGTTCTATTATCAGACTACCTGACTTTGAATCCCTGCCCTTTTGGATATTAACTAGGGGTCCCTGGGCAAGTTATCTAATCTCTACATGTCTCAGTTTCCTTATCTATAGAAGAAGAATAATAAGTCAGTCACCTTAGTGAATTGTAGAGAGTAAGTGCTCAGCTACACATCACCTATATCTATATATCTATATCTACGTAAACATTTTATAGATTCTAAGATGAGAATAGTTGTATATTAGGATCTCTAGACTGAGAAAATATGTATAATATCTACTTCTGGTTAGATGTAAAAATAGGAACCTTCTATACCCATGGTAACTCCAGGATCAAACAAAGATCATAGGTATGAACGGGACTACCAAAGAGTAAATGTAAGGAAGCCTTGATGAACTGACTTCAACAGAGAAGCGTTCTTCACCGGCAAGCAGGGAGCTACAGGGGTTTCCAGGTGGCGAACTCTGGATCTGGGTATGAGTGGGAAGAAAGAAAGTTGACAAAGATCAAAAGACTTTGCTGGGGAGAAGAGACATCCATCAAGCTACTGGTGATGGTGGGGCAAGTATGACACTGGACTCTGAAAGTGCCCTGAATGATCAGCCGGATGCTTCTCCTCAACCCCTACCTGAATTGCTACTAATACGGCACTGGCAGAACTGAAAACCAGAAGGAATTCATGGATTATTTCCATGGTTCCTGGAACCAGGAGACTGCAGTCATTGAATCCAAGGATGGAACTGAAACCCAGCCACCCTGGCTCAAATGCTAATAAAAGCAAAGAAGTTAGGTAGCTGCTGCTGCAGCTACAGCACAACTAGGGACTGGGCTAACTAAGGTAAGCTCAATCTTAATAAAGCTGAGGCCTATCCCAGTGAAACGTGATGCTGAGTGAATACTGGATGCTCACTTCCTCACCTTAGCTACCAGACATAGGAAAGAGCTTGCACGCACTAGAAAAAAAATCAAATCTTACAATCTCCACTATATTTTTATATACAATAAAAAATAAGACATGTGGAGAAAAAAACCAAAATGGTCAGTAGCAGACCCATAGATGATCCACATGTTAGAACTAGCAGAGAAGAATTTCAAACAACCTTTATGAATATGTTTAATGAACTATAGGAAAAAGAAGGAAAGAATGGGTGAACAGATGAGTAGTCTCAGCAGAAAGTGGACACTGTGAAGAAAGCCAAATGAAAATTCTAGAACTAGAGATACACTCTTTGAGAGAAAAAATAAATCGGATTTGTTTAACAGCAGAATGGGAACTGCAAAAGAAAGGATCGGTGAACTTAAGGAAAGTAAGTAGAAATTATTCAAAATGAATAATGGCCAAAACTTTTTCCAACTTTTATTATGGAAAACATTAATCATCAAATCCACGAATCTCACCCCCTGCAGGATAAATACAGAGAAAGTCATACTTACGTGCACCATAGTCAGATTGTTAAAATATAAGCATAAAGAGAAAATTCCAAATGAATTCAGAGAACATTCCAGGGAACAATAAGAATTATAGCAGACTTATTAAAAATGATGTCTACCAGAATGATGTATTTAAAGCACTACAAATACAATAAAGTAAGGAAAACAGTCAAAAGATTGGAAAAGAAAAAATAAAACTATATTCACAAATGACATGATTGTGTACATAGAATATACAAAGGAATCTACAAAAAGCTCTCACTATTGAATCTATTAAGTGAATTCAGCAAGGTAGCAGAATACAAGGTTAATATATAAAATTAAATGAATCTCACACAATTAGAAATAAAATATGCCATTTGTAATATCAATATATTTATAATAATACTAAATATTAAAAGAAACATGTATAAAACTAAATACTAAATCCTAAATAATACTAAATATTAAAAGAAACGTGTGCAAAACCTGTATAATAGAAACTATAAAACATTACCGAGGGAAATTAAAGAAGACCTAAATAAATGGCAGTAAAATAGTAGATGGGAAATCAAAGAGGGAGATTCTGGGTGAAGGAATTTTCCAATTAGAGTCAGCATCTATCCTAGGGACATTTCAGAAATTCTTCAGGAATTGTGAAGTTTTCAATAGAGTGCTTCAGAGCTGGGGAACACAGACAGGGACCCTCAATGACTCATAAGACCACGAATTCTGTTATACTTCTAGCCTCAGTCCCATATTCTCATTTCAGAGTAAAGACTAGAACTAATGGATTTTGAATTTATAAGCCGTTGAGAGTGGATGATCCATCCATTCATCCAACCAACTATTGAACATGTACTTCCTGTTTCCTTTGGAGTCATTTGAAGAAGGGAGCTGAAAAGAGCTTAGCTTATGTCTACCCCAGCATCATCACTGGCCATGACTTCTAGTAGTGTAAAACTTAAGGTTTCCTGAAGGGCTGTGACCAAAAATTTGTCTCTTCTGCTCTATGTCATTTCTTTTTCTTTTTCTTTTTTTTTTTTTTTTGAGACGGAGTCTCGCTGTTGCCCAGGCTGGAGTGCAGTGGCGCGATCTCGGCTCACTGCAGGCTCCGCCTCCTGGGTTCATGCCATTCTCCTGCCTCAGCCTCCCGAATAGCTGGGACTACAGGCGCCCGCCACCTCGCCCGGCTAATTTTTTGTGTTTTTAGTAGAGACGGATTTTCACCGTGTTAGGCAGGATGGTCTCGATCTCCTGACCTCGTGATCTGCCCGCCTCGGCCTCCCAAAGTCCTGGGATTACAGGCGTGAGCCACCGCGCCCGGCCTCTGTGTCATTTCTGAAAGCTGACACTGTACCATTGAGATTTGACTCTGTTGGGTCAAGGTATTGTTCCCTGCTAGTAAATAAGTTTTCCTATCATGATTAATATACTGATTTTACATTAATAACTAAAGTCTACTTATATAATTTTGCAGTATACTGAGAGCACTGATCTTCACAGGAAAACTCAGCATATTAGGAATACTTGTTTTAATATTTAAATCTATTTAAAACTGAATATTATTTTTGAATAGTTAATGACTTCCTATGGTTCATAATTTGGAAGTTCAAAATGATATATAGTAAAAATTCTCTCTCATTATTATAGACACTGTAGCTTTTCTCAGGGATTAGCAATGTGTTACTGGTTTTTTGTGTTTACCTCCAAACATATTCTATGCATTTAACAGTACGTAGATGTTCCTTTCTTTCTTTTTTTCTTTTTTCCTTCCTTCCTTCCTTCCTTCCTTCCTTCCTTCCTTCCTTCCTTCCTTCCTTCCTTCCTCTCTCTCCCTTTCCCTTTCTCTCTTTCTCTTTCTTTCTTTCTTCTCCCTTCCTTCTTTCTTTCTTCTTTCTTTCCTTCTTCTCTTTCTTTCTTTCTTTCTTGCCTTCCTTCCTTCCTTTCTCCCTTTCTTCCTTCCTTCTCTCTTCTGTCTTTCTCCTTCCTTCCTTCTTTTTCCCTCCCTTCCTTCCTTTTTTTCTTGCTTTCTTCCTTTCTCTATCTTTTTTTTTTTTTTTTTACAAAAATTGAGCATTTTTTCTGTACCCCTTTCTAAAAAAATTAACAATACTTTCTTGGAGATCATTTCACAGTATTACACAAATAACCTCCTCAACTTTACTAAAACAGCTTTCACATGCATTATCTCACTGAAAATGGCTGGACATGGATTAGGCATGATTTCCTCTTTTTTCCCTTGTGTGACAAACTTAACCTGCTGATGCACAGTGAAGAAGTGCCAGAGCTAGGACTAGGACACAGGCCTTCCAATTCCATGTCCATTGTTCATGTCTTATCTGTGATATCAGCCTGTCTGTGAAATTGATGTGAGGATTCAATGCTTTCTCTATAATGAGCCACCTGGATGTTTACATTTAGTGGCACCGTTGCCCTAGCCCAGTGTCTAACTAAATATAATTGCTCTGTAAATGTTTGTTGTGTGGAATAGGATTGGCTAATTCATAACCCTGGGTGATGATTCACTTTTTATCATCAATCTCTCGTGTTTCCTAGGAGATATATCCTTATCATATGTGGTGACAGAAATGCTGGGCACGGATGCAAATACAAAATGTTCTGGTCCCAGCCAAGTGCAAATTGGAAAAATTTAAACAGTCCTCCAGCTAGCACACTGGTGAGTCAGATAGCACCTTTCTGCCCTGCAAGGCCTCCAGTCTGTAAATCTGAGAAGCAGAAATAGCATCTTTAGTCTCCTGATTTTTCCCTCTTGTGATTCCCATATTTATTGGACAGAAAAGCATGAACTGGGTAAACTGTGCTTTGTTTATAAACCCTCATTTTTAGGAATCTGCAAAACGTGCTTGTTTCCTTGGAAAGTGATTATAGAAATTCACGCCCTAGTTGTGAGCTTGTGCAAATATGTGTAGTAAGAGGAGTGACTCTCATGTTTAGTGTGAACATATGCTTCTACATGATTAAAGAAGCCCAAGCAATGATTGTAAGTATCCTATTTCACTCAGTTTTCTGCATGTGATGGGTAAGGGAGCCTTCTCACTCAGATTATACTTGATTAGGTTCCCTACTTGGGCAACTTTTTTTTTCCCTTCAGCAGTTTTTACTGATAATTGAGGGGTACAAGTGCATATTAGAAAACCAAGTGGGGGGCCAGCCCAGTGGCTCACGCTTATAATCCCAGCACTTTGGGAGGCTGAGGAGGGCAGATCACTTGAGGTCAGGGGTTCGAGACCAGCCTGCCCAATATGACAAAACCCTGTCTCTACTAAAAATATAAAAATTAGCTGAGCATGGTGGCACGCACCTGTCATCCAGGCTACTGGGGAGGCTGAGGCATGAGAATCACTTAAACCCGGGAGGTGGAGGTTGCAGTGAGCTGAGATTTGCACCACTGTACTCCAGCCTGGGTGACAGAGTGAGACACTATCTCAAAAAACAAAAAACAAAAAACAGAAAAAAAACAAGTGGGGAAAACTTGAGCACCCTATTTGAGCCATGGGTTACCTAATTTCCAAGCAAGTAATTTTACATTATTAATTTTTAACTTAATTCCAGAGGACACACTTTGAATAATTCATTACTTCAAAATTATTTGAGGCTTGGTTTATGATCCAGTTTACAAACAATTTTGATCATCCTCAAAACAACATTATGAGATATATGTTATTAAAGACCCATTTTAAGCATAAGGAAACTAGCACTAGAGGGGTAAGAAACTTGTTCAAGGTTGAGTTGAAATTTGAATTCAGGCATTCTGGATCTTAAGTCCATCCTCTTGAACACTGTGCCGTAATGCCTCCACCCACGAGAGGGGAAAACGGGCAGATTCTTAAAAAGGCACTGTGTCTAAAATCTTACGAAATCTGCTTTGAATAAAGGCCTTTACTTAGCACAGTTGAAACATAATGAACCCATTTTCAGCGTTGTATAATGGGAGGGAGGTATACACATACATTGGTGCTTGTTCGTATATTGAGAAGGATAGGTCCATGTGGGGTATGTCCACTTGTCCAGGGATCTTCATGTGAAGGAACTTAATTTAAGAAAAGAGGCCATTGAAAGAGGCAGGCTTGGATATGGACAAATGATCCCTATTGGGGGATACTTACAATAGGGCGTATCTTACTTACTCTTCTGTGGGTTCTTGCTTTTGCTCCAGGAATTTTTGCCCAAGACCTGGAAAGGGGAGTGGAAACAAGAATAGAGTTGCCTTGGAGGTAAGGAGTATTTTTCCACCTGGCTTGAAGTGGCCACATTTCAGAAGGATAGAATCATGGAAGACTAGTCAGTGAGCTGGACCTGGGTTACCTCCCAGGAGCTGCAACATAGATCCTAGTGATCCTTGGAGTCACCAGCAGGTGTGTAAGAGATACACCCATTTGGACTTCAGTTGTGTACTCCAGGAGGAGAAGGGTGCCAAGCCAGCAATGGCAGAAAAGCACAGTGATCCAGAGACCTAGGATCTGAGCAGAAGGGAGTATCTGCTTAAGTCCCCTAAAAGTCCTCTAAGCTTGGAAATCACAGGTAGAGCCAGAGAACTACTGCTTGGTTACATGTCCCTACTTCCTCTCTAGGCTGATAAGGCCTGGGAGATATGACATGCATGTTGTTCTTTCTATGGTAAGCAAAGCATCAAACTCTTGCCAAGGAGGAAGGAGAAAAGCAATACAGTGTAAAACACAATTTATGCTTTTCAACACAAATTTGTGGTGTAAGATGTTGTAATCTATTTGTAATATAAGATAACAATATTGTAAACTCACCTAATTCTCAAAATTCATTCTTACTTGCTACTGGGAGTACAATTTATGAGGGTGGTTTATGGTAATGTACTTAATTGTCTTTATATTTTCAGTCTTCAGCTTAAAGATTGTGAGTATTTAACACAATGCTTAGGATCATGGTGTTCTTATGATGGTACCAGAACATTCATTCAGTGTTGTGTAATAGGAGGGAAGTATACACATACAAATTAAGAAATAATCTAGATGCCTTTAAATACCTTACATACAATTCATGTGGAAAGGTTGCAAATCACCACTTGATTCCTTGTATTTTTCTTAAGATTCTTTATAGTTCACAAATTGCCTGATTTGATCTTCAGAACAACCTTAGGTATGGCAGCTCTCAATATTTTCATTTTTCTTATGGAGAAATTGAAATCCAAAGAGGTAAAATGGCATATCCAAGGTCATATAGAGGGGAGTAGAACTGGATCTGAACTCCGTTCTTCTGAATTTAATTCCAAAGTTTTTTCATTTTGCCTCACGTTCCCTGACCATCTATCCATCCATCCATCCATCCATCCATCCATCCATCCATCCATCCATCTTTTCATTATCAATTCATTCAACGAAAATTTTTGAGTGCCTATTATGAGCCAGGCATTGTACTAGGTACTGACTCATAGAAATATGAGTCAGTCATAGATCCTGTTCCCAGGGACTTTTTAATATAATAGGGATATCAGCTATGGGGCTGAGTAATTCTAAATGGAGACAGAAAGTAGTAAGTACTATGAGTGAATCAGAATGCCCCACAGGAATTCTGGTGCCAGAGGGATAACTTAGAACTGGAGACAAATGAGTAAGGGCTGGAACAGGAGGGATTTATGTGGGAGGGGGCCATCTTATAGGGATGCTATGTGTAGAGACAAATCCTTTGAAATTAATAGGCTGGGAGAATGGCCCAAGCTTAACCTGAAATGACTCTTAAGCACAAGTAAAGAAGAAAAGAGAGTGAACATATCTAAGATGGAACAGAAAAGGAAGAGTTTTAGCCAGTGACATGACCTTTTAAAAGAATATGCACAGACTTTAAAGTTCTGAACCAAAGGGAGAGAAACTGAAAAGTGGAGGAAGAGACTTAAAAGTAGGAGGATCCAGAGGCACAGTTTTTCTAGACGCAGTGGGTATTTTCTGCTCAACCTGAATACTTGGAGCATCTTGTGGGTAAGAGCAACATAAAATCTTGATATAGCTGCTTCTACAACAGGTTGAAGAGAATCAAAATCAACACATATACAGCAGAGGTAGAACAGCTAAGAAACTTGGAAACCCCAGCTTTTGGAAGTGGGTCCAACTGTTATGAGTGTTAGGGTAGCAGTTGTGAGCAGAGTGAGTGAGTTTTAGAAACAGATCACCCAGGGATTCTCAGTGTTTAGATGTGGTTTGCATATTTAATGTGAAATATATATCTTATAAAACATTTTCTGTTAAGCTGTATTTTAGTATGATGTTGTGATGGTTGTTTGCTCTGTATGTGTGATTTTTTTTTTTTTTTTTTTGAGACATGGTCTTGCTCTGTCACCCAGGCTGAAGTGCAGTGATGAGATCATAGCTCACTGCAGCCTCAACCTTCTGGGCTCAAGTGATCCTCCCACCTCGGCCTCCTGAGTAGCTGGGACCACAGGCACGTGCCACCACCCCCAGCTGCTTTTTAAATTTTTTGTAGAGACGAGGTCTCACTTTGTTGCTCACACTGGTCCTTCAGCTTCTGGGCTCAAGCAATCCTTCGGCCTCGGCCTCCCAAAGGGTTACAGTCATGAGCTACCATTCCCAGTTGATATTTTTTATTGTGGTAAGAAAAGAAAGTAGGGAATATTTCCATGAGGAATTATCCCATGAAACTAATTGTCTCAAGGAATTAATCTAAAAACTGCCCTGACTTAAGGTAACATGTACCTTATCAAAGGTCCCAAGTCACACCTACTAGTTCAGGAATTAGGTGAGATCAACCCCAAAAGGACCAAATGATAATATTTCCACCCTTCGATTCAACCAGGGGGTTTGTGTACAGAGAGAAAATGTGGCTAAATTTGTGTATTCCTTCCTAGATTATAAAAGCCTACAAAAGGAGGGACCATTTCTTGATCATCTTTGCATTGTCTATGCCTAGCATTGCACCTAGAAGGTAGAGATGTTTGTCTGATCACGTGCATACAGCCTTGTCTGCGAGCATCTCTGATAGTCATGACAGTTCTTCACAGACTACAGAGATGGTGGGCCATTTAAGTGATACAGACATTAAGTGCCACAGGAATTCACAGTAGGGGAAATCACTTCTGGCTCGGGAGGTCCCAAAAGCCTTCTTAGGAAAGGTAGGACTGAATTAGACCTGGTGAGATTTGTACTAGCAAAGGGAGATGGGGAGAATGGTATGTTCCCTCACCCTTCAGTGTCCACAGGGTAGCTGGCACTTCAGAGGGTGCCCACAGAGGAGATGGAGCTGGAGAAAGAGAGCTTTGCAAGCCACAGCTACCTGCCAGAATTGTGGAGTCTGCAACATAATCTCTAAGACCGTGCACCTCCAAATAGAAATGAAAATTTGAGCATGGGGAAAATTTGAGCTGAATTGTTGTCCCTTAAGCCTAAGAAATTGTCTGAAGCAAGAATGTGATGCCCCTTCAGCTCTTTTCTTCTCCTCTTCCACATCCCCATCCCAAAGAAGTGATCTGGCGGGGAAAGAAGAAAGGGAGGAAAAGAGGACCAGATCTCTGGATTAAACCTCTTGAAAGAGTTGGATAGAGAGAAGTCAACTCAGTCAAATTCAGAAAGAGACGAAAGAGGATAAAAGTCCCATCCAGGCCAGAAGCAGTGCTCTGGGTGAAAGACGTTTTCAGTGAGATGGTGTCAGGGAGGAAAAGCTAATAGGGTTTACTTAGAATGTATTGTCTTCTTAGTCCCAAGGCTAAAGTAAAAAAAGACAAAAGAGAGCATGTTAGAGGAAGCAACTAGAGAGAGAGAAAAAAAGTCAGAAGACCTCCAGTAAGGCACTGCACACGTCCTTGAGTCTGTGTCTCTGTGCTTCTTCCACGTTTCCCTGAGCAATGATTCTCCACTGGGGCATTCAGTGGAATTCCCTTCTTTAGGTGGCACCAATTCACCAAGCTCTAAAATAAGCCCTTCTGCCACCCTTTACCATTGCCTCATCAGTGCTGTGGGGAAAAATTATTCTATTAAAATGCATTTTCTTTTTGGTTGTCTGTTAAATTCTTGCAGGGCTAAATGTACATGTATTTTAAAGGAGAAGCTGAATTGTTGTCCCTTAAGCCTAAGAAATTGTCTGAAGCAAGAATGTGATGCCCCTTCAGCTCTTTTCTTCTCCTCTTCCACATCCCCATCCCAAATCCAATAGGGCCTGAGGTTTTCCCTGAAGAAGGGGAAAACAGGTTTTCTTTGAGAAGTGATCTGGCCGTCAGCAAGCACCATTACTAAGCATGATGACCAGTGATTGCTTCTTCCCCACAGTGGCTGTGGTGGCACTCCCCATCTCAGTGACTTGAGAAAGAACAGGGCCTCTGTAATGTTGATACAGAAAAGCCGAAATCAGGGCTCACAGCCTGGTTGAATGGAGGAGGAAGGGACTTAAAAGTAGTGCTATTCATAAGCCAAGGTGGTTGACATGAGGCCTTCCACAGCAGTGACAGAGGAGACGGAAGATGTCATTCTTGAGTAACAGGAAGTTACTGTAACACCAGTTTTTATTACTAAAGATGACAAAAATACTACCAATGACATTTATTTGAGTGCTTACTATGGGACAGGCACTGAATAGTTTATATATATTCATTCATCTAATACAACAACTTTATGAGTAGGCACTATCATTAAGACAATGATGTCCAAAAAAAGGAATTAAATAATGCAGATAAAGCAGTCCACTTTGACCACTATATACCAGCCCCCCGAAGGGTACAGATGTTTCTCTTTTGGCATTCGATGGCTATTTAGATGTTTCCCAGTTTTTCTCCATTATAAGCAGCATGGCATTGACCATACTGGTACCTGCCTTCCTGGGAACTTGCAAGTCATTCTGCAGGATAGAGACAAAGAAGAACAATTGCTAGGTGGGAGGCAATGTGAATTTACAAGTTTTTTTAGATAACTCCAAATTGTCCTCCACAGAAAGGCTTTTTCAATTCATATCCTCACCAACAGTGCACAAGGTATATACCTTTTGCTACTCCTCAGGAAAACCTGCTGTTATTAATCTTCTTACATTTTGTGCTAATCTCCTGTGTGAAAAATGTCTTGTAATTATTTTAGTTTGTTTTTCTCTAATTGCTAGTGAGGCTGTGCATCTTTTCACATCTTTTGACACTGGCTATTTGTCTTTCTTCTGTGAATTACCTACTCATATCTTCTTTTATTTCTATTTGGGGCTATTTGTCTTTGTCTTGTTGATTTATAGGACTTCTTTACATATTCCACATGTTTATGATTTGTTACGTGTGCTGCAGATATTTCCTCCCAGTCTATAATTTCTTTTATTTTTAGTTTATGGAGCCTTCTACCATTTAAAAGCTTGATGTATCCAAATTTATTTTCCTTTCCTTTCTTGCTTCTGCATTTTGTACCTTGATGTATTTTGCTGTATTTTATACTTTCACGGGTTTGCTTTCATGTTTGGCTCTTTAAAACATCTGAAACACATTAAACAGACATAGAACATCCTCTTTTCTTACCCCTAGACACAGAATATAATAAAGAAGATGCTAATTATAGAACTGAATCCCAAAACAAGAGTTAAGTAGAAGTGGCCATCATCCCATCTGGATGTGCTGGGAGGTGCTAGCAGTTTGCTAGAGAGAGTTTCCTAAGGCATGAATCTCCAGTGCTCCAAACCGCTTAGAGAATCAAACTCTTCAAAGGGACTTCTCAAGGTAAACCCTATATGGAGTATTTTCCAGAATACATTAATATTCTGGGATATTAGTAAAGTATTAACAATTATCACATGAGGAAAGGCTTTTGTGGTCATATATGGCTGAGAAAGACTTGGTTAAACAATATTAAATGGGTTTATTTGAAGGCAACTTAATTAATGAACATCTATTTTGGTCAGAGGCTGCAAGTTGTCTTCTGATAGAAGTTTACAGTGTGTTTAAAAACCCAAGGGATCATTTAGTTCAGAGCCAAGTTTCTCAACTTTAACTACATTTTGGAATAGCCAGGGAGCATTAAAAAAAAATGCGGAAATTCAAGTCTGTTAGCTTCAGGGACTGTATTTAATAGGTCTATGGTGTGGTTTGGGTATGGGAATTTTAAAAGTTTCCCTGATGATGCCAATGTGCAACCCAGGTGAAGAACCGCTGATTAGCTTCATGGCTTCATTTAGTAGACAGGGAACACAAGCCAGTTTGGGAAATAGCTGGGACCAGATAGAGATGTTTGGAACCCTAGGCCTGGCCTTTCCCTCTATACTGTGCTGCCTTCCTACAACACTTCGTTAATTTGTAGGTTTCAACCTGGAACACACATTACAGGCATTGGCTTTGGCATATATCAGATGCTACCTTGTATTGCTTGTTGGTTCTAAAGGGTCTCAGTTTTCTTTTCTGTAAAAGGGGCCTAATACCCCCTTTTCCTCGTGTCATCGTTATTCTTTGAATTGAATGAGCGAATGCATATGAAAGTTCTGAAAAATGTACATTATGCACATGGAAATTAGAGTGGGCAGATAAGGTCAGGTGACCCAGTGCCAACACAGTGCTCCATTCATAAATGGGTTTGGGAGATGTTTATTGACAGTAATTGCTTGTGGGAATAAGAAGCAGCTGCTCTTACAGAACAACTTCCTCACAAATACACCTGGAATTCCTCACATCCCAGCAAGCTGTCAACATCACCTCCCTCAGGGAACTCTTGATTAAGGTTACCATATTTTCAGCTCCAGGCATTCAGAAAATAAATTCTACATAATTAAAATGCACATGCATATGCATGAACGTGTATATAATTTTGCATGCTGTGTTGAATAGTCTCCAACTTAATAAAGTAGTACACCCTGTGGTTGTCATCCTGCGGGTGTCTCTTTCCCTGGGCTATCCCCTAATACAGAGGACAATTGTTCAGGGACCAGAGAGACTTAACTAATGGAAGGAGCTGAAAGAAGCTGCAGGCAAAGGAAGAGGCATCCAGGGACTGGAATGGGAGGCCTCTCTCCTGCTGACAGCAAAGCAGCATTGTGGCTTTCCCAGAGCATCGGGCAATGCTTTCCTGAAGAGGCTTTGGAAGCATTTAGGGCTCTGTAGGAATCTGGAAATCCAGCCTGCTCTGTGCTTGGGAGACCACCCCCTCCTTAGCCACAGAAGGAATTCAGAGCAGCCTGAAAGCGGCATAAATGCCTCCACGGACTTTCCCTTCAGTGGTAGGAAGGAAACAATCTCACTAACAACCCAGGCAGTCTGTGTCATTTGTAATTAATTCAAAGTATGTATGTGGTAGGTCCTGGAGACACACAGTGGGTGTTCAGACCCTACCCCTGTACTTGTGGAGAATGCAGTTGTATGGAGGATACTGACAAAAAGTCAATGGAAAAATCAAAGAATGACATTTTGTCATGTTAGGAAGGAAGCAGACGAGGGGCCGGCAAGGGTGGGGTGGGAGGGCATTTGCTTTAGTGATGATGGTCAGAGGGAGACCAATGTGGCTGGAGAGTGAGGAGGAACCTGGCAGAAAAGCAGATGAGACCTGGGCAGAGAGCAGATTATGCCAGTGTGTGTGGGTATGCTGCATCTATTAGACAGCCATGTCCACTTCGTGGGTGATAATCAAGGGCGATATTTAAAATAGTCAACACCTGGCAGGGGTGGACCTGGTTTTGCTTAAACATTTTGGGGAGAGGGCCTTTAAAAAAAGAAATTTTCAAGTGTCTTCTCAATGACTTTTTGTTTTTAAAACAAAACAAAACTGATACGGCCTTATAAACATATGGCTAGGATCTTTGAAAGGTGTTTTGCATATGGAGGCCCTGAAACTTAGGCTTCATCAGATTCACAGTAAATCCACCTTTGAAAATCATTCAGAGCAGATGCCAGCAGTAAGCACTGGTACAGCTGTCCTGAGGCATCCCAGCTAAATGTCAGATGCAGATGCAGAGGTTCTTTCAGGGCTAAGAAGAAAACCTTGAAAAGAGTGGGGAAGGGGTGTTAGGGATATTTGCATGTGAGTGGGGGTAATGATGCCCTCTGAATCTAAGCTGCAAAGTTATAGAAGTTATAATATATATAATAGTAATATATTATAATATATAATAACAATGTATGCAGACAGAGGAAAATAATGGAGGAGTCAGTGGGTTAGAGATCTTATAGAAGTCCTAGAATTGTACTAGTGGGGTGCCAGAGAAAGTGAGCTAAAATGACAATGAAAATGAGTCCTTGGAATCTAGAGGTTAGAAGTGGCCCATTTTCTGGTGATGGCAAAGGGCAGGAAATGACCATGCAGTGGGTGGCTGGAGTAGTGTGGAGGAAATGTCAGTGAAATTGAGGGTTGGAGTGTGGGATGACTCACCCATGTGGAACTTTCAGCTACAAATGATGTCATGAGTTGGGTAGAGAGGAAGACAATGAGAATTTTTTTTAAAATTAAACTTGAGAACTCTTTATTATGTAAGAAACAGCTATAACTCTCATTTTCTTGGTTGCTAGGTGTGCTGTCCAGGATCTGGAAAGAAAAGTGCACACAACATCTAAATTTTTCTCCCAGTGGGAGATTCTACTGCTGGTATTAGAATCACAGGCAGACATTACTGCACTTGTTTGGGCTTGGCTGAATCTCTGATCAGTTACATAGTTATATATGTCTGCATTTTCCCTTTCCTTGCTGGAGGTAAATGCCTTTTGAATGGTCATAGTCTCTATAGAGAAGTGTGTTATTAAAAAGGAAAAAAAACAGCAACAGATATTTTATGATATATAATGGTTTTTGTTTTGCAAAAGCCTTTCACATTTATCTCATTTGATCCTCAGAACAAACCCATAAAACAGTGAGCATTTTCCCATACAAGACAGAAAGAAACAGTCTCAAGTTAAGCAAACCACAGAGCTTACACATGTTATAGAAACCAGAGCTGAGGCTTGAATCCAGGTATTCTGCCTCCCTATCCAGTTCTCTTTCCACCAAAGCATGGCCCCATATCTTTGTGGTAATGTTGCCATCTCAGCTGCTTCTACCAAATTGTTTGTTCCTAATGTTGCAAGCCTGTTGGTCTCAGAGAAAAGGGGCAAATGAGAGAATCCTGGGCCTGAGCCTTCAGACCCATGAGATATTTGCTTCCTCCAGGCTGGAGTTTGCTTGCTAAATGAACTGTGCTGGTTGTAAAGATCATGAAGCCAACTGAAAAAGATTTATAAGCTGTCTAGGTGATCATCCTTAATGGGAATACATAGGAGTGTGGGAAATCTCTAATTTACCACCTTGATTTGTGAGGGTGTGTACACTGGCATGGATACGTGTGTAACCCAGGCAGCCTGCTACACCAGTTTCCAAGCTGGCTTGCTTCAGTGCATTCACACACATAAATCCTGTCATTGGGAATATCCTTCCTGGCATCATTGCATGTCTCATTCAATCTCATGTCCCAGCTTAAATACTCAACTCTTTGGACCACTCTTGATTTTCCTAGATAAATGTAAAGTTTTCCTCCTCTGAACTCTCTGTCACCCTCCTGGGACCTCACTTATGGTACTTTTCATCTTGAATTAGTGGGAGTTGAAAAACAACCAGTCTTTCGTACTCTATTGTAAATGTAATACCTTAAGGCCAGGGAACATGTGTCATTCATATTTGTGTATCTGCCAGAGTTACCTTGCACCCTGATGTAAAGGAGCTTTGTTTGCAGTCTGCAATGAGGGACTGCTCATCGGGCCCCCAGTCTGCACAGCAAATCTTGATTCGAGGCATCCAGAAGAGTTGACTGGGGGTGTCTGGAGCTCATGAGAGAAAGAAGGCTGAATTGTGGTCCTAGAGAGGGAAGGTAAAGTCACGGAGCGAATGAGATCACCCCAGGAAACTGTGAGAACTAGTAAGAAGTGATGCAGCCCGAGGACTGAACCTTAGGCAAACACATAAAGGGAGAAAAGTAAAAGAGGAGCCTCTGGGAAGGAATCACTGGGATTCAGGATAAAGTGAAGTCATAGGAGCCAGGAAGGAATGGTGAACAGTGGAAACATTCAGAGAGATAAAATAAGATGTTTAAAAGTGTCCGTTGGATTGAATGACAGAGAGGACATGATGTTCTTTGCCATGATAGCTTCTGTGAGGTGGTGGCTAAGGTGATCAGATGTCCTCCATTGCTTGGGACTGAGGGGGTTTCCAGGATGTGGGACTTGCAGTGCTAAAACCAAAAAAATTCTGGGCAAACTGTGATAAGTTGGTTACTGTAAGTGAGAAAAATAAAAATCAAACTCCAGGGCTGAAGAGCGAGTGTGAGGGAAGAAGCAGCAACTGAAGTGAAGAGCAGTTTTTGGTTCACAGCAAAATTGAGCAGAAAGTGCAGAGTTCCCATAGACCCCTGACCCTGCACACACACAGCCTCCTGCCACTATCCACATCCCACACCAGAGTGGACATTTGTTCCAATCAGTGAACCTGCACTGACACATCACTATCACCCAAAGTCCATAGTTTACATTAGGGTTCACTCTTGATGTTGTATGCTATATGAGTTTTGACAAAGTACAATGTAGTTTAGAATGTCAGTATGGGAGGAAATTATTAGGTGTAAACAGATTGGAAGGGAAAAGAGACACGGATGCATGAAACTGCATTTGCCTGTATTTTATATAAGGTTGAAAAAGTACCAGTTGTCCACATCAAGGAATAAAGGGCTGATGGAGATTTGGGAGGAAGTTAAACCCTGCCTCAAATTCAACTCCCGTGTAGATCTCTAAGGAAAGCCCTATTCCTTATGCTACCTAGATGAAGCTGAGATGCCAGAAACACATTGTAGCAAAAGAAATAAAATTCTCAAGGATATATGGATTCTGGACTAGGTCTATTACTCATGACTCATTTATTCCCTCAACAATGCCTCTGAAGAGGTCTTGGAAGACATTGTTTAAACAGAACATTAAGATGAAATTTCTGTTTCTGGAAGGATGGTATGGAAAACTAGATGCTCTGTCTGGCTGTCTTACCAAAAACAGTTTAACAGTCTGGATAAAATATTTTTTGAAAAAGTAAGTGCAAGCTGGAGCTAGGATGAAAACAGTGAGAGTTGAGAGTCCTAAACCAAAGTGAATAAAAAGGAACAAAATGTTAATACACGCAACAGTATGGAGTAACTCAACACCATTGTGCTGAGTGAAGGAAGCCAGACAAAAGAGAATACATACTGTGTGACTGCATTTACATAAAATTCCTGAAACTGCAAACGAATCTGTAGTGGTAGGAACTAGGTAAGTGGTTTCATGGGAGTAGGAGTAGTTGGAGGAATTGTTACAAAGGAGCAGGGGGAAGCTTTTGGGGTGATGGAAATGTTCACTCTCTTGATTATAAGGATGGTTTCATGAATGTATATTGCCAAAATTGATCAAATATGTGCAGTTTATGGTACTTCAATTATACAGTAACAAAGATCCTAGTAAAAATACCCAGACTAGCTCAGGCAGAAAAAAAAGTGACGGTAGGAACTCAAATTTGAACATTGCTTTGAGTGTTTTTTACCCTGAGGGCATACACCAAACTCTACTGATCCTAAGCTTCACTCTCACATCCTGTCAGGGCAAGGGGAAAGGAGAAAAAGCCTGAAGTGGAGAGTTTAATAGGAGAGCCCCTGTAGGAAACTGGGACCTCCACATGCTGTACTTTTAATGTAAGGATGACCAAAACATAAGCCAGTCCCTCACTCCCTGCCCGCCCAGCGGATAAGTTTTATGTTTATCTATAATTATTTTATCTTTTTTTTTTTTTGAGACAGAGTGTCACTCTGTCACCCAGGCTGGAGTGCAGTGGCACGATCTCTGCTCAGTTCAACCTCCGCTTCCTGAGTTCAAGCGATTCTCCTGCCTCAGCCTCAGCTGGGATTACAGGCACCTGTTACCATGCCCAGTGATTTTTTTTTTTTTTTTTTAGACAGATGCATTTGCATCATGTTGGCCTGACTAGTCTTGAACTCCTGACCTCAAGTGATTCACCTGCCTCGGCCTCCCAAAGTGCTGGGATTACAGGTGTGAGCCACCGTGGTGGGCCCCTATACTTATTTTATCTTGATAGCAAACACAAGGTTTCTAGATTAGTGATCAGACCAATTATTTACCTACAGCAGTAACATTAATGGTTCTCCATGCTCCACTTACCCCTTTGTGGTGATGTGATGAGGGCAGATATTCCCCTTGCATGTACAAAGGGAGTCAGTCCTTTTGGAGGGAAACCCAGAAATTATGAACCTCAGAGTTTATGAAGGAACTGCTGCCCTTTCCTCTGCAGAGAGGAAAAGAAACCATTGCTCTCTAATGTAAACCAATCCTCTATAGGAAGAGAAGGGGAAGGTCCCTAGGTGTCCACATCCTTTGAAGGTAAATAAATAATAGTTTTTGGGAAAATAAACCTTCAAATCTCTCTGGGGTAATAAACAATCTCGAAATTCTAAGGCTTGTTTACCATTCACTCATACTTGGCCAGGAATTTTTGCTCATGCACAAACAGGAAAATATTCACACTGTTTCTTGACAGAGGATACATGGGAACACTGCCTATCTCGAGCTTAAATACTTACTGGAGAAGTGAAATACTCAGTTGAGCATTAATAAACATAATATGGCCTCATGTAGACTGAATTCATATTATTTGGATTGTAATAATAAATTAAATTAGACACTTAATTGATTATTTAACAGCTGATTAGATATAGCTCAAAACAGACCTGAGAAATAAATCTAAAGAGATCAACCAGTATGCTGCAAAGAGAGACAAAAAGATGGAAAATATGAAAAAGTGGTTAATAGGTATGGGAAACAGAATGAAAAGATCTATCATGAGTCTAAATGGAGTCTCAAAAGGAGAAAAGAGAGAGAATAGTGAAGAGGCAAATTTTTGAAAAGATAATGACTGCAGAATTGATGAAAGACTGTAATCCTCAAATTCAGACAGAACAATGAATTCTGAGCAGGTTAAATTAAAATAAATACATTCCTAGGTACATCATAGTGTATATTAAAAGCAGCAAGAGCGATTACTCTCAAAAGAGCACCTAGATCACTGACCAAGAAGTCATCTGATTTTTTAAAAATTGAGATGTAATTCATAGACCATTAAATTCACTCTTTTTAAGTGTACAATTTAGCTATTTAAGTATCTTCACAAGGGTGGAACCACCACCACTACCTAGTTCCAGAACATTTTCATTACCCCCAAAAGAAACTTGTACCATTTAAGCAATCATTCTGCATTCCACTCCCTTCCCCCAACCCCTGTCAGCCAATTCTCTACTTTCTATTTCTATGGATTTACCTACTTTGGACATTTCATACAAAAAGACTCATATAATGTGGCCTTTCGTGCCTGCTTTCTTTCACTTAGCATAATGTTTTCAAGGTTCATTCATGTTGTAACATGTATCAGTCACTACTTCATTCCTTTTTGTGGCTGAGTAATATAATACTAATATTCTTAAACATTTTCTTTATTCCTTTATCAGTTGATAAACATTTGGGTTATTTCCATTTTTTGGCTATTATTAACTATACTGTTATGAACATTCATATATAAATTTTTATGTGAACATATGTTTTCAATTCTCCTGGAATATACCTAGAAGTGGAATTGCTGGGTCATGTGATAACTCTATGTTTGGTTTCTAATAAAGTGATAAACAGTTTTCCAAAAGTAGCCGCACCATTTTACATTCCCACCAGCAATGTACGAGGATTCTGGTCTCCCCACATGCTTGCCAAGGCTTGTTTTTGTCCATGTTTTTGATGATAGCCATTGTAGTGGATGTGATGTGGTATTTCATTGTAGTCTTGATTTGCATTTCCCTAATGACTAATGATGTTGAGCATCTATTCGTGTGCTTATTGGCCATTTATATGACTTCCTTGGAGAAATGTCCCTTCAAATCCTTTGCCCATTAAAAAAAATTGATTGTCTTTTTATTTTTGACTTATAAGAGTTCTTTGTATATTCTGCATTCTTGATCCTTATTAGATATACGATTTGTAAATATTTTCTCCCATTCTGTGGGTTGTCTTTCACTTTCTTAATAGTGCCCATTTAAAAAAAAATGAACCATTGAACACCAAATTCAAAAAATTTAAAAACTATTATAGTGTTATCCTGATTTGCTGGTTACCTCCTTTTAGCCTTCACTGCGTAAATTTGGCAAACCCAAATGTAAGCTTATCTTGGATGCCTGCCTTTCTCTGCCGTCTCTGACAGTTGCTTACCACTCCCCAGAAATGTATTTCCTGTGGAGTGGACATACCATAATGTTTGTAAATTCTGAGCTACTCATTTTTTCCTCAATATCAGATATTGCCTTGTGGAATACAGAATGACTGCCCCTAGACAACAACAATTTAAGGGTGGTCAGTAAGAGTAAGTAGCAATTCAAAGATATTTGCCTCATGCGTGGGCACATTTGTATGTGAGTGTGTGCATATACGTGCCTTGCAGATCCAGAGCTAATGGGATAGGTTGGTAAAATGATTGATGGTCTTCCCCAGGAGGATGATCAATATTAACGATATATAGATGGTTTTCCTCAGATTTCTCATGCTTTTTTTTTTTCCAATTCACTTTACCGGGCAAGTAGGAGAGACATGGAGTTGATCCTCTCATTTCCCTCCAAACAGGTTGTGGAATTCACCTTGCATACCTCCTGTTTCCTCATACAGCCCCTCCTCATAATCCCTCTGCATCCCCACCCTATGGGTCACTGAGTTGCATTGATTCAGCTAACTCAGTATCTCCCACCTAACCATGTTCTGTTTCCATCCACACCCTCCTAGTTTAAGGCTTCATGGCTGGCAGCCTCCTAACTTACCTCCTTGTTGTAGTCCCTCGAATTCCACTCTGATCTCTGCACCACTGCCCTAGCATCCTTCTAAAAGCCTGTAGCTTGTCATTTATACTCTGCAAACCTAACAAGAGGGACCAGGTCTTCTCGTCTTTAGAAATAAAACATAAATGAGCATGTCACTTTTTTGTTAAAAATCTTCTCTGGCTCCCCTCTACCTTTCGCCTGCCGTCTGAAGAACTCAGCATGGCATCCAAAGCCGCTTCCAGGTGCTGCTATCATCACACTTCCTGCCCGACTGCCCACCATTCTCCTTTCCTCTCACATCCTGTCCTTTCTACACCACGGCTGCCCTGCACCACTCTGCCCCCTATCATTGAGGGCATCTCCATGTCTCTGGTGCAGTTCCAGTGCCAACTGTTCTGTGCAGACTGCCCTGGATGTTTGACCAGTATTATTCCTTCGCTCCCACTGTGCTTTGTCTGTATCTCCCAGACAACAGTTATCGCATGCCTCCTGTCTCCTTCCTGGAAGGCGGGGATTTTGTGAATTCATACATAACCTCTCAGGGCCTGGCTAATCATTGATGGTCAATAAACATTTGTTGAATTGAGCTACATTTTTATGTGCAAGCTTAACTTTAGAAAGAAAAACTTAGGGAGAAAAACCAGGAGAGGAGGTGGGTGTGGGTTTCATAGGATAACAGTCTCTTGATTCCCCAGAATTTCGAGACGTTTCAGATGCCACCAAGCTGAAACTCCTGCCTCATGCGGCCCTTGTTCCTGTCACTCTCTTTCTTCTCTTCTCTCAGTCTCCAGCTTGCCTGCTACTCCTCCTCCACGTGGCCAATGGTTGTGGTATCTGCCTGCTTCCCCTCTGGCTTGTCTGATGGTCCCACGAAGAGGCTGGAAGGCGAACTTTTCTGGGACTGTCTCCATGGGGACTTGGAATGTAATAGACAGTCTTCCTGCTGCAGGCAGGCAGGCAGGCAGGCAGGAGGGGCAGGAGAGGGAGGCAAGGTCTCAGGTCCCTTTCCTCTCTTGCCCTGGAGTGAACTGCATGCCCCATATTCTGGGAGGAGAGAATTCAGAGCAGGTGTTTCCTCCTCTGAAAGGCAAAACATTCCTCTAGCACTTCATCTTTTCTCTGCCATCTCTGACATTTGCTCACCACTCCCCAGAAATGTATTCCCTGTGGAGTAAAATCTAGAGTTCAGCTGAAGGACAGGAAGAAAAACCATAAAACCCTTACATATCAAACTGTCTGACCTGCTGATGTAATTCATTTGCAAGGACACTATAAGATTGTTATACTTAGATAGAGCTTGCGTTTGGCACCGGCTTCGGGGAATTGCTTTCTCTTTTTCTGCACATAGCAAGGATCATCCCTGTCCTTATCCTGGGGTGTGGGACCTACCTTCCTTAACCCCTATTACCTAGTTTCCTGGCCACTTGGGGCTTCCTTCTTATAACTTCTTGTAATGACTGTATTCATACTCACATAACTTTTCTGTATAGCTTTGAAAACAGATCTCCCCATCCATCCTTCCTGCCCCTTCATGCCTTTCCTAAGCTCTCCCCACCAAAACACACAATTTGAGGGCTAGCCCAGTGCATAGCATCTACTTACACAGTCCAGCATGGTATCTACTCGTTCTTGTCAGACCCCTATTGACTTCAGTAGGGATGGCACTGTGTTCAAGAGGCTGAAGAGACCCAGAGCCAGTGAATGAGACATAGGGTTTATTGAAGGAACTTACACACAGGGAGATCTGGTGGCAGTGGGTTAGAGAGGAGAACTGCCACCACTTTTAACAAGTATGCAATTTATATAGCATTTTCACTTAGTATCCTCTCCCTAGCAACCTCCACCTGGTAACCTTCATTCAACCCAAAACAAAGGGCCTTGAGCCCCTGTATGAGCTGCATTCCACAGGATGGGCAGAGGGCATGTGTCGGTAGTGGTGGGGGTTTGGATGTTCCTCATAGATAAGGAATGAATCTCTGGGTTGGTCACTCCCGGATTCCTTATCTTGGAACTCTAAACACATTCTTCTTAGACCATAGGGTCATTCGCAGGGTATGCTTACATTAAGGTATTGCTGTCACTTATGTCTGCCATACACTAGTAATATGTTGCTACTTAAATGTAAATGAAGGAAAATTTTCCTAGCCAGAGCAATCAGACAAAAGAAAGAAATAAAGGGCATCCAAATCAGTAAAGAGGAAATTAAACTGTTGCTGTTGGCTGATGAGATGATCATATACCAAGAAAACCCTAAAGATTCATCCAAAAAGCTCGTAGATCTGATAAATAAATTCAGGAAAGTTTCAGGTTACAAAATAAGTGTACACAAATCAATAACACTGCTATATACCAACAATGACCAAGGTGAGAATCAAACCAAAAACTCAACCCTTTTTACAACAGCTGCAAAATAATAATAATAATAATAATAATAATAATAATAATAATAATAAAATACTTAGGAATATATCTAACCAAGGAGGTGAAAGATCTCTACCATGAAACTACAAAACATTGCTGAAAGTAATCCTAGATGACAAAAACAAATGGAATCACATCTCATGCTCATGGATGGCTAGAATCAATATTGTGAAAATGACCATGCTGCCAAAAACAATCTACAGATTCAATGCAATTCCCACTAAAATACCATCATCATTCTTCACAGAACTAGAAAAAAAAATCCTAAAATTCACATGAAAACAAAAAAGAGCCCACATAGCCAAAGCAAGACTAAACAATCAACAACAACCACAAAACAAATCTAGAGGCATCACATTACCTGACTTCAAACTATACTATAAGGCCATAGTCACCAAAACAGCATGGTACTGGAATAAAAATAGGCACATAGACCAATGGAACAGAATAAGGAACCCAGAAATAAACCCAAACACTTACAGCCAACTGATCTTTGACATAGCAAACAGAAACATTAAGTGGGGAAAGGACTACCTATTCAACAAATGGTGCTGGGATAACTGGCAAGCCACATGTAGAAGAATAAAACTGGATCCTCATCTCTCACCTTATACAAAAATCAACCTGAGATGGATCAAAGACTTAAACTTAAGACCTGAAACCATAAGAATTCTAGAAGATAACATCAAAAAAACCCTTCCAGAAATTGGCTTAGGCAAAGACTTTATGACCAAGAACCCAAAAGCAAATGCAATGAAAACAAAGATAAATAGATGGGACCCAATTAAACTAAAAAGCTTCTGCATAGCAAAAGAGATAATCAGTAAACAGACAACCCACAGAGGGGGAGAAAATATTTGCAAACTATGCATCTGACAAAGGACTAATATCCAGAATCTACAATGAACTCAAACAAATCAGCAAGAAAAAAACAAATAATCCCATCAAAAAGTGGGCTAAGGACATGAACAGACAATTCTCAAAAGAAGATATACAAATGGCCAACAAACATATGAAATGATGCTCAACATCGCTAATTATCAGGGAAATGCAAATCAAAGCCACAATGTGATACCACCTTACTCCTGCAAAAATGGTCATAATCAAAAAATCAAAAAATAACAGATGTTAGTGTGAATGTGGTGAAAAGGAAACACTTTTACACTGTTGGTGGGAATGTAAACTAGTACAACCACTATGGAAAACAGTATGGAGATTTCTTAAAGAACTAAAAATAGAACTACCATTTGATCCAGCAATCCCACTACTGGGTATCTACACAGAGGAAAATAAGTCATATGAAAAACATGCTTGCACATACATATGTATAACAGCACAATTTGCAATTGCAAAAATATGGAACCAGCCTAAATGCCCATCAACCAATGAGTGGACAAAGAAAATGTGAGATATATATATATATATATATATATATATATAAAACTCAGAGATAAAAAGGAATGAAATAATGGCATTTGCAGGAATCTGTATAAAGTTGGAGACCATTATTTTAAGTGAAGTAACTCAGGAGTGGAAAGCCAAACATTTTATGTTCTCACTCATAAGTGGGAGCTAAGTTATGAGGATGCAAAGGCATAAGAATTATACAATGGACTGTAGTGACTCAGAGTAAAGGATGGGAGAGGGGTGAGGGATAAAAGACTACACCCTAGTTACAGTGTACACTGCTTGGGTGACAGGTGCACCAAAATCTCAGAAATTACTACTACAGAACTTGTCCATGTAACCAAAACGCATCTTTTCCCCAAAAACTATTGGAATTTTTTAAAAAGGAAAAAAAATGAAAAAAATTAAAATTAAAAATTTATACTAGTCACATCTTTAGAACTCAGGAGCCACATGTGGCTACTGGCCACATATTCATCATTATGGATTTATAACATTTTCATCATTGCAGAATATTCTGTTTGAATATAGTGTCACTATGAGGAGCATGTTTGTCTTTCTGGGACATGTTCATTGAATTTTATCTGAGAAAAATGATTTTTTTATTGAAGCTTTTATTATTCATATATTGTTTCTTCAGATTATCATTTTCTTTCTTTTTTTTTACATTTTAATTTCCACAGATTATTGGGGAACAGGTGATGTTTGGTTACATGAGTAAGTTCTTTAGCGGTGATTTGTGAGATTTTGGTGCACCCATCACCCAAGCAATATACACTGTAAACAATTTGTAGTATGTTATCCCTTACCCACCCCTTACCATTTCCCCGAGTCCTTAAGGTCCACTGTGTCATTCTTATGCCTTTGCATCTTCATAGCTTACCTCCCACTTATGAGTGAGAACACACTATGTTTGGTTTTCCATTCCTGAGTTACTACTTCACTTAGAATAACAAACTCCAATTTCATCCAGGTTACTGAGAATGCAACTAACTCATTCCTTTTTATGGCTGAGTAGTATTCCATCATATATTATGCACCATGGTTTCTTTATCCACTCGTTGGCTGATGGGCATTTGGGTTGGTTCCACGTTTTTGCAATTGAGAATTGTGCTGCTATAAACGTGTGTGCAAGTATCTTTTTCTTATAATGACTTCTTTTCCTCTGAGTAGATACCCAGTAGTGGGATTGCTGGATCAAATGGTAGTTCTACTTTTAGTTCTTTAAGGAATCTCCACACTGTTTTCCATAGTTTACATTCTCATGAACCATGTGGAATTATTCCCTGTTCACTGCATCCATGCCAACATCTATTAAGTTTTGATTATGGCCATTCTTGGCATGAGTAAGGTGGTATCGCATTGTGGTTTTGATTTGTATTTCCCTGATAATCAGTGATGTTGAGCATTTTTTCATATGTTTGTTGGCCATTTGTATAACTTCTTTTGAGAATTGTCTATTCATGTCCTTAGCCCACTTTTTAATGGTTTTTTTTCTTGGTAATTTGTTTGAGTTCGTTGTAGATTCTGGATATTAGTCTTTTGTCAGATATATAGATTGTAAAAAAATTTTTTTCACTCTGTGGGTTTTCTGTATACTCTGCTGACTATCCCTTTTGCTGTGCAAAAGCTCTTTAGTTTAATTAACTCCCAGTTATTTATCCTTGTTTTTATTGCATTTGCATTTGGGTTCTTGGTCATGAAATCCTTGCCTACACCAAGGTTTACAAGGGTTTTTTCAATGTTATCGTCTAGAATTTTTATTGTTTCAGGACTTTAAGTCCTTGATTCATCTCAAGTTGATTTTTGTATAGGTGAGAGATGAGGATCCAGTTTCATTCTCCTACATCTGGCTTGCCAATTATCCCAGCACCATTTGTTGAATAGGGTTTCCTTTCTCCACTTTATGTTTCTGTTTGCTTTGTTGAAGATCAGTTGGCTGTAAGTGTTTGAGTTTATTTCTGGGTTCTCTATTCTTTTCCACTGGTCTATGTGCCTATTTCTATATCGGTACCATACTGTTTTGATGGCTCTGGCCTTATAGTATAGTTTGAAGTCAGGTAATGTGATACCTCCAGATTTGTTCTTTTTTGCGTAGTCTTGCTTTGGCTATGCGGGCTCTTTTTTGGTTTTATATGAATTTCAGGATTGTTTTTTCCAGTTCTGTAAAGAGTGATGGTGGTATTTTGATGGGAATTGCATTGAATTTTTAGATTGCTTTTGGCAATATGGTCATTTTTACAATATTGATTCCACCCATCCACGAGCATGGGATGTGTTTCCATTTGTTTGTGTTGTCTATGATTTTTTCAGCAGTGTTTTCTAGTTTTTCTTGTAGAGGTATTTCACTTCCTTGGTTAGGTATATTCCTAAGCATTTTATTTTATTTTATTTTGCAGCTGTTGTAAAAGGGGTTGAGTTCTTGACTTGATTCTCAGCTTGGTTGCTGTTGGTGTATAGGAGAGCTACTGATTTGCGTACATTAATTTTGTGTCTGGAAACGTTACTGAATTCTTTTATCAGATCTAGGAGCTTTCTGGAGAAGTCTTTAGGGTTTTCTAAGTAAACCATCATATCATCAGCAAACAGCAACGGTTTAACTTCCTCTTTACCGATTTAGATGCCCTTTATTTCTTTCTCTTGTCTAATTGCTCTGGCTAGGACTTCCAGCACTATGTTGAAGAGAAGTGGGGAGAGTGGGCATTCTTGTCTTGTTCCGGTTCTCAGAGGGAATGCTTTCAACTTTTCCTCATTCAGTATTATGTTGGCTGTGGGTTTGTCATAGATGGCTTTTATTACATTGAGATATGTCCCTTGTATGCCAATTTTGCTAAGAGTTTTAATCATAAAGCAATGCTGGATTTTGTCAAATGCTTTTTCTGCATCTATTGAGATGATCATGTGATTTTTGTTTTTAATCCTTTTTGTGTCGTGTACCACATTTATTGACTTGTGTATGTTAAACCGTTCCTGCATCCCTTGTGTATGACTTGTGTGAAACCCATGATCAAGTGGGTTTCATATTGACTTTTGTATGAAACCCACTTGACCATGGTGGATTATCTTTTAGATCTGTTGTTGGATTTGGTTAGCTAGTATTTTGTTAAGGATTTTTGCATCTATGTTCATCAGGGATATTGGTCTGTAGTTTTTTTTTTTTTTTTAATTATGTCCTTTTCTGGTTTTGGTATTACGGTGACACTGGCTTCATAGAATGATTTAGGGAGGATTCCCTCTTTCTCTATCTTGTGGAATAGTGTCAATAGGATTGGTACCAATTCTTCTGAATATCTGATAGTATTCTGCTGTGAATCTGTCTGGTCCTGGACTTTTTTTTACTGGTAATTTTTTAAATTACCATTTCAATCTTGCTGCTTGTTATTGGTCTGTTCAGGGTATCTAATTCTTCCTGACTTAAGGTAGGAGGGTTGTATCTTTCAGGAATTTATCCATCTCCTCTAGGTTTTCTACTTTATACACGTAAAGGTGTTCATAGTAGCCTTGAATGATCTTTCATATTTCTGTGGTGTCAGTTGTAATATCTCCTGTTTTGTTTCTAATTGAGCTTATTTGGATTTTCTGTCTTCTTTTCTTGGTTAATCTTGCTAATGGTCTACCAATTTTATTTATCTTTTCAAAGAACCAGCTTTTTGTTTCATTTGTCTTTTGTTTTGTATTTTTTTTGTTTCAATTTCATTTAGTTCTGCTCTGATCTTGGTTATTTCCTTTCTTCTGCTGGGTTTGGGTTTGGTTTGTTCTTGTTTCTCTAGTTCCTTGTGGTGTGAGCTTAGGTTGTCTGTTTGTGCTCTTTCAGACTTTTTGATATAGGCATTTAGGGCTGTGAACTTTCCTCTTAGCACTGCCTTTGCTGTATCCCAGAGGTTTTGATAGGTTGTGTCACTATTGTTGTTTAGTTCAAAGAATTTTTAAATTTTCATCTTGATTTCATTTTTGACCCAATGGTCATTCAGGAGCAGGTTATTTAATTTCCATGTATTTGCATGGTTTTGAAGGTTGCTTTTGGGGTTGACTTCCAGTTTTATTCCATTGTGCTCTGAGAGAGTGCCTGATATAATTTCAATTTTCTTAAATTTGTTGAGGCTCGTTTTGTGGCCTATCATATGGTTTATCTTGAAGAAAGTTCCATGCAGTGATGACTAGAATGTATATTCTGTGGTTGTTGGGTAGAATGTTCTGTAAATATCTGTTAAGTCCATTTGTTCCATGGTATAGTTTAAATCCATTGTTTCTTTGTTGACTTTCTGTCTTGATGACCTGTCTAGTGCTGTCAGTGGAGTATTGAATTCCCCCACTATTATCATATTGCTGTCCATTTCATTTCTTAGGTCTATTAGTAATTGTTTTATAAATTTGGAAGCTCCAGTTTTAGGTGCATATATATTTAAAATTGTGATATTTTCCTCTTGGACAAGGCCTTTTATCATTATATAATGTCCCTCTTTGTCTTTTTCAACTGCCGTTGTTTTAAAGTTTGTTTTGTCTGATATAAGAATAGCTACTTCTGTTAGCTTTTGGTGTCCATTTGCATGGAATGTCTTTTTCCACCCCTTTACCTTAAGCTTATGTGAGTCCTTACATGTTAGGGGAGTCTTTTGAACACAGCAGATACTTGGTTGGTGAATTCTTATCCATTCTGCAATTCTGTATCTTTTAAGTGGAGCATTTAGGCCATGTACATTCAACATTAGTATTGAGATGTGAGGTACCATTCCATTCTTCGTGCTATTTGTTGCCTTTATACCTTTTTTTTCAATTATATTTTTGTTTTATAGGTCCTATGAGATGTATGCCTTAAAGAGGTTCTGTTTGATGTGCTTCCAGGATTTATTTCAAATTTTAGAGCTCTTTTAGCAGTTTTTGTAATGCTGGCTTGGTAGTGGCAAATTCTGTCAGCATTTGTTTGTCTGAAAAAGACTGTATGTTTCCTTCATTTACAAAGCTTAGTTTCACTGGATACAAAATTCTTGGCTGATAATTGTTTTGTTTAAGGAGGCTGAAGGTAGGACCCCAATCCCTTCTAGCTTGTAGGGTTTCTGCTGAGAAATCTGCTGCTAATCTGATAGGTTTTCCTTTATAGGTTGCCTGGTGCTTCTGTCTCACAGCTCTTAAGATTCTTTTCTTTGTCTTAACTTTAGATAACCTGATGACAATGTGCCTAGGTGATTGTCTTTTTGCAATGAACTTCCCAGGTGTTCTTTGAGCTTCTTGTATTTGGATGTCTAGGTCTCTAGCAAGGATGGGGAAGTTTTCTTTGATTATTCCCCAAAATATGTTCTCCAAACTTTTAGATTTCTCTTCTTCCTCAGGAATGCTAATTATTCTTAGGTTTGGTCATTTAACATAATCTGAGACTTCTTGGAGGCATTGTTCGTATTTTCTCTCTCTCTTTTCTTTTTTAAATTTTACTTTAAGTTCTGGGATACATGTGCAGAACATGCAGGTTTGTCACATAGGTATACATGTGCCATGGTGGTTTGCTGCACCTATCAACCAATCATCTAGGTTTTAAGCCCCCACATGCATTAGGTATTTGTCCTAATGCTCTCCCTCCCCTTGCCCCCCAACTCCCCAACAGGCCCCTGTGTGTGATGTTCCCCTCCCTGTGTCCATGTGTCTCATTGTTCATCTCCCACTTATGAGTGAGAACATGCAGTGTTTGGTTTTCTGTTCCTGTGTTAGTTTTCTGAGAATGATGGTTTCCTGCTTCATCCATGTCCCTGTAAAGGACATGAACTCATTCTTTTTTATGGCTGCATAGTATTCCATGGTGTATGTGTGCCACATTTTCTTTATCCAATCTACTGTTGATGGGCATTTGGGTTGGTTCCAAGTCTTTGCTATTGTAAATAACGCTGCAATAAACATACATGTGCATGTGTATTTACGGTAGAATGATTTATAATCCTTTGGGTATATATCCAGTAAAGGGATTGCTGGGTCAAATGGTATTTCTGGTTCTAGATCCTTGAGGAATCACCACACTGTCTTCCACAATGGTTGAACTACTTTACACTCCCACCAACAGTGTAAAAGCATTCCTGTTTCTCCACATCCTCACCAGCATCTGTTGTTTCCTAACTTTTTAATGATTGCCATTCTTACTGGCATGAGACGGTATCTCACTGTGGTTTTGATTTGCATTTCTCTAATGACCAGTGATGATGAGCTTTTTTTCATATGTTTGTTGGCCACATAAATGTCTTCTTTTGAGAAGTGTCTGTTCACATCCTTAGCACACTTTTTGAGGCAGTTTTTTTTTTGTAAATTTGTTTAAGCTCCTTGTAGATTCTGGATGTTAGCCCTTTGTCAGATGGATAGATTGCAAACATGTTCTCCTATTCTGTAGGTTGCCTGCTCACTCTGATGATAGTTTCTTTTGCTTTGCAGAAGCTCTTTAGTTTAATTAGATTACATTTGTCAATTTTGGCTTTTGTTGCAATTGCTTTTGGTGTTTTAGTCATGAAGTTTTTGCCATGCCTATGTCCTGAATGGTATTGCCTAGGTTTTCTTCTAGGGTTTTTATGGTTTTAGGTTTTACATTTAAGTCTTTAATCCATCTCGAGTTAATTTTTGTATAAGGTGTAAGGAAGGAGTCCAGTTTCTGTTTTCTGCATATGGCTAGCCAGTTTTCCCAGCTTATTCTTTTTACTTTGTCTTTGTTGGCTTGGGTTAATTCGAAAACTTTGTCTTTGAGCTCTAAAGTTCTTTCTTCTGCTTGTTTGATTCTATTGCTGAGACTTTCCAGGGCATTTTGCATTTCTATAAGTGCATCCATTGTTTCCTGAAGTTTTTATTGTTTTTTAATTATGCTATCTATTTCATTGAAAATTTCTCCCCTCATTTCTTGTATCATTTTTTTTTTTTACTTCCTTAAATTGGGCTTCACCTTTCTCTGGTGCCTCCCTGATTAGCTTAATAACTAAGCTTCTGAATTCTTTTGCAGGTAAATCAGGGATTTCTTCTTGTTTCGAATCCATTGCTGGTGAGCTAGTGTGATTTCTTGGCGGTGTTAAAGAACCTTGTTTTGTTTTGTCATATTACCAGAGTTGTTTTTCTGTTTCCTTCTCATTTGGGTAGGCTCTGTCAGAGGGAAGGTCTAGGGCTCAAGGCTGTTGTTCAGATTCTTTTGTCCCACAGGGCGTTCCTTTGATGTAGTACTCTCTCCCTTTTTCTCAGGATGTGGCTTCCTGAGAGCTGAGCTGTAGTGATTGTTATCTCTTCTGGATCTAGCTACCCAGCAAGTCTACCAGGCTTCGGGCTGGTACTGGGGGTTGTCTGCACAGAGTCTTGTGATGTGAACCATTTGTGGGTTTCTCAGCTGTGGATACCAGCACAGTATTTGGGGTGTCTCCTGCGTCCTGCAGGAGCAATCCGTTTCCTTCAGAGGGTCTGTGGGTTCTGTTAGCTTTCCTGATTTATTCCTGCAGTTGTTCTGGAGCAAAAGTTCATGATGCAAGACTCTATATGCTGCTCTGCCCATCCGAGTGGGAGGGGAAATCTAGTCCTGCCTTCCGTCTGCCATGATTTCCTCCTTCTGAAGCCAGAGTATCATTTTCTAAATTGGGACTTGGTTTCACCAGCATGGGTATACAAATGGAGGCAATTTAAGAGTAGCAATTATATGTACTGCCTAATTTGTACAATGTACCATGCCAGGTACTTTCTATATGCTACTTCTGATTCTCACAACAACCTTATGGGTTAGATTTATTTCTATTTACATATATGGAGACTGAAGCTCCAAGAGGTAAAAAGAACTCAAAACTATACACTAGTCAGAAGCTGGGATTCCAACCCATGTCTGTTGGGCTCCACAGTCTTTTCTACTATATGTCTCAGTGCCCCTCCAGCATGAAAGACCATTTTATGTGAAGACTTACCAAGCTGAAACATTTGGACTTGGAAGATTTAATACGCAATCACTGTTCTCAGAGATCTTTCAGTCTAGCTAGAAAGGCAAACAACTTCATTGCTACTGTCATCACTTTGCAAACATTTCTATAACGCTATAATTTACAAAGGGTGCTCTCATTCTTTTGGTATTTCAGGAAGTATTGTAGAGCTGGACTTAACTGACAGAAATTGAAGTACATGCACCTGGATAATGGAGATACTTACGAAGGAGCAATCATTAACTGTGATTGTGTGGGAGATGCAGAGGAGATGTCTCAGGAATTGAATCTTGATGAATGAGGAGGATTTCTATAGGCAGAAGGGTGCTCTGGGCAGAAACAGCCACATTATGAATGGTAAACACCCATGCTGCAGCCTCATCGCCCTCTAATCCACCCCACTTCCTGCAGTCAGAGTGAGCTTTCTAAAACACAAGACTGTTGCTTCCTGGCTTAAAAGATTTTCGTGGTTCCATTACCCTGGGATATAGTCCCAACTCCCTGCGATGGTTTGGGAGGCTGCACAGTCTGGGTGAAATACTGTTCTCACATTTCCACCTCTTTCTTATTTCCCACCCTACAGTGATTTGTTTCCTTGAATATACCAACCCTTCTCTCACCTTGGGGCTTTTATTCAGACTTTTCTTGACTTGACTATCCTTCCTTTCACTGACCACTTGCTTTTCTTGCTAATGCTTTTTCATTCCTTCAAGATTCAGTTAGTTGCCTCCTCGGTGGTCTGTGGATACACCTTGCTTGCCTCTGTCATAACTGCCATCCACCTCATTGAGACAGCCTCTCCTATGTGACTCCCACATCACCCAGACAGTAAACAACTTGAGGGCAAGGACTGTGTCTTATTCATTACATACAGAGCATTTAGCATATTGTGAATGATCAATAAATATCTGTTGAATGAATAAATGAGAATATTCCCATTTACTAAGGATGCTGACCTGCCCTTAGGGATATATCAAGCCGGGTTTCATGGTGAATGCATAAGAAGGACTGTAGAGAAAGCAGTATATTAAAAATGCATGACTCAGGATATTACTACAAACCAATTTGTGTCTCCCATGTTGCTATACATTTATTTAATAGGACTAATTCTTCCCCTACCACTGGATTAAAAAAAATGTGCAGTCCCATGACTTTTCTAGTAATCCTTAAGTTATACAAACCATCTCAATTTACTAATTAGAAAATCAGCAGTCAAGTCTGAGCTTCCCTGATGACTTGCTAGCCTAGCCCCTCCTGTTTAATTCCCCGCTGTTACTCTCTATGATAAGTATCCATTACTTTTCACCTTGAGTATTGCAGTACCTCTTCACTGGCCTCCAAGTTTGTCTCTCTGATTTTCTAAAGGACAGCTGAAGTTCTTTCTGCAGAAATTTTCAGTGGCTCCCAATCACCTAAAGAGTCAAATCCAAATTCTTAACTTTACATTCAAGATTCTCCATGATCTGACTCCAGCCCTTTCTCCAGTTTTATCCTCATCAACCTTATAAGTCTATGCTGCCATTAAATTTCCCAGTGTTCCCTGAACATGCCTTTGCTCATGCTCTTCTATCAGCCTGGATGCCTGACCCTCTTCTTTGCCTAACAAGACTGACTCCATCCTACGGGCTGTGGCTCAAACACTCTTCTCTGTGAGGCCTTCCCCAGCTCTTCAGTTAGAATTACTAAATCCTTTCTCAGTATTCCCATAGCTGCAGTAGGACTTTTAAAAAGCCCAGTGCTTTCCACCTCAATGAAACACATAATTATTAAATGCCCAATTGTAGGCAATGCATCAGCTGTTGGCTACTGTGATACAGGAGTTTTATGGGGGTTGTTTTAACAGGAATTTAAGATCTGTAGATTAGTGAACCATGAGGGCCTCTAGAAGAAATAGGAAGTAACTCCTCACCTCTTTATTGTGAGGTGGTGAGGGATATATTACAGAAATAAATAAGGATTCTTCCCAGCGTAGTCTCTTTAAAAAAGAAACATGGAAATGGCCAAATGTCTGTCAAAAACGAATGGATAAATTTGTTTTTCTGTAAAGTCATACAATCTACTTTACAGTAATGAAAATGGTTGATGCCACCTACACACATCAATATGGATGAGTCTCAAAAACACATTATTAAACAAAATAAAATTACTCACAGAAGAATACATCAATATGATTTCAGGTGTGATGTAAAGTTCAAAAATAGGCAAAAATATATCCTTTGTATACACATAGAAAGTACAAGTTGAAGAGAAAAAGGGAATGATGAACACAGGGTTCAGGATGGTGACCACCTGTGGGTGGAGAGGGGCAGTCCATGAGGTGGGGCAGAACTGATGAACTACAATGAGACATCATCATCACCCAGAATCTACAGTTTAACTTAGGGGGTCACTCTTGGCATTGACATTCTACGGATTTTGATAAATGTATAATGACATGTATCCACCATTAGAGTATCATACAGAATAGTTTCACTGCCCTAAAAATCCTCTGTGCTCCATTTATTCATTTGACCCTCCCCCTCCTAACCCTGGCAACCACTGGCCTTTTTACTGTATTCATGGTTTTGCCTTTTTCATAATGTCATCTAGTTGGAATCGTACAGGATGTAGCCTTTTCAGACTGGCTTTGTTCACTTAGCAATATGCATTTAGAGTTCCTCCATGTCTTTGCCATCTTTGTAACTATTCTGAATCATCTGAAATGTGTCTTTTATAAGCAGCATTTTTTCCCTTCAGTCTAATGATCTACGTATTTCATTGAAATATTTATTATGTTTACATTTACTGCATTTGCAGATATGTTTAGGTGTACAACTATCATTTTGCCACACCTTTCTACTTATACCCGTTCCATGTTCCTTTCTCCTCTCCTTTCTTGCCTTCTTTTGAGTTATTTGTTTTTATTATTCAGTTCTTTCCTCTTTGTAAATAAGTTTCTTACACATTATTTTACTAATTTTAATGGTTAGTCTAGAGATTGCAACAAGCATTACTGACCTATTAATGTCTAATATAAATTAATATTTTTACCATTTCCTGTACGAAATAAGGACATTATTTTTTATGCTTTATTTTTTTAATATAACAGTCTTAAAACACATAGGCAAATGATTAAAAATTGAAGTACACATATTCTACTGAGGGTAAGCATTCAATACATTGGCTGATAATGGCAATAAATACTAAAGTGTAAACATGAAAACGAGTAACTGCCCATGTAAAGGCAAGTTACCTGCTCACTCACTGTTAATCAAACTCTAGTTTTCTTCAAGTTATGCCCAAATTCTTTCCTAATAGAAAGCAGAAATGTATTAATTCATCGGATATTTACTTATATGCCCGCTGTGTTTTACATTGTTCTTGGCACTGCAGATACCAGTGTTAACGATATGGACATGATACAAACAATGTAAAGTAATTACGATGGTGCCTTGAGTTTCATAAGCACCAACAACAGTTATATTACCCTTATTACTGCTACTACACATACTTAGCCTGAAAGCCTTGAAACTTTGAAGCAGTTTAGCACCAAATTCCCTCAAGACAGCTTTTTCCACCTTTGAAGGTTTATCTCTGTAATAGTATGTTAGTCAGATTAAGTTGTTTAATTCTACAGGATCACAACCCCGAGAGTTTTAGTAGCTTTAAACGAGAATCTTTTTCTTGTTCATATACAGTCTTCTTTGACTCTGAGCTTCTTTTCAGTATGCCTGTCCTCCATATGCAGGCTCAGGACTTCAGGCATTTTGTACTTGTCACACTTTATGTCAAAGCTTGCTCCTACAATCACCACTGCAGAGGAAGTATAGCTGGAGAGTCTTCAATCACATTTTGTTGGCTAAAGCAAGTTATTTGGACCCTTCTAACATCAAGAGGGCTGGATAAGAGCAATTTTCCTATCAGTCTGGAAGGAATCATGCTACAGTTTGAATGTGTTCCCTAAAGTTCATGTTTTGGGAACAGAATCCCCCGTGCAACAGTGCTGGGAAGTAGGGCCTAGTAAGAAGTGATTGAGTCAGAAGGGTCTGCCCTCATGAATGGATTAATGTCATTATCTCATAAATGGGTTAGTTATTGAGAGACCAGGTTTGTTATAAAATAAAGTTCAGCCCCCCCTTGCTTTCTGCCCTGTCTTCCTCTTCCATCTTCGGCCATGGGCTGGCACAGCATGAAGGCTGTCACCAGATGCTGGTGGTGCCATGCTCTTGGACTTCCCAACCTCCAAAACTGTGAGCCCAGTAAACTTCTATTGTTTATAAATTTCCCAGTCTCAGGTATTCTGTCATAGTAACACAAAACAGATTAAGACAAGTGGGTATCAAATACTGATGAACGATGGTGCAGCCATGGGTAATCTAATTAAGGTGCCCATTACAAAGTGCTCTCACATACCACCCCTACCTCCACTTAGGCTCTGAACCACCCTACAAGGAAATTATTGTTTAATTTATCCAGATGAGAGCGTACACCTTGCTCACCCAAAATCATTATTACTATAAGAAGTAGTGAAATAATCAAATCCTATGCTTGACACTAGTAACATTTTATTGCACCTTTCATATCTCACATAAAGGAAGAATCATGAACGTAATTTATGCTCTGCTTTAAAGCTCCCAAACATTAACATAATATGAGTCATACATCTTATACTTAGGAATGTTCATTAAAGAGCAGCCATCTGATTGCTCCACCACACATATTGTACACTTTATTATATAAAGGAACATTATTCGACTGCTTTATCAGTGCTTACACTCCTAATTTCTTCTTGTAAAAGTTTTAAAATGCTGAGAACTGCAACTTGCCTTAATAATTTCCATTGTACTTTCTTTCCTAGTTGAACTAAACACTGGACAACAGCATGGTAGGATGAGTGACAGTCCCCCCTAAAAGTCCATGCCTTAATTCCAGATACCTATGAGTATGTTGCCTTATGTAGCAAAAGAAACTTTGTAGATATGAGCAGTTTAAGGATCTTTAGTTGGGGTGTTTATACTCAATTATGTGAGTGGGCCCAAAGTAATCACAAGGGTCTTTGTAAAAGGGAGAGAAGAGAGTCACAGTCAGAAAAGGGAGGTAGAAGAACAGAGGCAGAGGTTGGAGCAGTGCTCTCTGTAGATGTAGTAAAGGACCATGAGCCAAAGAATGCAGGAGACCTCTAGAAGCTGGAAAAGTCAAGGAAATAGAGTCTCCTCTGGAGCCTCCAGAAAAAACGCATCCCAGCCAACACCTTGATTTTAGCCCCATAAGACTCCACTTCAAACTTCAGACCTCCAGAACTGCTAGATAGTATATATTTATTGTTTTTGCCACCAACTTTGTGATAATTTAATATAGCAACAATAGAAACAAATACTTTAGGTAATCAGAAATGCAGCATCCTGGAGTTATGCCTCATCCTCAGCTCTCCTCAAGAGATTGCTTAGTTCTTCTCCCCATACTGGTCTTCTTCAAATTTCATTATTGATTCCCTTGCATCATTATTAGTCCCTCCTCTCTTTTTTATTACCTATTACAACACAGCTTGGGGATAAAAAGTATTTTTGATTCATGTTAGATATAATTGTAAGATGCTTCCTCTAATCCATTTTAAAGTAGATAGGGTGTAAATTTTACATAAAAGGAAGGAGAAAGAAAGAAAAGAAGTCACATGGGCTTGGGAATCAGAGTGGAGCTTGAATACAAGCACCACTGGGTATTAGCAGTGTGTACTTGGGTGTTATGGGATGAATGTTTGTGTTTCTCCAAAATTCACATGTTGAAGCCCTAATCCCTAATGTAGTGGTATTTGGAGATGTGGCATTTGGGAGGTTATTAGGGTTAGATTAAGTCATGACAGAAGGATCCTCATTATGTCTTTATAAAAAGTGAAGAAGACAGATCTCTCTCTCTACCATGTGAAAACAAAGCAAGGGAGCAGCCATCTGTAAATCAGGAAGAGGGCCCTCAGCAGATACCAAATCTACAGGCATCTTGATCTTGGACTTCCCAGCCTCCAGAGCTGTGAGAAATAAATGTGTGTTGTTTAAGCCACTCATTCTACAGTATTTTGTTATAGCAGTCCAAACTGACTAAGACGTTGAGCAAGTAGCTTAATCTCTCTATTCGTTTTTTAATACATAAACTTGAAAATAATGCTTTTGTTCTCAAAGGGCTGGTGTAAAAATTAGATGATGTATAGAGAAACAGCACTCATATAGAGAAAAGCTTAACATGTTGCTTGGTGTTATATGGTAAATTGTGTCCTCCAACCCTACAATTTATATGTTGAAGTCCTAACTGCTAGCATCTCAGACCATGACTGTATTTGGAGATAAGGTCTTTAAAGAAGTAATTAAGATCTCTGAATTAGGTTGGACCCTAATCCAATATGACTGGTGTCCATATACGAAGGGGAGGTTATGACACAGAAATACAGAGGGAAGATCACGTGAAGACATAGGGAAAAGAAACATCTACAAGCCAAGGAGAGAACCCTCAGAAGAGACCAACCCTGCCAACACCTTGATCTTGGGCTTCTAGCCTCCACAATTGTAAGAAAATAAATTTATGTTTTTTAAACCACCCAGTTGGTACATTGTTATGGCAGCACTAGTAAACCAGTACACCTGGAATCTGCTAGACAAGTACTAAAATAAAATGTAAACTATTAATTTTGATTATTTTGTCAGTAGCCTCCACTTCCACTGCATTACAACCATCTACTTCTGGGCTTGCCACTATTTGAAACCACTTCACCTATGAAATTTTAAAGTAGGAGAATCCCTTTTTCTGATCACAAGATGTAACCCCTCTATCCCTTTTAAACTACTGGTCTTGTAGTCTGTCCTCTTTGAGAGAACTCAATCTCATCACAAGATGGGAGGATCTTGTGGTGTGTCAACAGTGTGTCAGTACTGGCCTGGATTCATCTCATTCCCTCCCCACCTTGGACCTAATGGCAAGGAAATTTTGTATTTTCACCATTCATTCCATTTACTCTCCCATTCTCCTTACCCTACCCCTCATAATTGGTCCCCTGCTCTGGAGATATAATTTGCTTTTTTTGATTCTATTCTCAAATTATTGTGTGAATGGCCAAGAAAATTTTACAGCCTTGTATCTTGGTGCCACATCTGCTTAATGAGTGTAGAGAATGCAACAAATGCTGTTTTAGGCTTGGCTTTCACAACCATCCTATGTGACAATTACTCTCATTTTATAGTTAAGAATAATCTCTACTGCTTAATGAGTACAATAACTCTTCAACATTATCAATAGGTTCTTGGAAACTTCAACTTTAAGCAAAACAACATACAGTAGGTTCTTGAATAATGTTGTTTCTTTCAATGTCTATATAAAGTCGATTACTTGTGCAATTTGGTGCCCTATGTTAGGATCAACATATCTGTGATTCTCTTAATCGTTCCCACCCTTGTTATACAATGGTTATAAGATGGCTGCTGAAGCATCCATGTTCATGTTAATAAGAGAAAACTTTCGCCTAACACTATCTATTTCATGGTCTCACTTCCTTTAGTCTACTATTTTTTTTTTTTTTGAGATGGAATCTTGCTCTGTCACTCAGGCTGGAGTGTAGTGGCACGATCTCAGCTCACTGCAATCTCCACCTCCTGGGTTCAAGTGATTCTCCTGCCTCAGCCTCCCAAGTAGCTGGGATTACAGGTGCGTGCCACTACGCCAGACTAATTTTTATATTTTTAGTAGAGACGTGGTTTCTCCATGATGGCCAGGCTGGTCTCGAACTCCTTACCTCAAGTGATCCACCCACCTTGGCCTCCCGAAGTGCTGGGATTATAGGCGTGAGCCACCGCACCCAGCCCTCCTTAGTCTACTCTTAAATGCTGGGGGTTTCCTCTGGCTCTATCCTTGGTTATTTTCTGTTCTTGCCACACACACACATACACACACTCCATGTATGATCTCATCCCATGGCTTGTATGACCAGCCACACCGTGCTAATGATTAGGCAGTCTCTTTCTCTGGCTTTATCCTCTTCCCTGAGCTCCAGTTCTTAATCTCTGCTTAAATATTCATGGGGCCATTCAGAGGGAACATGATCAAAACAAGATTCTTTCTCTTTCCCTTAAGACACGTGTCCTCCTCTCATACTCTTAATTAATGACATTGTCATCGTCTCATCCTCCTATGCTAGACCCTCCCAAGGTCTCTCTTCAGAAACCTCACTCTGCCTGCCCTTTACTCTCACCAATGTCTAACAAGTCATCAAATCCTGTCAGGTCTCCTTTAGATAGCGAGGTTCTTCTGCCTTCTCCCCACTGCTCTACTTGAGGTCAGGTCCTTATCAGCTTGTCTCTCCCCGGAAGCCTTCTCTCCCCTCCACTTGGGGGAGAGGTGCTCTGCGGGGGCAGTGCCAGCAGAGTGGCCAAGTGTGAAGCTGGAGCCTGAGAGCCCAAGCTCTTATCCTGGTGTGCCACACAACCTTGGGCAAGTTGTTTAACCTCTTGTGCCTGAGTTTTCTCATCTGAGAAATGGGGATAATAATATTACCTGCTTCTTTGGGCTATTATTGTGAAGAATAAATGAATTAATGCATCCAACGTATTTTGAAGAGTGCCTGGCTCAAATGCTGTGTTACCGTGATTGCCATTGAAAACCAGGCATGTTTACAAAGTGCTTAGCCTAGTGCTGAGGTTTTAGTGAGTACTCAGCAAAGGTTAATATTATTATTAATATTTTTATCTGTGCCCTTTCTTCTACCTCTACATTTAAGATCCTTTTTAAATGCTTCCAACTGTATTTTATAATTTATCTCTTAACATCTGTCTCCCTCACTAGACTGTGTACTTCCCCCAGGCAGAACACAGACCAGGTCTTAGCCATTGCTATATGCACAGCATTTAGCACATTTGTTAGATGAATAAGTAGGAATAGCAACCAAGGCTTAGCTCCTGATGGGTGTAGGCACTCTTGATGGTTAATAAGCAAACTCCTTTTAATCTAATTCTGCCTTACTCTCAGGCCTCAAAGCTGATGTTCCTCCTCTGTGTTTTCATGGCACACTGTGCCTAATTTCTTTTATTGTAAAATGATTGCACTTTAAAGTGATTATCTGTAACTTGTTGCCTCCCTTAATAGATTGTCAATTTCTACAGGGCAGGAAGAATGTCTTATTCAGCACTATATGCCCACTGCACAGCACAGTAAGTGACCTGTGATACTCAATTTATATCTGTTGAATAAATGCATGCATGAATTAATTCTTTCAATGCTCTGAGATAGGAATTAATATTATTGTTCTTTTAACACTGGAGGAAATCCAGAATTAATGAGATAAAATACATTCCCCAAAGCACAGGAAGACAGGTTGAAGACATATGAAATATGGATATTGAATTTGTAAGCATATACATGTAGCTGCATGTGACAGAGTCCCAAAGTAACAGTGGCTTAAACAAGGTAGACATTGAGCAGGGCACAGTGGCTCAAGTCTGTAATCCCAACACTTTTGGAGGCCGAGGTGGGAGGATCACTTAAGCCCAGGGGTTCAAGACTGGTCTGGGCAACATGGCGAAGCCCCATCACTACAAAAAATAAAAAATTAGCCAAGCATGGTGGTGCAAGCCTGTAGTCCCAGCTACTTGGGAGGCTGATGTGGGAGGATCGCTTGAGCCTGGGAGGTGGCTGTTGCAGTGAGCTGAGATCACACCACTGCACTCCAGCTTGGGTGACAGACAGAGAGCCTGTCTCAAAAAAACAAAAAACAAATAAACAACAACAACAAAAAACAAATAACAAAAAACAAGGTAGACATTTACCTCTCATGTAAAAGTCTGAGCTGGAATGGCAGCTCTGCTCCACAAAATCAGCAGCGACCCTGCTACCTGCTCTTCTGTGGCTTTGCCATTCCTGTGGTGCTGTCCTGTTTGCATGGTCACCCCATGGCTGCAGTTCAGGCAGTGGGGAAGAAGAATGAGGAAGAGGCAAGCATGCCTCTCTCCTTGCAGAACACAATTTCTGGAACTTAGAAAGTTCACCCTCACTTCTGCACACATGGCCGCACTTAACTATAAGGGTGGCTGGGAACTGTCATCTTTATATTGGACAGTCATGGGCCCAGCTTCAAATTCCATTACTTTGAAGAAGGAGAGAAATAATATTGGTAACAAGTGGTCTCTGCTATGGATATTAATGCTCCCCCTTTTCTAGGTAGAGAGGGGAGGATGGAAAGGAGAGGGAATGATATTATCGTTGTTTTTCTTTTTTAAAATAGCTCAACCCTTTTTCAACATGTCAATCACCATTTAAAAAAGGGGAGGGAAGGTTACTGCTGTAGATTAAAAGAAACTTACGAACTAAACGACCAAATGTAGTCACCGTTTTTAATATCCTGATTTGAATAAAATAACCATAAAGAAGACAATTGGAGAATTTGAAAATAATAGCATTTCAAATGTGATAACCCACTGAATTATATCATACTTTGAATGAGATAGTTTGGCTATTTCTTTTTAGAAATGCATATTTAAGTACGCAGGGACAAAATGACATGATATCTGGGCTTTGCTTTAAAATATTTCAGCAAGGCTGGGCGCTGTGGCTCACGCCTGTAATCCCAGCACTTCGGGAGGCCAAGGCGGGCGGATCATGAGGTCAGGAGATTGAGACCATCATGGCTAACACGTGAAACCCCGTCTGTACTAAAAACAAAACACGAAAAATTAGCCGGGCGTGGTGGCACATGCCTGTAGTCCCAGCTACTCGGGAGGCTGAGGCAGGAGAATCGCTTGAAACCTCCGCAGGTTTCACTGAGCCGAGATCGCGCCACTGCACTCCAGCCTGGCGACAGAGCGAGGCTCCGTTTCAATAAAATAAAATAAAATATTTCAGCAAGAGAAAGGAGTGGGGATAGACAAAACAATGACATGATTATTGAATTACCTTACTTTGAGGTATATTAAAAATATTTCACGGTAAGTTTTTTTTTTTTTCAACTAGCTCGGCCTTGTTAATGGAGAGATTTCAGTCGAAAGATAGAGGTAATAAATCAAGGCTTTTTCTCTAAAGCTCCAGGTCCTTGCCGAGCTCAGGGAATGGAGGTAAGAATCAATATCTGTGTCCTTATGACTAAGCCTCTCACCAACGGCTCCCCTAGGGGCTTGGTTTCTTCTTTTAGATTACAATAGCACTGACATTTTAGAAAAGAAAAATAGCCCCACAAAATACTTAACATGCTGGACTTGTTGCTGGCACACGCCCGGAGAGAATGGAGGAAACGATGGTTGCAGGCTGTGTCTCTCTAGAAGATAGTCTCTCCTTTTTTCCTTAGAATGTGAAAATCCTCTAAAACCCAGAAGAAAAATGATACTATCTGCAAAATTTGACCCACAGCAGGTCATGGCTGCTTTTTCTTCTTAAAGGAATAGCTAAATGTAATCGATGTGTATTTGTTTCTGGGGCTGCTCTGTGCTAGTTCACAATCAGCCAGGGTACAAGGGTAACATTTGCTGCCCCTCCATCTGTTTTCTTGTAGCTAAGACCAGGGCTTGGAAGTTTCAGGGCAGGCACAGCCATGAGAGAAACAATTTCCATGCTGAGCAGATTACCTGTAAGTGCCTCTCAGCCTCAGCAGCAGGGCTGATTTTCTTCCTCCTGATTACAGTGTTTTGGCTTTTAGAGGAAATTAGAACCAGGAAGTACTATATTCTCTGTGAAAATGATAAAAGCAGTTTTTTCTGCCTGTGGCGCTAGAAATATAATATGGCAAAATGCTTATGATGAATGAAATGAATGCGGTTGCTCATGCATAGAAACCCATATGCCCATGTAAAATCAGCGATGTGTATGCATATTAAGACATTACATTTATTTTGACAAACACTTTTTAAAAAAATTTTATTTACCTTTTAAGTTCCGGGGTACTCGTGCAGGTTTGTTACATAGGTGAACTTGTGTCATGGGGGTTTGTTGTACAGATTATTTCATCACACAGGTATTAAGCCTAGTATCCACTAGTTATTTTCCTGATCCTCTCCCTCCTCCTACCCTCTTCCCTCCGTTAGGCTCCAGTGTGTGTTGTTCCCCTCTATGTGTCCATGTGTTCTCATCATTCAGCTCCCACTTATAAGTGAGAACATGCTGGTATTTGGTTTTCTGTTACTGCGTTAGTTTGCTAAGGACAATGGCCTCTAGCTCCATCATGTCCCCGCAAAGGACATGATCTCGTTCTGTTTTATGGCTGCATAATATATTCCATGGTGTATATGTACCACATTTTCTTTATCCAGTCTACCATTAATGGGCATTTAGGTTGATTCCATGTCTTTCCTACTGTGAATAGTGCTGCAGTGAACATACATGTGTGTGTGTCTTTATAATAGAACAATTTATATTCCTTTTGGTATATACCCAATGATGAAATTGCTGGGTTGAATGATATTTCTGCTTCTATGTCTTTGAGGAATCACCACGCTGTCTTCCACAATGGTTGAACTAATTTACATTCTCACCAACAGTGTATAAGCATTCCTTTTTCTCTGCAACCTCACTAGCATCTGTTATGTTTTGACTTTTTAATAATAGCCATTCTGGCTAGTGTGAGATAGTATCGCATTGTAGTTATGATTTGCATTACTCTAATGATCAGTGATGTTGAGTATGCTTATTGGCTGCATAGGTGTCTTCTTTTGAAAAGTGTCTGTTCATATCTTTTGCCCGCTTTTTAATGGGGTTGGACAAACACTTCTTGAATACTAATTTACTCTGAGTGTTGCCTGAAATACTGAGGAAGAAAACCTGATTCTTATTCTCAGGGAGCTGAACATGTGCTCTCAGTTCTTATTCTTCAAAGGTCAGTGCCACAGAATATCAGAAAATTCAAGTTTACCTTTTCCCTGAGGGACACTCTGTGCCTCCCCCATCCAAGTCTTTATTGCCATATATAACATCCCTTACTGGTAAGTGCATTGACAGGCGGTTCTGGCCAAGGTCAAAGAATCATCTGGAAGAAGATTGCCCCAAGTGTCTTTGACAGAAGGCCAGGCCTGACAGCTGCTTCTTGAAGAAAGTGTTTGGTTGATCTAATACATACTATTCCCTTCTCTTTGAGATCCACGTGGCTTACTAGCACTTCCATGTCATTCAGATTTTCTACAATAAAGAAAAACATTCGACCTAGTGTTTCCCAGACTTATTTGACCTCAGAAGCCTTGCCCAAATAACTCTTTTATTTGTGTTTCATGGAACATCCTTTGGGCAATGTCAATCCAGAGGCATCTTGAACCATTGGAATTTTTGGCTCTGGTCTGAATTAAACAGACTAGGAATGTGCCCAAATAGGAACTACTTTTGTCACCTTCTTTGATTTTTGACTTGCTTAAGGCTAAAATCTAAGAGACTGAAAAGCTTATAAGATCTTTTTAATGAGTATCTTGTTATTTAGCTTTATCCAAGTTAAAAATCCATGCTTAACTTACCTAAAGCTCTGTTTCAAAGTGCATTGAATGTTAGAGTTGAGAAACTTAAGGCAGGACCATTCACTGTATTGCATAATTCCTTGCGCAGCCTGTGAGGTGGTTTCCAGGCATGTATTCATAATGTGAACAATGTTCCCTGGCTTTGTGTGACACAGACAACCTGAAGATTTCCTATACATCAGAAGGCTGTGCCCATGAGTGAAAGGAAGCTGATTAATTTACCTTTGAATCGCTATTGTGTAATACAGTGTCTATTGCATAGTAGGAACTTGATAAATGAATGAATAGATTAAGGGATAGTCTAGCTTCAGGTATCATGCTCATTCATTTTTTTCTTCAGGGAAACCAAGAGGTTGATGGGGTTCAGGACACACTGAACCACAGAATATGGTACTTTGGCATATTGAATATTTTAAGCTGAAGGAATTTGAGAAACAGCAGGTGCAGGAAGAACTCTCTGACCTTCCCCTGAAGCAGCCGTAAGAGCCTCATGTGGGAGATGCCCTTTCATGACTTGGAGGAAAGGAGCCTTCTTATCTCTGAAGACAGAGGGATACTGAGAGGAATCTGAATGAACAGGCCCTGCCAAGTTTGCCCCAGTTTACTATACGTAGCTCATACCTTTGTCCTATCACATTCTTCCATGACTGTCCTCTCCATCAAACCTAGAATGTCAATGTTCAGTTTTAAGCTGTTAAAAGAAAATCTTCAGACAAATTTAACAGAGTTTAATTGAGCAACTAGTTAAAACTAGTTTTAAAATTGTTGGTAAAATAGGCCAGGCACAGTGGCTCATGCCCGTAATCCCAGTACTTTGGGAGGCCGAGGTGGGTGGATCAGTTGAGGTCAGGATTTCAAGACCGGCCTGGCCAACATGGTGAAACCCCGTCTCTACTTAAAAAAAAAAAAAAAATACAAAAAATTAGCCAGGCGTGGTGGTGCACACTTGTAATCCCAGCTACTAGGGAGGCCGAGGGAGGAGAATCACTTGAACCTGAGGGTTGCGGTGAGCCGAGATTGCACCACTGCACTCCAACCTGGGTGACAGAATGAGACTCTGTCTCAAAAAAAAAAAAAAAAGGTAACATAAAATAGGATATATGCATGGAGAAACCTTTAGGCCGAACTTAACATATGTAAGGAGGTAGTTTTGAGCTAAACTTGATATAACAATTTCCCCATTGTAGATATTAATGTCACTCTGTCACCATCACAAATGGACTTATATGGTCTCAACTCCCTCTGGGTAATAACAGAACAGTGGGTTTTGTAAGGTGGGAACAAGGAAACAGAACAATAGAAAAAACTAGTTAATATCAGGCTACTTCAGGTTACTTTTTTATAAGAGAGCAGAAAAAAACTTCCTTATTATGTTGAAATCTTCTGTTTTCAGAGAAAACAAAACTAGTCTGTTTTAGGATCTATCTGCTTCCTTAAAATTTCGATTTGATTATATGGCATTTAGCAAGAGTGACTCCATTTTGTTTAGGTCTGCTTTGTTAGGGCCTAATGCATGAACTCAATCCAAAAAAATGGCCTGCCATAATTTTGTTTAACAATTCCCCCCTTTTGGTCAGGTTCTCACCTAGATGTGGGTGTGACAGACTTAGGGCTTTAGCACTACTCTCAGTTACCATCATTTTGAGTTTCCAGTCAACATGTCATTTATAGGTTACAGGGTCCATCCACAAGATCATGTATTTCTTTGAGTTTTTGCTGTTCCAGTCAAAAGAGACTATTTGGTATTCTATGGATGGCTGCATGGATACATTTCAAACTTTTGAGAGAATACAGCATATCAGGGAGACTACCATTATGACTATCAGGAGGATAATAACAATAGTTTGGAGTATGCTCCTTAGCCAGGGTCTCCATGAACCAAACCAACTAAAGTCAAATAGATCAAAGAATGAGCCAGATAAAAAGTTTACTTGTTTTAATCAAGCAGCTTGTTTGTTAATCTCCTATACTTGTTTTAATCAAGCAACTTGTTTGTTAATTTCCTACAACTGAGTCTGCATAATACCTGATATATTACTCCTCCATGTACAACAGAAGTGTTGGCAACTACACAGATATTTCTCTGTTTGGCCAGTAGACAATCTAGAGCAATTTTATTATCTACTACAACTTTAGCAAGAGAATTTAAAGAAATCTGTTGTGCAACCATAGCCTTTGCAGTAGAATCTGCTCTACTGCATATTATGAGGGATAAATTTCTAACCATTGCCTCATTTATATTTATTCCAAGCCACGGCAAAAGGGATCAAAAAATGATGCCCACTCAGAAGGACGAAGGTCTCCTGGAAATGTTCTCTTTAACTTATTATATAGGTTAAGAGGAGTGGACAAATGTTCTGTCTAGCTATGAAACAACAAAAATACCATTCAAATTCCTAGCCCACATTGGTCCTTCATCTACCATCCATCAAGACATAAGGTTGCCCATGTATAAGGTTGACTCTCAAGTCCTCCACAAATAAAAGTGTACCCCATGGGCGTACACAAGGTCCCCTTTTCAGTTCAGTTGCTCATAGGGGCAGAAGAAAGGAAAAATTAAGAGAGGTAAGAGTTTGATGATGGCAGAGAAATCTTGATCTGGGAAAGCTGGCCATATCTAAGATGCCATTGCTTCTGGGGAGAAATGATTTGTTTTACTGTAAGATTTCCAATGTGTTTACAGTTTCAAGAGTCTGGAGGGGTCCTTCTAAGTTGTGAGATTACAGACCCAAGGTTTGAGGTCCTGAAGTTTTGCTGCAGTGTGGGTGGCAAGGGTGGTCATTTTCTTATGTCATTTCCAGATGACCCAATTTCTGGATTCTAGATTGTGAAAGATTTGTCCACGGTCAGTGGATGATGAAAAACTTCCTCTACCGGGTGAAAATACACTTTGGCATAATACATTAAAGCCATGTAGCATTTAGTTGTAACAGAGGTTAGGAGAGTGGGAGATATATGAGGTTCTATTATTAGGAGCAGAGGCCTTCCAGTGACTCTTTCATAAGTGGTCAACTTATCTTTTCCACTGCAGGTAGATCTGGTTGTCATCAATCTGCAATGCCTTTGAACAAGGCAATCCAGTTGATTTAGTTAGCTCTGCCGAATTTTATTGTATCTGTAATACCTCATTTAACTGTTTAACAACTTGTTCAATGAAACAAGTACCTCAATCACTGGAGATTTCTCCCGGAATGCTTCATAAAGAAAACATTTCCTAATAACTTTTTAGCTACTGTTTAGCATTGGCCTTCCTGCATGGGAAAGCTTCTATACAGTTAGAAAACATGCATCAAAAATGGCAATTGAATGAAATTCCTCTATAAATGTTCAAATGGACCATCATGTAGCAGAAAGGTACCTGAAGTTTTGATTGTGTGTCTTCTCAGGATTATGGGTTTGTCAAACCAGACATTGGTCATAAACCATTTTAGCTATTTAAAACAGTCATCACATCAATTTTTAAAAATATAATTTGGATCATTTTATCTCTTTCATGATGAGCCATAGAGTTCAGAACTTTTAATAATGGAAGCTTTAAGAACTCAGGAAGGACCAGGTGGTCATGCAGGCTGTCCCTGAGTCCATACTCAACATTGGATTTCTATCCTCTTAAATACCAATTTTCTTTCTCCAATTCAGGTGCATAGCACTCTTCATTAGATGGGTTATCATAGGTAATTTGACTTGGACCACAAAGTTCATTCAAATTGCATATCAAAACAATTTCAGTACCAGCTAATTTAGCATGAAAATCTGGCAAAGTATTTTCTTGGTGCTCAATTAATTCTTTTCCTGCTTGAGTTAGGAGTTTTACAAACCAATCGTTAGAGTTTGAGGATTCTTACCCAGTTTGAATGATAAAATCCTACAGTTATCAGAAACCTGTAGTCAAGAGTGCTTGTCAGGGTCCTTTGTATATTTTTCATAAAACTCCTTGAAGACACACACTTTAGAATTTTACTTACTTACAAAGAGCTTTCAGAAAATGCATCAGAATTAAGGAATTAACTGTGGAAATAAGACTTAAGACAGTATAGTTAAAAACACAATTGACAAGGAACTTGCTTATTTCTATGGCCAACAATAATTTAACATAATAACCATAATTATGACTGATAACATATACCATGTGTTTTTTGTTTGTTTGTTTGTTTATTTTAGAGAGAGAGAGAGAGAGAGAGAGAGATGCGGTCTTGCTATGTTGCCCAGGTTAGCCTCAAAACTCCTGGCCTCAAATGATCCTGTCACCTTGGCATCCCAAAGTATAATAAAACATTTACATAAATATAACTGAAATGTTAAACATCATTTCTTATTTTATGTTAAACATCATTTCTTATTTTACAATGCTTCCCATATAATTTGACATATTAAATAAGTTGGTTTATTATCTCTTTTGGCTGCTTTTGGGGCCCTTTGGAACACCCTAAAGTTAGTTTAAGGTAAAAAAAGACAATTTTAAAGTTTGAAACATGATTTTGGGAAGCCTATCAAGAATGTCAAGGGTTTAGAACAATCAGAATAGGATTACAGGTCACTAGAGTCACTAGAGTAAAGTAATAGTCATTCATTTAGCCAAAGTTATAATTAAAAGGTTTTTAAGAAGCAAACATTTTTACTCTTTAAGAGGAAACTCAGTTTTCCAATCAAAAGATCTAAGAAAGACAATATGAGAATCTGTCTCTCCTTCTCTCCTTTTTTTATTTTTATTTTTGCAGTTTGCTTAAAAGGTGAACAAAAATCTTTTACTGTCATGTTAATACCACACAAAAATCTTGTTCAAAAGAGAAAACCAAATTTTACTTTTGTATTAGTGTATTATCAATACCAAAGCTAATTTAAATAATACTTTATAAAATTCATTCTATCTTAGTCAACTTTTGACCACACAAGATTTCCATAAACTTTTAATAACCTCTTACAATTTTTTTGTATTCTTTCTTTTCATACCTTTCTATGTTCATTTAGTTTTATCTATATAATTTTTATTCTTTCAATAGGAAGCAACCTTTAAATAACTTCTAAACTAGACAAATTTTTTTCCCAAATGTACATTTTTATGCCTTTATAACTTTCATAATCAAAAACATATCTCGCTTTTCTTATATACCTTGCATATAGAATTATTTCTTTTAGTTTAGTAGTTTTAATTACATGTGTTAATTTGAATTTTAACTCTTAGTAACCCCAGTTTCTAGTGACAAGCTGGGAGGTAATTTTGAACTGTTTAATATGACTATTTGTAGATGAAAATCATTTAATAATTCTTTAGAAAGATGTTTCCCCAATTTTTTCATTATTAATAGATCTAAATATATTTATCTTTTCTATAGCATTTAAAAATAAGATGTCAAAGTACATAAATGTAAACTTACATTTAATAAACAATGTTTCACTATTTTAGGTTACTTAGAAATTACTCAGACATCTTATGATTATCTGTTACTTAATTTAACATGACTTTAAGATAAATTACTGAAAAGAATTTTGAAACTATGACACAGTTACCATCCCTAATATCCTCCCCTGTTGGCCTGCCACATGGCACCTAGGATTGCTGCGAAGGACAGGGCTCATCTGGATCCTAAATTTACACACCACATATAGAGCACCAGACAGAGGACAGAACTGTGTAGAGGATGCCTGGAGGATTTGACTCCTCTCTGCATGGACAGGAGGCATAGCTGTGTCAGGGAGGATGGAACCATATCGGGTTTGGCTCTCCCGTGCCCAGGTGCTGTGGCGACACATATGAACCCAGGCTTCACCACGGCTCTCTAGACCCCAGAATTGAATTAGAGGACACCCGGGATTTTACTGGGACTATCTAGGATCCAGAAGGCATGAATCATTTTTCTGTTTCTGCACTCCCACCCTGCAGCTTTCCAGGAGGCACAGACTAGGTCCATATCTCTCTGTGGCTCTGACACATTGAGCTCCTTTTGTTCTAGGAGCCATAGACCTCTCTGCCCTCCTCTTCTTCCACCCAGCCTGGGCTGTCTCTTTGTGAACCGGAGGAGAGCCTTCTCCCTTCGTATTCTCTAGGACAAATTGGCTATCCTGGGGAGATTTTAGGGTGATTCTGGCTTCAGTCCTGCCAAATTCTTCCCCAGAGGCAACTAGCACATACCTACTGTAATGTCAAGATATAGAGAAGTTATATGTGATAGATTAAGACATCAAAATTGCACCCCAGTTGCACAAGAATTGAGGTATGAGCAAAAAGAGAATGTCCTTTATTTTAAAAAACTTAACACACAACAAAAAAAAGCAGCTGCTGTCTCCTCTCTCACATGGAAGTAAACTCTGCTGGCCCCAGTCACTCTGTGGTGATACTGCCATTGGATGCGTAGCATGAATAACTGGCTCATTCAGCATTTCTTCCCCACCACTTCATTTCTTTATCCTCAAGAGGGTCATTTTCCCTCTTGTTGCTTTTTTTTTTTTTCCTGCCATTCATTGCTTTTGAACCAGTTTGCTTCATCTCAAGCCATCTCATTCTCACATGAACACACACATCTTACCCAGGTTCTTTTCTGCCTCTAACCTAATTATACCACAAAAATTCTTTCTCTGGACTTGTCATGAACTTAAAAGTGGCCCTAATTATAAATGATGGGCATAAGGATGCTCTAATGACATACTTCAAGCTAGGAAAAAGAGAGCCATTAAGTGTGTGGGGAAAATGAAGATATTAGACTAACAGTCATCACTTGCAAAGTCCTCCAAAGTCCTCAGAAGCCTCCTTCAGAATCTTTGGAAAAGTTTCTCTTCTACCTCTTCATCTTTCTCTGATTGCAACTGTCCTTCCTCAAGTAGCATTATACAAGATAAGTAAATCCAAATACCCATACCATTTTATCTCTGGGAAGGACTTTAGAGATATTTTATGCTGAGCAAACTAAGACTCAGAGAAGCAAAGTTATTTGCCAAAGATCACATGGCTAGCCGATGTTAGAGGATTTGTACAAGGCCTCCTTCCTCTGCACTGAGTGCTCATTCTAAAATTTCATGTTTTCTTCTTATACTTGGATGCTTAATTGTTGAGTCTGATTTAATTATACTGGCGGCTAATCGAATGCATCCATTCATTCAGTTAATATTAACTGAGCCTCTACAATGTGCTAGACACTGTTTTAGGCATTGGAGGTTCAGAGGTGAACAGGGTAGACACAGCTCCTGCTCTTGCTGAGCTGACATACTTTTGGGAAAAACACAAAGAAAAACAACTAATCAATGCAGTGTATACCATGAAAATTGACAGATTGATAATGGAAATACTCAATAGTACTTACTGAGGACAAGCCTCTCAAGTAAATGAAATTTACTTGGCAGTATTTTGGCCAGATTTAGGGTTAAGGGATGTTTGTGGGCTACTCTAAGGATAATACAAAAATGTATTCTGAGTTGCAAAGAAGAAACTTAGAAAATGTTGGGACATAGTTTATTTTATAAGGTAAAAATGAAGCTTGTTTCCTGATATATTCCTTATGAGGATTTGACCACAGGCATGACACAGAAAGAAGAGTCAATAATGTAGACGATAACCTGAAATTCACAAGAGAATATACTGTCAACATTCCTTCAGGTGTCTACACACACAGACACAGACTAGCAACATAGCAGAATTCAAAAAGTATTTTCAAAAATCAATACATGGAGAAATTTCCATAAAATTTCAAATATCAATAGGTAAAAGAACCATGAGAGAAATATTTACCCTATCTTTTTACTAAAAAGGCAAGACTGGGCTACACACTGTGGCTCGTGCCTATAATCCCAGCACTTTGGGAAGCCAAGGCAGGAGGATCACTTGAGCCCAGGAGTTTGAGACCAGTCTAGGAAATATAGCAAGACCCCATCACCACACACACACACACACACACACACACACACACACACAAAAAGGCCAGGCGTGGTGGCTCACACCTGTAATCCCAAAACTTTGGGAGGCCATGGCAGGCGGATCACCTGAGGTCGGGAGTTTGAGACCAGCCTGACCAACATGGAGAAACCCCATCCTACTAAAAATACAAAATTAGCCGGGCATGGTGGTTCATGCCTGTAATCCCAGCTACTCGGGAGGCTGAGGCAGGAGAATTGTTTGAACCCGGGAGGTGGAGGTTGCAGTAAGCCGAGATCGTGCCATTGCACTCCAGCCTGGGCAACAAGAGCAAAGCTCCATCTCAAATAAAATAAAATAAAATAAAATAAAATAAAATAAAATAAAATAAAGTAAAGTAAAGTAAAGTAAAGTAAAATAAAATAAAATAAATAAAATAAAATAAATCCAGGTGTGGTGGTATGTGCCTGTAGTTCCAGTTACTCGGAGGCTGAGGTGGGAGGATTGCTTAGCACAGGAGTTCAAGGCTGCTGTGAGCTATGATCATGCCATTGCATTCCATCCTGGAGGACAGAGCAAGATGCTGTCTCAAAAAAAGAAAGGAAGAAAGAAAAGCAAGAAAGGAAGACAGAAAGCAAGCAATCAAGCAAGCAAGAAAGAAAGAGAGAAAGGAAGGGAGGGAGGGAAGGAGGGAGGGAGGAAAGGAGAAAAGGAAGGAAGGAGAAAAAACAATTGTTTACAGTGGACTATTTTCAGTTCATTGCAAGTATAAAGAAATACAATTTATGTTTGTATATTAATTTGTATCCCACAACCTTGCTGAACTTGCTGATTAGTTCTAGTGGTTTTTTAGTGCATTCCTTAGGATTTTCTATGTACAAGATCATGTCATCTGCAAATGGCAATTGTTTTACTTCTTTCTTTCCAATCTGAATGCATTTTCTTTCTTTTTCTATTGTACTGGCACTGCCAGTACAATATTGAATAGAAGAGGTGCAAGCAGGTATCTTTGTTTTATCCCTGATCTTAGAGAGAAAACACGTAGTCTGTCACTGTAAGTATGTTAGTAGGTGTGAGTTTTTTGTAGTTCCTCTTTATCAGGGTGAGAAAATTATCTTCTATACGTACATTGTTGAATGTTCCTATTATAAAGGAATGTTGAATTTTGTCAAGTCCTTTTTCTGTATCTATAGAGATGATCATGTGGTTTTATGTTTTATTCTATTGAGATGATGTATTATATTAATTGATTTTCAAATATTAAACTAACCATGCATTCCTGGGATAAATCATACTTGATCATGTTGTATAATTATTTTTGCATATTGCTAGATTAGGTATGCTTGTATTTTGTTGAGAATATTTTACATCCATATTCATAAACATTGGTCCATAGTTTTCCTCTGATGTCTTTGTCTGATTTTGGTGTCAAGGTAATATTGACCTTACTGAATGACTTGAACGTATTTTTTTTTTTGAAAAGTTGTGAAGAATTGATATTAAGTCTCTGAGCATGTAGTAGACTTCAAGAGTTAAGCAATCTGTACCTGGACTTTTTTTGTGGGTAACTATGATTACTAATTAATCTTTTCACTTGTTGTAGTCTCTTCAGATTGTCTATTTCCTCTAAAGTCAGATTCAATAGTCTATGTTTTCTAGGAATTTGTCAATTTCACCTATGTCATCTAATTTATTGGGATAACATTTTTCAGAGTATTTTATAATCCTTTTTATTTCTGTAATGTTGGCAATAAAGTTATCACATTTATTGCTGATTCTAGTAATTTTAACCTTCACTCACGTTTTCTTGGTCAGTCTAGCTCAAGGTTTTTATATTTTGTTGATCTTTTCAAAGAACCAACTTTTTGTTTTATTTACTTTATTGTTTTTCCATTATCTATTTCATTAATGCTCACTCTTATCCTTATAATTTTCTTTCTTTTGCGTGCTTTGGGTTTAGTGTGCCGTTTTTTCCCCCTGTGTCTTAAGGTGGGAGGATAGGTTATTGATTTGAGATCTTTCTTCTTTCTTGATATGGGCATTTCTAAATATAAGTTTCCCTCTAGGCATGACTTTAGCTGCATCCCATAAATTTTGATATGTTGTGTCTTCATTTTATAAACACTTTATCTCCAAGTGTTTTCCAATTTTGCTTTTGATTTCTTCTTTGACCCATTTATTAATTTCTACATTTTAAATTCTTTTCCCAGATTGCTGTTATTGATTTCTTTTTTCTCTCTTTCTTTCTTTCTTTTTTTTTTTTTTTTGAGATGGAGTTTCACTCTTGTTGCCCAGGCTGGAGTGCAATGGCGCGATCTCGACTCGCTGCAACCTCTGCCTCCCAGGTTCAAGCGATTCTCCTGCATCAGCCTCCTGAGTAGCTGGGATTACAGGAAACTGTCACCTCACCCAGCTAATTTTTGTATTTTTAGTAGAGATGGGGTTTCACCACATTGGCCAGGCTGGTCTTGAACTTCTGACCTCAGGTGATCTGCTCGCCTCAGACTCCTGAAGTGCTGGGATTACAGGTGTGAGCCACCGTGCCCAGCCGCTGTTGTTGATTTCTAATTTCATTCCACTGTAGTCAAAGAATATATTTTCTGTTATATCTATCCCTTTAAATTTATTGAGGTTTTTATGGTCTAGTATATGGTCTATCCTGGAAAATATTCCATGCGTACTGAAGAGAGTGTATATTCTGCTCTCTTTGGAAGTGTTCTATCAGTGTCTGTTAGATGTAGTTCGTTTACAGTGTTGTTTGAGTTTTCTATTTTCTTGTTGATCTCTGTCTAGTTTTTCTGTTCATTATTTAAAGTGGAGTATTGAAATTTTCAACCATTGTTGAAATATCTATTTCTCCCTTTATTTCTGCAATTTTTACTTCACGTATTTTGGTGCTCTGTTACTAGGTGCATATATGTTTATAATTATTTTGTATTTCCGATGGATCCAATCTTTTATCACTGAAAAAGGTCCCTTTTTTTCTCTAATAATATTTTTTAACATCTGTCTTGTCTGATATTAGTATAGTCACTTCAGCTTTATTATGGTTGATGGTTGCATAACGTCCTTTTTCATCCTTTTGCTTTCAACCTATTTGTGTATTTGATTCTAAACTGTTTCCTGTGAACAATAGATAGTTAAAACATTTTTTTAAATCCAGTCTGACAGTCTCTTCCCTTTGAATGGATTGTTTTATCTATTTACATTGATATGATTGGATTTACATCTGCCATTTTACTTTTTTTATGTGTTTTTTTTTGCACTAAATGAATATTTTTTAATGTAGCATTTAAATTTCTTTAATGATTTGTTTTACCCTGAAACCTCCGCCTCCCAGGTTCAAGCGATTCTCGTGCCTCAGCCTCCAGAGTAGCTGGGATTACAGGCGCACAACACCATGCCAAGCTAATTTTTGTGTTTTTAGTGGAGATGGGGTTTTACCATGTTGGCCAGGCTGGTCTCCAACTCCTGACCTTAAGTGATCCTCCCACCTTGGTCTCCCAAAGTGCTGGGATTACAGGCATGAGCCACCACACCCAGCCTGTTTTACTTGTTAAAAGTTATTTCTTAGTGGTTGCTCTAGGACTTAACATATACTATCTTATCAGAATCAGCTTCAGGTTCATACTAACAATTTCAGTGAGATACAGATGTTACTCCTATCTAGCTCTATTCCCCTTTCTCCCTTTTTGTGGCATTATTTTTATACATATTACATCTATAAATGTTTAAACTCAACAATACATTGTAATAATTATTACTTTATATAACTTTATCTTCTAAAGAAGATAAGGAAGGAAAACTATTGAATATTTATAGCTTTTGTTATATTAACCTTCTTATTTATCATTTCTGGTTCTCTTAATTTGTTCTTCTGGATGGAAGTTATCATCTGAAGTAATTTACTTAGCTCAGTGAGCTTAATGGAAACCTTCAGGAAAGTTGTAGAACATAAAATGTATAATATATGAGCACTTAGAAAATAAACTGACATTTGTGGAACATTATAGATTGTACTAGGGGCTTTATACAGTCATGCTGCATAACAACATTTTGGTCAAGGACAGACCATATACACAATGATGATCCCATAAGGTTATAATGAAGCTGAAAAATTTCCTTCACCTAGTGACATTGTAGCTGTTGTAACGTCACAGTTCAATGCCTTACTTACATGTTTGTAGTGATGCTGGTGTAAACAGATCAGATCTACTGTGTTTCCAGTCATATCAAAGTATAGCACATACAATTATGTATAGTACATAGTACTTGATAATGATAATGACTATGTTACTGCTTTATGTATTTTCTATACTATTCTTTTTAATCATTATTTTAGAGTATATTCCTTCTACTTGTATATAAAAAAGTTAACTGTAAAGCAGCATCAGGGTGGTCCTTCCAGAAGAAGGCCTTGTTATCATAGGAGGTGACAGCTCTGTGCATTTTATTCCCCCCTGAAGACCTTACAGTGGGACAAAATGTGGAGGGGGAAGACAGAGATTCTGATGATCCTGACCTTGTGTAGGCCTAGGCTAACATGTGTGTTTGTGTCTTCATTTTTAACAAAAAAGTTCAAAAAGTTAAAAAAAATAAAATTTTTTAAGTAAAAAGCTTATAGAATAAAGATATAAAGAAAGATAATATTTATGTATAGTTGTACAATGTTTGTGTTTTAAAATTAATGTTATTACAAGAGTCAAAAAGTTTAAAAAATTAAAAATTTATAAAGTAAAAAGTTATAGTAGGCTACAGTTAATTATTGAAGAAATAGATTTTAAAAATAAATGTAGTGCAGACTAAGTATACAGTGTTTATAAATTCAGCAGTAGTGTCCAGTGATGTCCTAGGCCTTCACATCCACTCACAGACTCACCCAGAGCAACTTTGAGTCCCGCAAGATCCATTCATGGTAAATGCCCTACACAGTTATATCATCTTTTATCTTTTTTACTGTATTTTTACTGTACCTTTTCTGTTTAGATACACAAATACTTACCATTGTGTTATAACTGCTTACAGTATTCAGTACAGTAATATTCTGTGTAGGTTTATGGCCTAGGAGCAAAAGGCTACACCATATAAGCTAGGTGTGTAGTAGGCTACACCATCTAGGTTTATGTAAGTACACTCTGTGATGTTCACACAATGACAAAATCACCTTATGATGCATTTCTTAGAATTTATCCCTATTGTTAAGTGATGCATGACTGTATATGTTTAGCATGTAATCCTAAAAGTACTTCTAAATGGCTAACTTTAACTTCTGCTAGTTAGCCATTTAAGATATGAGGAAACTAAAGCTTTAAGACTTGATGCAGCTCTTTTCTGATCATCTGTACTATTACACTTTACCAAATATGTTTTAATCTCTCTCACTTCTCTGAACCAGCATGTGCTGATTCTTCCTCCTGGAACTTGCTTTGCTGCTGCAGTCAAACTCTATTGTCCTTCAGAATGGAGCTCAACTGTCACTCCCTGGAGAAGCATTCCTTGATCTTTCAGTCCATGTGGAAAATTGTTAATTGTCTATAATATTTAGGTCAAAAGAAATATGGAAAGTAAAACTGCATTCAGAGTAGCTGCTCGACAAATATTTGTGGAACCAATGGCACATATCGTATATTTAAAGTGTTGGCTCAACTGTGTAGTTGTTAAGACTCTCTGGGTTGGAAGTGATTGAAATGCAACTCAAAATTGCTTAAGCAAAAAAGGAGAGATTATTGGATCTTAAGCTCAAAAGGTCAGGGGTGGCTGGCTTCATATGGCCACATTTTGGTTCTCAAATGATGTATAGTTAGTTAAACCTACCTGGAGGCAGATTTCAGCTCAATGTAATGATGAATTATTTTTAACCATTAGAGAGTCTTACCAATGAGAAGTATGTGGTTATAATAGCAAGAGTTTTATTTTTGTTTTAGTTTGAAGTACCCCCGAAGCTAACCCTGAGCTGAGGATTTGGGAGCCAATACAGTAGTCTCTTCCATCCAAGGGTTCACTTTCCACAGCTTCAGTTACCAGGATAACTGTGGTCCATAAATATTGAGGAGAAAATTTCAGAAATAAACAATCCCAAATTTTAAATCTCATACTGTCTTGTAATGTGAGTAAGCCCTCAGTCCAGCATATCCACACTGTATACACTACCTCCCCTTAGTCACTTAGGAATCAGCTTGGTTATCAGATAGACTTTCTCAGTATCACAGTGTTTCTATTCAAGTCACCCTTTTTTACTTACTAATGTCCCCAAAGCACAAGAGTTGTGATGATGGCATATTGTTATAATTGTCTTATTAGAAGTAATTGTTGTTAATCTCTTATTGTGCCTAATTATAGATATGTCTGTATAGGAAAAAATACAGTATATATAGGGTTTGGTACTATTTGCAGTTTCAGGCATCCACTGGGGGTCTCATAACATATCTCCATAAGGGAGGACTACTGTAGTTTAGGAGGTAAAGAGGGATCATGGGGAGAAGCATGAAGAAGAGTGACAGAGAAGCAACACAGCCAAGAAAGGGCACTTTACAAGCCAGCCATCAGTGTGGATGACTGGTGCTTAGTCCCAGTGGAGAACCTCTGGGAACAGTGTAAGCCATACAGCTCAAGGCCATCCCACTCAAGGGTCGAGGGAGCAGGGTCTTTACATACTAGCCCTGATAGTTAGTTGCCAAGGGCTGCTCCCAGGGAGCATTTGTTCCCTGGCATTTCAGGCCTACCTTCTTGGTGGGAAGGCAGGCTGCGGCAGGAGGAGAAAAGCAAGGAAATGCAGATGGTGGTGGTTGGGAGTTGGGTTGGAGTGCACTGAAATGGTAGGGGTGAGGAGATCTGCTTGAGGGGAGGCTCTGACAGCACCTACTGTACATTTGTTGAGCACTTTATGATGTGCCAGGTGCTTGGCACACATTATCCTGTTTGTTTCTCAGTGCAACCCAATCAAGTAAATATTATTTTACTCATCTTATACATGTAGAAACCAAGGCCCCCAGAAGATAGGTAACTTATGGTACAGCTAAAATGAGGCAAGGTTCAAGGTCAAACCCAAGTTTGCCTCATTCTATATTACATGATTATTCTATAATGTCATTGTTGTAGTCAGGGTTCTCCAGAGAGACACACTGATGGTATATATACAGAGATAATATGAAAAGGAATCTGTTAGGGGAATTGACTCATCTGATTACAGAAGCTGAGAAATCCCATGATAGACTGTCTGCGAACTGGAAAACCAGAAGAGCTGGTACAGGGGTTCAGTCCAGACTGAAGACCTCAACCAGGGAAGTTGAGGGTGTAACTCTTAATGAGAGGTTGAAGAGCCTGGGGTGGGGGGGTGGGAGGGTGTGGTGGGGTGGTGTGAATCCTTGAGTCCAAAGGCCAGACAACCTGAAGTTGTGATGCCCAAGGGCAGGAAAAAAAAGGGCATCCTTTCTCTGAGAGAGAGAGAATTCACCCTTCTTCTGCTTTCTTGTTCTGTCTGGGCCCCCATATGATTGGATGGTGCCTGTCCACATTGAGGTTGGCTCTTTCCCATTCAGTCCACTGACTCACAAGCCGATCTCTGGAAACACCCTCGGAGACACACCTGGAGCTGTCCAATCATTCTAGTCAAAAGCAAAACCACCTGGGCTTCCCTTTCAGCAGAAGAGGGAAGGGCTCATTGCCTACTGAAACACTGAGAATAATGAACACCTCACCAGGTATCTGTGTATCCCCTAATCCATTCAGGTTGACACCACAAATCAACCATCAGTGCCACCGTTGCTGCCTCTTAAGCTGCTAATACTAAGCTGAGAGTACATAACAAACCAGCAGGAGTGTTCTAGAGGGTTTGGGGTTTGGGGATATGAATTCAACCCCCCCACCCACCAACCACCAACATTAAGCAGCCACAAAGGAGTGGCATGAAGGCAGAATGTGGGCAGAAACTGGGGAGACAAACTTCGTCCTTTGCTGAAGTGCCAGAGAGGGTGGCAGAAAGAAGTGTGACCTTGTTTGTGAGCTGATTATAGGTGTCAGATCCTGGGGTCTGGGTCCAGCCCATGCTGAAGTTCGAGGGAGTGGGTGGATGGGCAGAAAGAACACTTGAGGGGCCGTAGGCAGATGAAATGTAGTTTTATTCAGCAACTTTCTCATCAACAGTTTTCTCACTAGCAGCTTACTTTGACATTGTTTGCCCTGTCTCGGCTGCTTGAGCCGGCCGCCCCCACACACAGCTGCGTGGCTGGCTCACCCCTGCCTTCAGGATCACCAGCTTAACTCTTTCTCTCTCTGGGCATGAGCAAGCTGAGCTGTGTCCTGGCTCCTTCCTGTCCTTCTGCAAGGCGGAAAGCTTTGGCTCTCTCTCTTTCTCTGGGCGTCAGTGCACCCGTCATGTTAAGCCATGTTGAGCAGAGCCAAGCCCCAAAAGCCCCATGCACAGTGTCAGCAGGACAGTTATACCTTTTACAGACAATAGTGATGTAGGGCCAAGGGATGGCCTTCCCATGTTATGGCTACATGGCTGTGGTAACAAGTGGAGTTATATGCCTGCACTCTAAACTCGGTAAGTCATACAGGATATCAACATCCTACCGTGGCCTATCCTTGACCAAAGCACCGCCATGCTCCTTATAAAAGGTATATCTGTCTGCTTTAGGGCTGTTGGATGCCAGGTCCCAGAGGAACTTTTTTCTGAGACTGTGCTTATGGAGCCCAAGAAGGACAAGGAGGAAAGTCTGGGCTTTAGCAAGACAGGAGTGAAGGAGCAATCCCCATGGAGAAGGGCTAGGTCCCGGAGGCGGCTTAGAGAATGGGGTGGAACATCATGCCTGCCTAGCTTATGAAGGCCCCAAATGAGAAGGGATAGCTATTGTCAAGGGACTAAGTTTCTAGGTTTCCCTGGACACACATTCTTGACAACAGTTTGTTGGGCATAAAGAAGACCAGCTTCAGACAGACCTACGCTTCCATCTGAGCTTGGTTGTTTACAGCTGCACTAGGTTGAAAGCATCTGCCTTGGAACCTGCGGATGTGACCTTATTTGGAAATAGGGTCCCTACAGGTGCATCAAATTAAGATGAGGTCACACAGGACTAGGGTGTGCCCTGATCCAATGACCGGTGTCCTTAGAAATGAGGGAAATTTGGACACAGAGATGGTGCTGGGGTTGGGGGGTGACCATGTGAAGACAGAGGCAGAGGTTGGAGTTATGCCACTATAACCAAGATATACCCAGGATTGCTGGCAACTGTGGACAGTTAGAAGGGACAAGGAAGGATTCTTCCCTGGATGTTTCTGAGAGGTTGGCCCTGCTGACACCTTGATTTTAAACTTGTAGCCTCCAGAACTGTGAGAATAAATTTGAATTGTTTTCAGTAGCCCAGTTTGTGGTATACTGTTTTTCTTTTTTTCTTAATTGAAACAAATATACTATGTGATGAAAATTTCTCTGAGCCTCAGTTTCTTCCTTTACAAACTGGAGATAAAAGCGGACACATGTAATAGGGTTCTCTAAGGCCCCTGGTTCAATAAATGTGAGTTCCCTTCAAGGAGATGCAGAGGGAAGGGGTGCCTCACAGTGAGCCTGCCCATGACCCTGTGCTACTCTCAGGGCTGTGTGAACAGCCAGCAGCTCCTGAGAAAATTAGCTGTGGTCTGCTGATGTGAACATTTTTCTCTTTTCACTGCTGTGGCTCCCTTCTGGCTCTTTCTTTCCAGAGAAAGCTGTCTGGGGTCCCAAATTGCTCCTGGAAGCCAGGCCGGTTTTAGCTGATGCTAAATGGATTGCTGCCCATAGGAGAGCTGCTGTCTGATGTCAGAGACGGCTGGGCACTAATTAAGGGGTTACTGTGTTTACAGGAAGAGGGGGAAATAAATGTGAAGACTGCAGTGCTTCACTGCTGTTTTAATAGGGCAGAGGCCAACTATGACACCTTTTATCTGAGAGGGTGGCAGTTCGGGCTGCTCACAGCCACTCAGGTCCCTCAAGTGTCTGCGGCAAGCAAGGCCTGAGGCCCAAGAGGGGTGGTCTCTCTCACTTTCTCTGTTCCCTCAGCTCCTCATCTTTTCCCCATTTTACTTTGTTATAGGAGGAGGAAACAAGAAGTGAGGGAACGTCTGGCTGGTTAAATAGATACACTTAGAAAGAAGCCACGTTTCCAGTCTTTAGCCTGGCTGCTCCTGATCCCCTGCAATACTGCTGTTGATATTTGGAACTGATAAATCAGTTTTTCTAAACAGGTCCTACGAGACTGCTTGGATTTTGGAGGGACAGGAAATTAAAGAGCCTTGGGGGTGAGGCAGGGTGGGCTATCAGCCTGCTCTCCCACACTGTCCCCTTGCCAGACAGCAGCTATGATAGGAGAAAGCAAATGGAGGGACAGAGGAGAAAGCTTGAGCAGATATTTGGCCAAATATCATCGCCAAAGATCCAGGCCGGCCCCATCCAGGACTGACAACTGTGACACAGGAACTGATTGGCCAGAGTTTCTAGTTTAAAGCTGGCTGCAAATCAGAATCTCATTTCTTTCTGCCAGACTCTCAGCCAGGAGCTTAATTAGCTAGAAGGGTCAAAAGGACTGAACTTCCACACTGTAATCCTGACCTATAGTTCCTAACTCTGGAAGCCTTTTGGGGTACTCCAGCCCTGGATATCTAACAAAGAGCTTCAGGTTCAAAGGGACATGGGACAAGGAGGACTGGGAGGCATGCTGGGGGTGTGGGAGGTGCCACCCCCAGGGAAAAGCAGCTGCCAGCAGGACACAGTCCTTGCAAAGGGCTCTGACTAGGAAAGCAACCTGGTGGCTTGTTTACATTCAACTGAAATCAGACTAAAAAATTAATTGCAGCAAGGTTCCCAAAAATGTTTCTACTTTTTTCCATGAAGGAGGACTGAAAGCTCAGCAAGAATTAAAATGGTATCTCTTATAGCTACCACTTATTAAGTGCTCTTCACAGCTGCAAGTCTGCATACACTTTGTATATTCCTTACAAGAATCCTGCAATGTATGTGTGATTATTCCTACTGGATAGATGAGGAAACTGAGCTCAAAGATGGTAATTAAGGTGGTCAAGAGCACACAATAAGTACGTGGAAGAGCCTGGAATCAAATTTAATCTTTTTCTATGACCCCTATGCTTTCTGCTCTCTCAGTGTTCTAGTTATCTATTGCTGCATAATAAGCCACCCCCAAAGTCGGTGGAGTCAGTCAGCAACCATTTTATTATGTTCATGCTTCTGTGGGGAAGGATTTAGGCAGTGCACTCATCTCTGCTTCACAATGACTGGGGCCTTAGCTGGGGTGGCCCCAAGAACTAGGAGAGCTAGCTCAACTAGGGCCGTCTGTCAAGGGCTTCAGTTATACTTTCTGCTGAGTTCCTCCATTTTTCCTCACATTGCATCTGCTGATGTCCAAAGTGGTACCCTCACATATCAGGTGCTTGGATTTAAATGGCTGGAACAGCATCTCTTTCTCTGTCTACCAAGCCTCTCCACATGGCTAGCTTGGGCTTCCACATATCAGGAGGGTCTTAGGATAGTCAGACTTTTTACATGGTGACTGGCTTTCCCCAGACCAACCAAAAGAGACAGAAATTAGAAGCTTCCAGTTTCTTAACTACTGACACCAGCAACAGGCACAGTATCACTTTTGCTGTATCACATTGAACAAATGAGCCACAGAGCCTGTCAGAGTGATAGCTTGTCAGACTCACGGCCACAGAGCCTGTCAGATTCCCTTAGATGCGCTGTGAACATCACCTCTGCTCTTTACCAGGCACCCTGCAATGAAGGAGCTTTTCACTCAAATTACGGTGTTTTGCCGATAATGATAATGATTCAATTTTGTCTCAATTTTTAGATTTACAAATAGCTTCCAGCTATTTCTCTGATATGAGCTTCACAATAGGTCTTTAAGACAAGCAGAACAGATTGTACTACCCTCACTTTAAGGAAACCAAGCTTTCAAACAGCAAAAAGGCCCACCAGGTTATATGGAGGGTAAACTCCCAGCCCACCTGACTCCATGAAGCTCGGCTAGCTGCGGTTAAGAGCTCTCTCTGCCGTACCCCTGCTCTGTTAATGTGCTCTAATTTGCTGTATATTATTATTCTGCAGCTCTTAAGAAAACTCATTTCCAGAGGGCTTTCAAATTAATAGCTCTGTTAATAAAACATAGGGCTAGAAATAACTTTATTTCACTGATTTTAATGATGAAGAAAGACGTGTTTTACTTCTACTGAAGTTAAACATCTATTTTTTTAGTTGAAGTAAAATTCACATGACATAAAATTAACCACGTTAAAGTGTGCATTTCCGTGGCATTTAGTACATTCAGAGTGTTGTGCAACCATCCTCTCCATCTAGTTCCAAAACATTCTCATCATCCCAAAGGCCCAGTGTTTTACAAAACAAAATTTATATAATATTCACCTTCTACTTAGAACAAAATGCTTTGTAGATAATTATTAATGTTTGGTTCTATTAAAATAAAATAAGCTCAGTCTTTGGACTCAGGCTAACTTAGATTTAAATCACAGCTCTTCAGTTTTCTAACCATGTGACTTTCAGCAAGGTATTTAGCTAAGCCTGGTTTCTCATTCCTCATACGAAGAAATAATGATGTCTACTTAGATGGGAAATTGTGGGGACCAGTGAGATAATGGACTTCAAGCACCTCTTACAGTGCCTAGTTCTTAGTGTTTGCTTAAGTGAAGGTAGGTGTTATTCATAGTATTAATGACCAGAAATGTGTTATAGGACCTTTGGAAAACCATCATAGCCCTCTGGGCCTCAGATCCCCAAGTGGAAACTGAAAGTATGGCCCTAAACAACTTCTAAGCTCTGATATTTAAGATGATGAAATATCTTGCAGGTTTATTCTCCATTCCAATGTTTAAAAAGCCTCCTGCCAATTTCCTGTTTTCCCCACCCCTGACACACACACACACACACACACACACACACCACATACACACAAAAAATCCTATTTCCATCCTCATTCTGATGACTTTATTTTTAACAGCTTTATTGAAGTATACTTGACAACAAAAAACTGCATGTATTTTACATATTTGACATATGTATAAACCTATAAAAGCATCACCATAATTTTGATAATGAGGATCTTGCTATCCCTGCAGGTTTCTTGTGACCCCTTTGTAATAGTCTCTCCCATCTCTCCCCACTCCTCAGTTAATAGATTGTTGTGATGTGCTCATATTTGTCATTTTTGTTGTCCAACATTTGCAGAGACATGGGTTCCATAGGGCAGGACTATGTATATTTTGCTTATTGTTGTATCCCTAGCAACTGTACAATACAAGAAAACAGAGGTTGCTCAACAAATATTTGTTAAATAAATGAATAACCCCTCTGTTCCTTTACTTTTGATGCAGTGATACTTTAGCTTTTTTCTCTGTCTGCTGTGGTGATCAATGCCTAGACAGGAGGGAGCTCTAGGGGCTGGCATGGTTGGGAAAGTTTCACAAAGGGAGAAAATTGCTTTGAGGCTCTGATGATGAAAAGGGTTTGTTGAGGAAGGCAAAGCTAATGGCTTAAGCACAGGCCAGGAAGGAATCTGGGAAAGATGCAAAAGTAAGGATTGGATCAGAGGTAATATAGTGACTGACATAGCTGACAAGTGGCAAGGATTAGACCCCTGGAAGTGAGGGAAACTGAAGCCTTTCTGAAATAGGAAAACAAAAATAAAAACAAAGCAAGAGCTGCTGGTACCTTGGCTGGGAGTCATAAGATATTAGAATTGGCATGGAGATTCAAGATTAGACAAATACCCTTATAATGCAAATGGAAAAGATGAAGTCCAGAGAAGTGAAATGAATTTCTCCAGGTCCCATAGTAGACTAGTGGGAGAATCAGGAAGAATCCAGTTTCTTATTGCCCACTGGGCTTCATTCATTCATCTTTTAATGCTTATTTATTTAATTAATTGATTGAGCTCTGACAATATGCAAGTACTATGCTAGGCACTGGGATTACAGAGATCAAACATCGTTTCTGGGCTGGGCATGGTAGCTCATGCCTGGAATCCCAGCACTTTGGGAGGCCGAGGCAGGCGGATCACTTGAGGTCAGAAGTTCGAGACCTGACTAGCCAACATGGTAAAGCTCCAGCTCTACTAAAAATACAAAAGTTAGCCAGGCTTGGCGGCGCACACCTGTAATCCCAGCTACTTGGGAGGCTGAGGCAGGAGAATTGCTTGAACTTGGGAGGCGGAGGTTGCAGTGAGCCGAGATCATGCCACTGCACTCCAGCCTGGGCCACAGAGTGAGACTCCATCTCAAAAACAACAACAACAACAAAACTATATATAGTTCCTTTGAATGAGCTCATGATGTAGTGAAAAAAGGGTTAATTATACACTGTTTAAAATACAATGCGATTGATAATCATAGGTAGAGCCCAATGTTTTCGTGAGGAACCATGGATTCACCAAGAAGGTCTTCTCAGGGAGGGATGTCTGAACTGTGTTGCAGGGTGAATAGGAAGGAACAACAAGTAGTAGAGAGAGAACATTTAGAGCATTAGAAAGAGCACATGCCAAGAAACCCAAAATACATTGGAGAACTTCCACTGATTCAAGATGATAGCAGGCCGCCGGGTGTGGTGTCTCAAGCCTGTAATATCAGCACTTTAGGCGGGCAGATCATCTGAGGTCAGGAGTTTGCGATCAGCCTGGCCAACCTGGTGAAACCCTGTCTCTGCTAAAATACAAAAAAAAAATAGCTTGGTGTGGTGGCGGGCACCTGTAATCCCAACTACTCAGGAGGCTGAGGCAGGAGAATCGCTGGAACCCAGCAGGTGGAGGCTGCAGTCAGCCGAGATTGCCTCATTGCACTCCAGCCTGGAGGTTGCAGTGGGCCGAGATCCCGCCACTGCACTCCAGCCTGGGTGACAGAGTGAGACTCTGTCTCAAAAAAAAAAAAAAAAAAAAAAAAAGATGATGATGGAGGGGAGGCTGAGTACAGTCTAGCCATGAAGGGCCCTATACATTAAGGAGTTTGACCTTTTCTCTTAAAGCCATGGAAAATCTTTGAAGGATTTTGCTTGAGGGCTATGATGGGATTTGCCTTTAAGGAAGTTTGCTGGTTCAGGAGCATGAGGAAGAGTGGAGGCAGTCATGCTGGAAGTTGGGGGAGAGAGGTGGTGGAATCATACCTCCATGGAATGATCTTTCTGAAATGCACATCTGACCAGTCACTTCCCTGTTTAAATTTTCCAGCAGCTCCCTGTTCTCTATAAAAGCCAGTCCAATCTGGGGCTTGACCCACAAGCCATTTCATAATCCTAGCCTCACTGACTTTTCTAGAATTTTCTACTGCTTCTTACCCATGGCCTCCTTCCCTATGCCCCCTTATCCTAAGACCCAGCTCTACTGCTATTTACTGTTCTACTAAAGTACCAAGACTTTTTAGTCTTCCATGCCTTTGCACTTGCTCTTCCCTCTTTCTAGAATGATCACATCTGTCTTTTCTGCTGGCAGAACCTTCTTATTGCCTTCTCCAAGGCTCCATTCAAGTGTCTTCTCCCCTGAGAAGCCCCTTCTGACTGCGTTAGGAAGATTTCACCACTGTTTAGGTAATGTTCCCATTTAATCTAGTTTCTGTCTTAGTAAAAAGCATTTGCAATGCTATAGTGTAATTGTGTACATGTCAACTTATTAGATTGGAAGCTTCTTGAGGTCAAGGATATTTTCATCTCTGGAATCCCCAAGCTTCCTGGGCTTTACCCCCAGGCCAGTGAATGGGTCTCTGGGGTGCCTAGGCATCTGAATTTTTAACAAGTGCCCCTCAAATGATTGAAGGAAGGGACCAGGACCTGATGGGTATTATAGGAGGACACCCATATAAGATCCTGACTCTCCCCGCCCCATCTGAATTCTGTCCCACCAAAATTCATACATTGAAGTGTCAACCTCTGAGTACCCCAGCATTTGACTATATTTGGATAGGACCTTTCAAGAGGTGATTAAGTTGAAATGAAATCTTTAGGGTGGGCTCCAATTCAACCTGACAGGTGTTCTTATAATAAGAGAAAATGTGGACACATACAAAGAGACACCAGGGTTGCACCCATAAATGAAAGACCATATGAGGACACAGTGAGAAGGCAGCCATGTGAAGGCCGGGGAGAAAGGCCACAGAAGGAACCAACCCTGCCAACAATTTGATCTTGGATTTTCCAGCCTCCAGAACTATAGGAAAAGAAATTGCAGTTGTTTAAGGTACCCAGTCTGTGGTACTTTATCATAGCAGCCCTGGCGAACTAATACACCATTGCAGCTCTGTCCCACAGGCTGGAATGCTTGGGATTTGCTCTGTATCTGCTCAAGACAGTCATTTTCTGATACACAGTGGGAGTTATTAGTTTCCTCAAGATGTGTTGCTTATAAGGGAATTCGTTTTGAGAGACATATCTAGGACTGCTGGGCTGCAGAGAGAGTGAGGGTACTTTAGCCATTCAGTCATGCATTTTCTCCTCCTCCCCAGCTACACTCAGAGGATATAAAAAAACCATCTGGCAGATGAGGGCCCTGGCGGTTACCATGGTGAGGCAGAGCAGAGCCGGGGAGACTGGGGTATGTATCGCTGTCCCTGACACTTGAGCCCAGTGAAATGTCAGCCTGGCTTGCGTTCATTTTGGATAATATTTTTATCTGACTTTTTTTCCCCCAGCTAAGTTATTTAAAAGACTTGTGTAGGTCCAGTTCTGATCACTGGATGTTTTCACCTACAGAAAAAGCTCTTTGAGAATAAGGACTAAATGCCTTCCTATTTTATTCCCTCTTTCTGGCGTCTTGTCTACCCCTCCCGCTATCCCCCACATTCCCTGCAGAATTAAACCAGTGTCTATTACTGAGTTGATATTCAAGAAGTATTTGATAGGTTGAGTTGAATTAATTAACCTTTGGAGAAACTCTTGTTTTCATGTTTGCTTCTGATTTTTAAAGCCACTGACAATTACCTTCACTGGGAGTGTCTAGTTAATTCAAGTGGCAAGTTCCAGTATGTGATATATAGCTGCCATCAGGGTTGAGACCTGTGAGCAAGGTGCAGGGGTGCCAGGAATTTAGTACAAGACAAAACCTGAGTGTCAGGGCTCTATACTCAGTTGGACTTGGGTTTGAATTCTGGGTCTGTTGTCAACTCCTTATGTGACATGGGGACAGAGACTTCATTTCCCTGGCCTCCTTCATTGTCTTCAAAATGGGGATCCTAATCATACCTGCTTCCTGGGGTGCCTGTGAGGCTTAATAGAGATAGTGTGACTAAAGCTTTGTATCTGGCATCAATGAGTGGTCCATAAACTATAGCCATTATTGTAATACTATTAAAAGTTTTTATTTCAGTTCTGCCCTTAATTCTGTGAATTTTGGTACTTGTTTCCCAATCTCTAACATTTCTGGAAATGTTCTGTCTCAGTAAGGTAATGTCTGGGGGCAGGTGTGGACAGCCACAGACCTCTACCTCCTCTCAGGCCATCCATAGGTTCTCTTCGATAATCATAGGGTGTCTGAGGCTTCTAGTGGCAGAAATGTCTGGGGAGGGCGATTGGCTGAGCATGGAGAGGTTTCCGAGGGTAGGAACCTGACAGCCAGGAGAGGACCAACTCAGACCAGCTTGGCCCAGACTCAGGAGGCTGCAGCCGCCAGCAGGGCTGTGTAGGGAGGGTGGCCTCATTGGCATGCAGTACCCAGGCTCTAGGAAGTATGAGCCCGTCAGGGGGTAGCGAACAGCAACGGGTGTTGTGGAAACAGCTGGCTTTGCCCCACTGTGATTCTAGTCCACTTTTTCTTTCCTTCCTTTTATTCTAAATCTTAAAGAGAACTACCATATGATCCAACAGTTTCACTACTGGGTAAATAACCAAAGGAAATGAAACTAGCATATTGAAGAGATATCTGCCTCCTCATGTCTCTTGCAGCACTATTCACAATAGCCAAGATATGAAATCAACTGAAATGTCCATCAACAGCAATCCTTATCCTGTTTTCTCCCCTTATGTTTATTTCCAAAAGAGCAAAGGCTTGACTGCAGCTTCGTGTAATTGCTTCTAAATCATAATGGATCTATTTTCCTTTTTGCCAAGATTGAACCATGGTAAATTTGTAATGATTTACTTACAAATAGAGCCACAGGATTGATTATAATTCAAGCTCTTTCATTCTTTAGCTATGTGGCCTTAAGCAAGTTACTAATTTTTGCATTGTCTGTGAGCCTTGATTTTTTCCTGCCAAACCTCATTCCTCCAGTCTTTTGCATCTCCAAAAAAGGTGCCACCATCAATCTATTTGCTCAAGTAAGAAGCCTAGGTACCATTTTGAATTCCTTTCTTCCTTACTCCAACTACCATCCAATTCACTAGCGATTCTTACTGATTCCACCACTGAAATACAGGATATCTCAAAACCATGTAGTTCTCCCGCCTCCACCATCACCTGGAAGAGGCCACCAGCATCTCTTGCCTTAACTTTAACACCCTCCTCACCAGTTGCTTGCTACTGTCTTTGTCCTTCCTCCACTTATAATATGTCTATCTCAATGCCAGCCAGAGTGATCTTGTTAGAATGTAAATTAGACTATGGACTGCCTCTGCTTACAATCCTTCAACCTTTCCACTGCATTCAGAAAAAAATCCAAACTCCTTGTCACGGTCTATGTATCTCTGCTGACCTTTGCAGCTTCTTTCTTGTCCATTCCCTTCTTTGCTTTCTACATTCCTGGCATGTGAGTTGTCTCACATTTTCCCAGATGTTTCTAGTTTCTATTGCCTCAGAGTCCTTACACACTCCAATTCCTCTGCCTGCATCAGTGGACCATCCACTTTTCACATTCAAGGGTCTTTCTTATACTTCAGGGCTCTGCTTAAAATTTACCTCCCAGAAAGACCTTTCTCCATTTCCCCCATGCAATCCAGAGTAGGGCCCCTTCTCCTCCCCCGGCTTTTCTCTATATTTGTGACCAGTTAGTTTCCCTTAGAGCACCTATCCCCATTTGTCATCGTTCTCTGTTGTTTTTTTGTTTGTGCTTTCCAGTGGAATATGACCCTAATGAACTACAGACCCTGCTGAGTGCCTACTGGAATGACTGCAAATACATAGGAGGTGTCCAGTAAAAGAAAAGAAAAGGAAAGGAAAGAAAAGAAAAGCCTCTTAGCTTCCTTTCCTTAACCTAACAGATTTAAACCTTCCCTGCCTTCCTTTGGTTGAGCTTCACCACATACCTTTAGACTTGCTTTAAGGAATACATTCCTGCTAAAGAGATTCATTGAATTTCTACCATGTGTCAAGCATGGTGCTAATAAATGTGATAAATCTGGAAGGAGAAGGCATTCTGGTATAGCAGAGAGAGGAGCTTGGCTTAGGAGTCTGAAAGACCCGGATACTGCCAGCTCCTCTCAACCAGCACACCACTGGTAAAATGTTACTTTTCTTGGCCTCATCCCCTCAAAAACAAAATCCAAATCTTAGATGTCCTGCTTACAGGTCCCCACAGGAACATTCCCATACCCTAACATTTATCATAGTAAGTAATAATCTGCTTACCCTTCTTTATTTTCTACTAAACTCTCGAGGATTATTCATCTTGCTCACTATCTCCCTCACCCCCTTTTACACATGCTGTATTGGAAGGCTTAAAATTTCTGGAGCTGCCTTGAAATCTTTGAGCCTCACAGAGTCCTGGAGGCCTAACTTTGTGTCCCCCTCCTCTTGTCAGATGTGCCCCTTGCCCTGCACCCAGTAGGGAAGATTCTTCTATCAGCCAGCTCAGTTGCATTAACCTGGCCCTCAACCTAAAATAACAGGTTTCACCTCCCTACCAGCCCATGGAATTATTCAAACAACAAAGTACACCCTCCCACAGGAATCAGGGGCCACCTCACCCCCTTGTCACAACACAGCCTGCCTCCCAAAGCCCTGTTTGTTCATTCTGTTGAGTATAACCCCTGTGTGGTCCTGCAGGGTATGCAGTGCCTTCTACCCCAGGCTGTCAGTATATGTGACTAATGAACTGCTGTCAATCGCATGGGTCCAACGTCAGGTGTTGTGTGCTTGGCTATTCTCAGAGTCTTAGGGCAACACTCCCTCTTTCACCAGCGGGGCAAAGAGGAGGCAACAAAACACTCATATCCTCACATGCCTGCACTAACATACACACAACAAGAAGTATGATAGTGATGTAGGCAAAAAATAGTAACCCCCATAGGTTTGCAGATGAAACAGACTCCTGTTACAAAAGGCAGCTTAACAAGAGAAAAACAACTAGAAGCTTATTAACATTCATATGTCACATATATGTGAGAGATACCCAGAGAATGAGTAGTTCTTGAAGAAGTGGCTTTGAATTCCAGCTTAAGTAGCATTTTCAAAAAACAGTACATTTTTAGAGAAGTGACAAGACAAAGGAAAAGGGCTTTGAATCTCTACAGCTGGCAATGTGCGGAAAGGTAAACAAATGGCAGATAAAGGCTGGTTTGTAAAGCTTGTTAATATAAATCCCTCCGGTATCATTTCCAGGTGGTGAAGGTCTAAAGCTGTCTTCAGTGGTTAACCTGTGTTCACCCTGGTGGAGAGGGGACAAGGTATCTTTTGCCTTTGTAAATCTATGTTTTGCTTTTAAGCAAGTGGAGGGAGGGCAGAGAGCTCTATCATCCTGGAGGAAGCATCTGACAGACTCCTGCCTTGGGATGACACACTCTTAGCCACAGCTTTCAAAGCCCTCCTGAGTCCTCGACAGACACTGCAAATTGATCATGGTACTCTTTCCTGCTGCACCTGGACTTTGCCCCAGAATCATTCTCCACTTGCTGAATGTAGTCATAAGAGATAAAGCCTATTTCTCACTCGGCCCCAAACTTCCCGTGATCAGTGTCCTGTGATGAAGGAAACTCTGCGGCTTATAACTACATTTGTAGCGCTCAGCTCTGCATCCCACTCCCAGTACCGGGGCTCAGATCATCCAAGCTTCTTACTGGAGAAGAATCTCACTCTAGGAAATTTTTAATGTTTTCAATGTCATTGGTCATACATCTCAATTTTTCCGTACCTTAATGGCTTCTTTCACAGACTCTCAGCAATGCCATACCATCTTTCTGTTCCTCTGCTGGTTCTAAACTGGGTTAGACTCACATGGAAACAAGCAAATATAATTGTAAATTCATAATTATGTGATGTGGTAGAGAGAACTCAAGGTTTACAGTCAAGGTAGACTTCCCTGCCTCATCCTTGTTGAGCTGTGTGACTGCAGGCAAATCATTTGTACATCTCTATATCTTGGTTTTCTCATTTGCCAAGTGAGGACAATAATAATATCTGTCCTCCCAATATCATGTATCATTACATATGTAACATTAATATAACATATAATGTTACAAAGTAGCATAAATGAATAACATTTAAAAAGTTAAACCTCCAAGGTGTTTAAAAGCAGCATACGGGTATTTCTTGCCACTGCAAGAAAAAATCTGCCACTTTTCTCCAGGGTGGCTGAATAAATAGGGCAGCTTTTCCAGAGAGGCAGCCATAGTAGACATTCCATTATGCTACTGCATATTCAACTAGAGTATAAAATGTGAGCCCTCAGCCTGGAGGTGTTAATGAGTTGCCACTTAGAAGGACCAGGGAAGCAAATTAAGTGCATATGCATAAAGCAGTCAGAACTGCCAGCCCTCCATGCTGTCTGGAAACTGAGCTGCTCAGGCCCTCATCCTCTGTTCATCTCATCCCCTGATTTAGCAGCTGTAGTTGGTGGACCAGGTTCATGTGAATAAGACCATTGGCTTTTCTGCCTCCACTTCCCAGAACCATCTCACTCCAGACCCTGTCTAAACTAGTGAAGTTGAACACATCCAGTACTTGGGCTCATCATCAGAGAGATGGAGGTGGGTTGGTCACCAAGAGGTAGGATGCCCACTTCATTGTTGCTGAAAAACATGCTTTAAAAGCTTCCTAAGATTAATGATAGTTACTTTTCTCTTTTAAGTTATTTTTTCCTATATGGTTTCTGTTTTCTACAAATTCCCTGTTTCACTGTTGATTAGTTTTGGTCTGCATCATTTAGGTAGAGTCTTTCTTCAAGTATCTGCCAATCTTGGGCTGTCAGCATGTATTTAAGAGAAGGATATTAAAAAGCCAACCAGAGACTTGAAAGAGCATGAGTGGGGCTGGGGGCTTCATGGCAGAAGGGTCACAATCAGCAACATCAGTATCTCTGTGTCTTTTCTCTTTGACTGGTTAGGTTACTCAAAGAAGGCTGTTCTTTGAGTCTCCCATCCCCAGCTCCATATCTAGCCTGGAGACTGCCAGCCTTCTGAGGACCTGGTGGAGAAGGGAATAAGGAGTCCTTAGAATTCAATATGTAGATTTTCATCAAACCTTACTGTTTCCAGTACATTATCCCTGCCCTACACCCAGAATGGGGGCTAGATGGCCACCAATCCAGAGTCCATTTGGTTCACTGTCTCCAGAGAGTCAGTTTCTGTATTCTGTTTCAAGGAAAGGGGCACTTGTCAGCTTTGAGAAGCAATAGAGGTTATCCAGGAGTCTAAGTGCACTGTAAATAGATTTCCAACCGATCTTGTGGTTTTCAGCCCCCACTTCTGTCCCATCTCCTCACACTTTCACAGATCCCTGATGCTGCCAATTATGGAGTCCTGGATCTCTAAGGTCCCTATCAGCTTGCTTTTGGCCTCCCTCACTGCTGGCTGAGGATTCAATGTTCTGAGGTTGCTGAGTCAGTTGCCCTTTATCCTTTTGTCTTCCAGCTTCAAAGATTTTTTTTTTTTTGCTTTTTTTTCCCTCTCATGTTCTCAAAGGTTTATACCTTTAAAAGAAAATCCCTTTCAAAATATTTTTAATGGGACTGAAGGATCAGAAGAAAGACACATGTGTTCAATCTACCATCATTAACCAAAAGAGAGAAAATACCAACACAAAAAAAAGACATAGAGCACATGTGACGTGTGTATCTTGGCAAGATGCTGCTGCCAGGGATTCAGAGCCAAAAGGAGAGCCCAGGTTTCTTATATCACCTGTTTTCCTTAATGCAATCCCACAAAGTAGTACTATTTTCCATATTTATTAAGAAGGAACAAGTAATAATAAGAATTAGTATTATTGACTCTCTAGTATGACCAGCTGTATGTCTTTTAGGGCTTCCCTACAAAATACCACTGACTGAGTGGGCCTTAACAACAGAAATTTATTTTCTCACAGTTTTGGAGGTTCAAAGTCCAAGATCAAGGTGTTGACAAGCTTGGTTTCTCTTGAGGCCTCTCTCTTTGGCTTGCAGACGGCCATCTTCTACTGTGTCTTCATATGATCTTTTCTTGGTGCACAAGTATTTCTGGTGGTTCTCCTTCTGATAAGGACAGCAGTCATACTGGATTGGGGTCTCACCCATGTGATCTAATTTAACCTTAATTACTCCCTTAAAGACCTTAACTCCAAGTACAGTCAAATTCTGAGGTATAGGGGGTTAAAGACTCTAACATATGAATTTTGGGCAACACACAATTCAGTCCAGAACTAATCTGGTCATTTTATTTCCATTTCTTCATTTATTTCTCACAATCAGCCGAGGGTTAAGTATTATTATTATTATTATTGTTATTATTATATATGAGGAAACTTCTGTTTAGAGAACTTAACTAACTCTTAGACTGCACAGCTAGAAAGAGATTATGTATTTTGTTTTCTATTGCTGCTGCAACAAATTATCACAGTCTTAGTGGCTTAAAATTACACAAGTGTATTATCTTACAGTTATGTAGTTCAGAAGTCTGAAATGGGTCTTACTGGGCTAAAGTCAAGGGGCCAGAAGGCCGCATTCCTCTCTGAAGGCCCTCAGGAACAATCTGTCTCCTTGCCCTTTCCAGCTTCTAGAGATTGCTCGTGTTTCTTGACTCAAGGTTCCTTCCTCCATCTTCAAAGCCAATGCCAGCAGGTCAAATTCATCTCACATTGCATCACTCTGACCTTTTCTGCTTCTCTTTGTGATTATAATAATATATTGCTAATATGTTATTTATAACTATTAATAATATATGATATAATATTGTAATTTAAGGACCTTTGTGATTATAATAGGCACACCAGTGTAATGCAAGGTAACTCCCTATCTTAAGGTCAGCTGGTTAGCTACCTTAATCCTCTTTTGTCATATAACAGAATCATCTTATGTTGGTATTAAATTGTATGTTTCTTTTTCTTTCTTTCTTTCTTTCTTTCTTTCTTTCTCTTTCTTTTTTTTTTTTTTTTTTTTTTTTTTGAGTTGGCGTCTCGCTCTGTCACCAGGCTGGAGTGCAGTGGCACAATCTCGGCTCGCTGCAACCTCTGCCTCCTGGGTCCAAGTGATTCTCCTGGCTCAGCCTCCTGAGTAGCTGGGACTACAGGTGCCTGCCACCATGCCCAGCTAATTTTTGTATTTTTAGTAGAGATGGGATTTCATCATGTTGGCCAGGATGGCCTCTATCTCTTGACCTTGTGATCCACCCCTCTCAGCTTCCCAAAGTGTTGGGATTACAGGCGTGAGCCACCGTGCCTGGCCCAAATTGTGTGTTTCTTAACGTAAACATTGGGAGGGAGTTTGTCCTAATGGAAAGAGGACCAATATCAGAGTTGGGGTATCTGTGCTCTACTTTTGATCTTTTTCAAGACATATTATTTTATATATATTCTGTATCTTTTTGGATTGTGTACTATCTTCCTATAGCAATGGTCCTCAACTGTGGTGATTTTGTCTCCTAGAGGACAATTAGCAATGTTTGCAGAGATTTTTTATTATTACAACTGGGGGAGAAGGAAGGTGCTACTGGTATCTTGTTTGTAGAGGCCAAGGATGTTGTTCAACACACTAAGATGCATGGATACCCTCCCAACCCCAAAGAATTATCTGACTCCAAATGCCAGTAGTGAGGTTGAGAAACACTGCCCAATTATGGTGTGGAAAATTGATGTTAGAGTTGCAAGCGAAAAAGCCAGAAGATGAGTTAGGAGAAAATGGCCACGGTCTAGGGGAGAGATGATGGTGCTTTAGACTAACATAGAGGCAATGGAAATAGAAAAGTAGTGAGATCTTACATCAATTTTGGAGATAAAAGTGATCTGATATTGAGAGGAATTATGTGTGGGAAGTGAGGATGGTGTCAAGGATGACTGCCGAGTTGCTATAATGACCTTCTACGTAAATGGAGATAGAGTTACTGAAATGGAGACTTCCAGAGGAATAATAGATAATACTTAAAATGGATCTTATTTTATGTAAATTCTGGTCTAAGTATACTAACCCATTTAATCCTTATAACAACCCAGCAAGATAAGTGCTATTAACATCCCCTTTTTATAAATGAGAATAAAGAGGCACAGACAGGTCAAGTAACTTGCTCAGGATCACCAGCCAGTAGTAAGTGGGTTTTGAATGCATAAAGTCAAATTCCAGAGTCTATATTCTTAACCACTACATGAATCCACCTTTTGGAAGAACAGATCTAGAGAGAAAGATCACATCTCTTTCCATGACTTCATATCCTTCAATCCTAAGATCAGAGTGCATGGTCAATCACTTTAATATTTTCCTGTGTATTTTAACATTTTCCTTGTGAATATTCCCATTGTATTCACAAGGAAACCCTCCCTCCCCCCAACTTGAACCAGTAATTTTCCTGCTCTCATACCAAGGTGCTGAACATTGCTGGAGAAGTCCACAGAGCTTTGGCCACTGTTATAATTATGAAGTCATGAGCACACCTGTCCATGGAACTCTCCATAGCAGATCATTCTTCTATTTCTCAAGAGCATGTTCTGTCACACTTTCCACACTGCCTTCCCCAAATTCACTCTGCTCAAGTCCCCCACTCCATCCTCGTGCCTCCACACAGTCTGTAGATAATGCTGTACTTTATTTCATCACGAAAATACAAGCACTGAGTTGATACTGCTTCATCCTCTGAACACTCCCTACCTATAAACCAATCTATATTCCCATCCATAGCTTCTTTCATTCCCAAATTAGTGAAAAAGGTATCTTTCTTCCCAAGTAAGGTAAATCCGTCCCTCATCTTGTGCTCAGGATTCCTTCTCATTCGGCCTCCCCATGGATCATTCTAACACTGTCTCAACTCTTCAATTTCTCTGACTTGTTCTACACCTGCCCAGCACTTAAAGGTACTCAATGCTGTGTTACACAATCACAAAGTGCTGTTCTTATCACAGCTCTTGCTTAGTTGACATCAAATGTGAGAGAATAATATTCAGTCACTAGGGTAAACCTGAACCACAAACATTTCAGCTCTTTGGCTACAAGGCAATTTTAAATTTTAACCTATGTCTGTAAGAGCATTTATACCATGAGTAAAAGTTGCTGCTTTCTTTTCCAGTTCCAGAGCAATCATTCAAGTCAAAACTTTTAGAAGATAATATACAATCATATTTCTTTCCCAGGAAATAATTTTTACAATCACAAGGAGGAACAAGCCAGAGGCACTCTTGCCCTTAACATAGGTCTACTCTGATGTTGTATTTTCCCCATCCCCCAGTATCTGGCCAAATGAATACATGCAGGAGATGAAATATGGAGAAAGAACAAAAGGACTAATTCCACTTGTGAGAGATGAAGGAACAGGAGCACTCTCATGTTTCTTAGGTAATGTACATTCTTTCCTTCATTTACTCAGTCATTGAAAAAGGGTTGTTGAATTCCTAACATGAGTCAGGCACTAAGGAAAGCAAATGCTAAACCTGCCCTTCAAAACTAGTGGGGGCCCAATACCTTTATAAATCATCATAACACAGCTCCACAATCCCTTGGCCACATTTCCAAAATCCAAGGGACTCTGAAAATGGAAAGTTGATTCAGAAGTTTACAACTCTTGTTTGACAGTAAATCTGGCCAGACTGATTTGAAACCTTTTATAGACTTCATACAAGCCGGGTATTCAGACATATCCCTCAAAAATAGTAATATGTTAAATTTATAGCATGCTGCCCCAGAACCAATAGGGCTGCTATGAATATTAAAATTCTGAATTTGGAAATGCTTCTGGCTGCAAGATTTTCTGTGTAGGGAGAGTACATGCCTGTGTAGAGGGACTGTGATGAGGAAGAAACATTTATTGGGTATAAATATCATGCAAATTGCTTTATATACATTATTTCACTTAGACCTCAAGACAGCCCAGTGAATTAGGCCTTGTGGTCCCATTGTACAGATCAGTAAACTGGACCCCCATTAGCTTAAATAACTTGCATAAAGAAGGGGCATAGTGAGGAGTAAAACTTATATTTGTTGCTATATGCATGCTGATATATAAATCAAATCATTTAGGTGTGACAGAGAAAATTTGGATCTGAGCAGGGTTACTCACTAACTCATATTATGTCATAAAAGACATGAAAAAGATCTGCAGAGCCATATAGACTCATGTTTTTAAAAGAGTCAGAGAGGGGCACTCAGAGGATGCGGGCATGCATACTGTTTTAGGGCTTTAGGGAACGTATCAAGAGGAGGTGGAATTTGAGCTGATTCTTAAGCAGTAGGCAATCATTTTGCATGTAAGCTGATAAGCATGTTTAGTCTTCCCTGCTTGATGGAAAACAGACTCCTGGAATGGGTTTCTGGCATCTGTTCTTATGGGAGCTTCCCCAGCGGATTCTTCCTTATTTCACTCTGTGAGTGGAGACTGAGCTGGGGCTCATGGTTATGCATGGGCTGTTTCCTCTGGGGTTAGGAGTGGGCCTCTGGATTTGGGTCCTGCATACTGTGCCCAGGTGCACAGGTTTTTGAAGCTCGGCACCCAGGCTACCAGCCAAAAGAAGCGCTCTGGGGATCTCATAAAATGGATTTCATTTGAGTAGAAAGCTTATTTTTGTCCTGAGTGGTTGTACATCAAACTCCTTTCACATGTCTTGGAACAATGAAAAAGGTTTGGCTTGGCCTTTCAGGGCTTGTAAGAGCCTAGTTTCCTCTGGGATTTACAGAACACTGGTCTTGTCCTCTCTGGGTGGTATAGGAAAAATGCTTCCATCACAAGTTTCTCTGGTGGCACATCCATTTTTCACCTGGGAGGAACCTACAAATTGAAATGTTTGGCTCATAATGTGGAATAGCAGAATGTTGTTAGCGCTTCTGTGGTGGGGTTGGTTGAAAGGATATTGTCTTCATGCTAGGCTCTGAGGTGTTAAATGAGAAAACGGAACAAACAGGAAAACCAGGACCTGGTCAGACTCAGCCTATAATCACTGCTGAGAACTGGAAAAGGAATTTTCAGCAGGACAGTCCTACTCTGGGGCATTCCCTCCAGGCTGGACAGGCTGAGAGTCAGAAATGCTGGGCTATTCTAGAGGTACCACTAATGGGCCTGCAACCATTTTATCCTTCTCTCTGTCCAATGAGGGAGAAGAACTAGATAATCTTTCAGGTTCCCTCTCGTTTCATAATTCCTGTGTCTGTGATTCCAAGTTTTTAATTTCACATGGAAAATATTTGTTGTAAAACCAAGACAGTATGTGATTGTTTAAGTGGGAGCCAAAGAGAGGAAACTGGGGAGAGGGTTGTGTCAGAGGATCACCAAGTGTAATGAGTGCAACAGGAGAATCAGACAGTAAGGAGTCAATGTGCACTGCAACCCCTGCTCAGAGCTAACCACACTCTGAGGAGCAGCTCTGATCTCTAATAATTTTTTTTTTTTTTGAGACAGGGTCTCACTCTGTCACCCAGGCTGGAGTGCAGTGGCATGATCGTGGCTCACTGCAGCCTTGACCTTCTGGGCTCAATAAATTCTCCCACTTCAGCCACCTGAGTAGCTAGGACAATAGGCCCCTCCAACCACGTCTGGCTTTTTTTTTTTCTTTTAGTAGAGACTGGGTTTCCCTGTGTTGCCCAGGCTTGTCTTGAACTCCTGGGCTCAAGTGATCCTCCCAGCTTGGCCTCCCAAAGTGCTGGTGTTACAGGTATGAGCCACCACACCTGGCCCCTAGTGAATTTAATAACCTACCCTGTGCCTGCTCCATCTGTCAGGCCAGGGCAGAGTCAGCAGTCAGTTTTGGCTGCCAGCCTAGGATAATGATTACCTAGCCAATTGGAGATTGGCCTTTCATGTGCACCTGTAATGGAAAAATTACAGAGCTGTCTAGTTTCAGAGCTGACATCTAGTGGAGCCTTGTTCCATCCCACTCTAAGTCTGTTTCTTTCAAGCGATACATGTTGGTTAATAACAACAGCTGAAAGCCAATGTGGTGTCTTTGTGGATCAGCATTTTATCGTTTTGGGCCCAAGGCTTTGCAAATATACCGTGCTCTTTCACAATTGGGGATAGGAGGGGATATCAAGTTGTAAAGGGACCCTAAAAGCATGAGGGTATATACTATTGCATTTAAAATTTCATTTAAAAATTATTAAACTATGCAAATAACACCATGCTCATTTAACTGCAGGGCTTCAGTAATGTTGCATCTGATCATAGAAGTAGCCAATATTTAAAAAGTTTCTAAAATGCATCTACTTATTCCCCAAAGATATATGAGTCACCTCCATGTGTTAGGGCAGTGCTAGAAGCTGGGATTACCCAGGTGAGCTGGATTAGTTCTCTGCCCTCAAGGGGCTTATAGCATCAAGGGGAGACAGATGTCTAACAAAATAATTATAATGCAGTATAATGCAAGGTGGTGGGTCCTGTGACAGCAGTAAGGACAAAGTGCTTTGGAAGCACAACAGAGAAACAACAGATGGATTAACTGAAAAGTGTGTGTGTGTGTGTGTGTGTGTGTGTGTGCTTGTGTATAACAAGGGAGCGTTCCCTTGGTGGAGATAAGGATGCCACTAAGGGTTAAAACAATTACACGTTTAATTGATGGCAAGCACGGGAATGAAATTCTATAATTTCAGGTGCAGTGGCAGAATTGCTAAGCCACAGAATACATATTGTGATGGTAAGTACAGAAGAGAGGTTCATTCATTGGGCGGATGGTTATTCTCACCTCCTATGTCACAGATGCTGTGAGAAGGCTGTGCTTTAGCAGTGGCAAACAGGAAGACATAGTCCCTGCCCTTGGATTTTACATTTTGGTTCAGGAGATAGTCCAGAAATAAGTAAACAGATAAACAGATAAAAGTTGTCAATTATAGTCAAGAAAGTAAGCAGAGAGTGTGGATGTAAACCGTGGTCAAGTTTCCTATGAAGGAAATTTCAAAAGAGCCGCAGCAGGATTGTGGGGGAGGCCCATGGGATAGGGTGCCAGCTCCTGGGGTGAAGTTTAAGCTGAGCTGGGAAGAGTAGGAGGGGCTCACCATGAGAAAAGTGGTCAGCAGAACGTCTGGCAGAAAGAACAGCATCAGTGAGGGCTCTATGCATGAAAGATGTTTTTGGAGGACTGGGGGAGACTAACGAATGAGGCAATGAATGAGGTAGTGAGAGAGGAGGAGAGTGGTATAAGGAGGCTTCGGGAGGAGCTCTGTGCATCCTACTCTCCACTCCCCTCCTGATCCTGCTGCTCCTCAGCCATCCTTCTTCCTACGACTTCCCACACATTGACAACAAAATACAGGGTCCAGCTAGGGCCCATGGGCCTCTCCCAACCTTGTTTCCTGCCACTCTTGTCCTTGCTCCCTGCCCTTCTGGACACTCTGTCCCTCTTGCTTTTACTCAAACTCCCTAAGCAGGTTCCCATACCAGAAATTGGGCACCTGCTCTTCCCTCTGCTGGGGATGCTCTGCTCCTGGTCATTACCAAGATGTACTCTCTCTATTCACTTACATCTTTCCTCAAATGTCAGCTCACTAGAAAGGCCTCACTTGACCACCCATCCCGACACTAGAGTAGATACACCCCATCACCTGACACTCTGTCTCCTTGTCCCGCTTTGTTTTTTTGTAATACTTCATGCTCACTCCCAGGCATTTTAAGATACCTTTTCTTGTTTATCTGTTCATGTTGCCGTGTCTTCCACTGGCATATACACTTCATGAAGTGTACATGTCAGGTCAGGGCTGGCTTCATGGGTGTGTGATCTGTGCAGTTGACCAGGGCCCCATGCTCTGAAGGACCTGTGCTTGGATTCATCCTCTGCTATTGCTGTCTTGAGATTCTTAATAATTTTGTCTTTTAACTTGTGTGTAGTAAGTGAAGCCCAATGTAGCAATGGAGTGTGCACAGAGAGCATGAGCAGAGGCAGTGCACTAGAGAATGGCACACATATGCAGTGTGGTCGAGCAGCAATGCCTATATGCATGGGCAGCCTGGCCAACTGATATGCCTGCACACACCATGAGGCAGCTGCTGTGCTGTGGAGCCCTGAGACAGTGTCCAGGCTTGGATTGGCAGTGGTGATGCAAGGCCAGCAGCAGAAGCAGCAATAGGCATGGCTGTAGAAGTGAGAGTGGCTCTGCATGGAGGAAACTTCCTGAACCCCTGATGGGAGGTTGGCTTGCCTATCCATCCATCCCTGGAGCCTGCTTCCAAGGTTTTACGAATTCTTGGCCAAAGTGCTGGGACAGAAATTGCTGGTGCTCAGCCAGTAAACTTTGTGGGCAAATAATAACAAGATAAAAGTCCATAAATTGACATTGCAAGAAAGCATATCAGGGAGATATAATTCTTCAGAGTCTGAAATCCTTGATTTTGAAAACTACTATAACATTGCTTTACTATTCACTAGCTTAGAAATAGAAACTAAAGTGGAAGATTATTGCATTCAACAGAAAACACTGTTTTCACGTGAATCTTCAGACGAACCCATTATCAATAAGGAAGACAATTTTAAAATGATTTTTTTCTTATAATTGAAGATACAGTGATAGAATGTATAAGCATGCATTTTGAATTATATACAAATCATGGAGCCACTTTCCGTTTCTTATACAACCTCCATAAGTTAAAAAGCCAGAAGAAACATTTAAATACGATTATGTAAATTAGCATTTAAAATTAAATGTATAGACTTACATGAAACTCATTTGTATGAAGAGTTAAACCTTTTTAAAAAATTGTTCCATAAGAATCATCAGCTCTAGAGAAAATAAAATTTATATTTAAAAACAATTTGTCTGTAATTTATCTCCATGGTGTCACCACCTATAAAATCCTTTTAACAGCTCCAGGAATAGCTGCATTAGCAGAAAGATCCTTCTCAAAATTAAAAAAAATACTAAAAATTATTTGCAATCTTGTATTTATCAAGAATGATTTATGTCTCTTTAATTATATGTATTGAAATGAAGTGGCTAAAAGTATAAAACTTGATGACCTAATAAATTAATTTGTAAAAAAGTGAGCTAAACAAAAATTTTATGATTGATCAAGATGTTACATTAATATTATTTATCGTATAAAGTTACAAAACCAGAAATATTATTGCTTTCAACATGTAAGTTTATATTGTTACTCACTACTACACTTATTATATTTTATAAATAATGAAATATTTTTAAAGTGGTTCAAGAGACTAAGTAAAGGAGTATTTACAGAATGAGCAGAGTTAACCAACAAGGAACGTTAAAGGAGCATAGATTAGCAGCAGTAGGGAGATTTTACCACAATTGGTACTGTAGAAGCAAGAAGAGAGACGTGTTACAGATCCCATGGAGAGCTTGGGCCACAGAGGAGGGTTTACCTGATAGGATCTTGTGGTCTAGAGGGATGCAGCCATGACCAGAATCCATGGCCCAAACCCCTGGGAGTAAGGGGAAGAAATACCCTGATATCTCTCACCTCTCATCTTCCAATCTCCTGTTGTACTTTCTATTGGCTGAATGCCACCAAAAGCTGGAAGGCAAGGGAGGCTGGGTGGTAAAAGTCTACAATGGACAGCCTCCTGGAGTATAGAACAGGGTAGAGGACGACAGAGAAAAGATCGCTCTGTGTGTGTGTGTGTGTGTGTGTGTGTGTGTGTCTGTGTCTGTGTGCGTGTTGCAAACTGAGAACAAGGACTTTTGTCTGTTAAATCCACTGCTATATCCCTAGCACTTAGAAAAGTGCCTGACACATGGTAAGTGTTCAAAAAAATACCTGTCAAATGAATGGAAGATAACCTCACATGTGATTTAGCAGTGCTAGAGGCTTCCTGTAGATCATCATTCCTTTCTTCCTCATCCCTCTTGTGAATGCTTGCTCATGAATGCATCTTGTTCCACTGGGAAGGATCTGCAGGAGGAACCTCTGAGGCCTCAGATGTCAGGTGCTTATCCATCCACAGCTGCCTTGCAGGGACAGAAGCCCAGATGGCTTGGCTGTCCTCTTTATAAAAACTTCTGTGGCTCAGGCAGTGCTCTCGTGGTAGACCCAGCCCTCCTATCTTAGCCACAGCTGATGGCCAGATCAATATGTGACACAAAGTCACAAAAAGTCTTCTGTCTCTGAAGGGGGCCTGGCAGGATGTATGCTCAATAGGAGCACTCTCTTTTGAGAGCTGGTAAATTGGTAAAATCCTTCTTTTGAAGAAGCATACCTGTTGGGTGAGCAATGAGGAAGTGGATCTTTTCCTGCTCTTTCATGCCTTGCGCTAAGGACTGGAAATGGGCAGAGAAAGGCACTAACATTTGTGAGAACCTACTATGCGCCAGACATTTTGTAATTGTGAGAAACTACACCTAACATGTTGTATCCATGATGTGACAAGTGTGTAAAGACAGAAAACCAGTAGACTAAGCATGGCTAAGTGAAAGGATAAAAAAGATTTCATTGATGTTATTGTTCTGCCTCTGTGCCAGTGCTAGCAATCACCAATCTCAATTTATTGTCACATGAAGAAAATACTTACCTGTATTTTTGTTATACATAAATGCTTGTTCCCTGGTGCCACAAATAACTAGCACTTAAACATAAATTTAATTCTTTCAGCAAGGCAATCTTTATTTCTGCAGAAAGGGTGCTCTCACCATTATTTCATCTGTGATGAGCACCCTTTCTGCAGGAAATAAAGATTGTCTTGCTGAGAGAATTAAATTTATGTTCAAGTGCTATTTCTTTGCAGCACCAGGGAACAAGCATTTACATATAACAATTTGTTTCTGCTGATGTTATTTGGGTATTGTGTTAATAGCAGCATTCCTAATGGCTATGCTAGTCGCCGTTTCAAGATATAACTCTTCTCTTTCCTCCTCATTCTCTTCTGCTTTTATCTGCCATTGGCAACCATGAGCATTGCTTTGTTTCACTGGGAGCTCTTTCTTCTGATGAATTTGTAGGAGTCTCATGAAATTTTATTTTCATACCTAGTATGGGGTTTGAGGACACAGCTATTAAGTGTTTACAGATACATTATTACTTCTTATTACTTTATTTTATTGCTCTATTTGGCTGTATTGGAATAATCTTTGTGTCATACTCGTGTTATAATTTTTAGAGTGGTAATTTAGTTTTAGCTGTGTGTGTGTGTGCGTGTGTGTAACTCCTGGAACTGTAGATTTATGAGGGACAATACAGTGGGAAATGTGCAGCCTAAATCTTAACAACAGGGCATGTTGGGATGGGAACATAAAGCACACAAATAATCAGTACAACACTTTTAAACAGGAGTTTTGTGAAAGTGAAGTTGTTTTAAATTACCCTTTAGAAACAGGAGATAAAGTGAGGGAGTAGAAAGGCAATAAAGGCTGAAGGATGAGGAAACTGTCTCCTAATGAAATTAGCTGAACTTTTAGCCTTTGTCTCCAATTGCCAAAGATGGTTAGCTATTACACTGAGCCATGTGAAATTGCTGACAGTCAACGTTTTTTGACCTATTTTATCCAAGATAATTATAGCCTTAATTAGCAACAACCCAAGCTTCAAAAAAGAGGAATAATTTCTTACTATTACTATTATGTTTTTATTATATAAGAGACACATGTTTTCTGAAGAAAAAAGAAATGCAGATAAGTGATGATATGGTTTGGATCTGTGTCTCCTCCCAAATCTCATGTTGAATTGTCATCCCCAATGTTGCCGGAGGGGCCTGGTAGGAGGAGAATGAATTATGGGGTGGACTTCCCCCTTGCTATTTCTGTGATAGAGTGAGTTCTCATGAGATCTGATTCTTTAAAAGTATGTAGCACCTCCACCTTCTCTCTCTTCCTCCTGTTCTGGCCATGTAAGATGTGCCTGTTTCCCCTTCTGCCATGACTGTGAGTTTCCTGAGGCCTCCCAAGCCATGCTTCCTGTACAGCCTGGGGAGCCCTGAGCCGATTAAACCTTTTTTCTTTATAAATTACCCAGTTTCAGGCATTCCTTTATAGCACTGCAAGAATGGACTAATATAAGTGAAAACAAAAAATGGTCACATATGCATATATAATATTGTATTTAAATATGCTCTTTTTGCTGCTTTTTTAGCATTTCATCTTTCTGTTTATACTGCCCATCTGTTCTCACATGCTATCTACTTTATCCATTAGAGCACTTTCCATATTAATCACAGTTATTTTAAAGATTTGCTGTAAAGCAACTGTTGTTAATAGGCCTTTAGTCATGTGGTGTTAAGCTGTCTGGGAGGGGAAGCATTCTTGGGCCCTATAATTAGGTCTCAGCCCTTTAGTGAGCTTGTGCCTTGGCCTGTGGACTTCACAGTACTTCATCAGTTTCCCCCCACCTCCTTGCACCCACTTAGGTGGGACAGAAGAGCTACAAAGGGCTGGAGTTGGTTAGACTCTGGAAAAAAACTCAATAGTTTAGGCTTGGTAAAATATTTTCTCTTGAGGTTAGGCCTTGCTAAGAACAGAATGCTCTGGTGTATTTAAAAATGGTTCCTTTTCCCCTTCTCCCTGCCAGACATGAAGCTCTAGGGAGTTTTTCTCTGATATTCACTGTGAGAACCTGGTTGAGCTTCTGGAGGTAAAGTTCACAAAAGTGTGGAGCTCCTCTATGAATGAGTCCCCCTGGAGTTTTTAACTCATGGATTTGCCCACAGGGATCCTGCAGTAATTCATCAATTACACTTCAGGTTTTCTTACCTCCTCACTGGTTTCCATGGAGATTTCTATTCAGGAGTTTCTGCTCTGGTAAATTGTGATTCTCGATTCTCTGAATATGTGTGTCTGTCTCTTCAGTTTTGGGGACAGGGGTATGTCTGTGACCCCACTTCTCTGACAGATCTAAGAACAGTTGTTGATTTTTCATTTTGTTTGGGTTTTTACTTGTTAGGAGAGAGTGATGACTGCCAATCTCCTGATCAGAAATGAGAAGTTTACATGTTATTTGATAACTTGATTTTTTAAAATTTACAATATATTGTGAATATATTTGATACCAGTTAACTATATTTTTTAAAGTTTGATACGTATTTCATTGTGTGGATATACCATAATTGATTAAAGAACTAGCAAAACTTAATGGTTAAAAGCACAGTTGCTGGAGTAAGACTACCTGAATTCAAATTCACCTCTTCCACTTATTAGCTGGATGATTGTGGGCAAATTAGTTGACCTCCTTATGCCTCAGTTTCCTAGCCAACAAAATAGAGATAATACTAGTACCTGTGTCATGGAGTTTTTGGGAGGATTAGATGAGTTAGTAAATATGTAAAGTCTGTACAATAGTGCCTGGTACATAGTGCCTCTATGAATGTGTTAGACATTAAGTCATCTTCTGCTGTTGGGTGTTTCTGTTGTTTCCAGTTTTTTACTATGATAAATAATCCTGCAATGTCTCTACTTAGATCACAATCTTTGTTCACATTCTTAACTGTATTCTTAGCATATATGTCTATTAGGACACCATTTTGACAAGTGACAGAAAATCCAACTCAAAAGTGGCTCAAGCAAAATAAATAAGTAAATAAATAGTGCTATGGTCTGAGTATTCAGACCAATTTCCCCTTCAAAATTCATATGCTGAAATCTTAATCCCAGTGGTGATGGTATTGGGAGGTGGAGCCTTTTGGTGGGTGATTAGGTCATAATGGTAAAACCTGTATGAATGAGATTAGTGCCCTTACAACAGAGACCTCAGAGAGTTGCCTTGCCCCTTCCACCCTGTGAGGACACTGCAAGAAGTCTCCATCTATGAACCAGAAAGTGGGCACTCGCCGGATACCAAATCTGCCAGAGTCTTGATCTTGGGCTTCCTAGCCTCCAGAACTCTCAGAAATAATTTTTTTAAATTTATTTATAAGTTACCCAGTTCATGGTATTTTGTTTTAGCAGGCCAAACTGACAAATACAGATAGATACTTTAAAAGTAAATAAAAGTATTGGCTCACTTAAGTGCAAAGTCCAGGACTGGTGCTGTTTGATCCAGGTACTGAAACATTTCTTGCAGGACTCAGTGCCTTTTTATTTCTCAGCCTTACCCTTTTTCATACTGGATTTATCCTCAGGCTTTACATGGTAGCAAAATGGCTCCAAGCCAAGTCCTCCTGGATTTGATTCTAGCTAAAAGAAGGGACAGTTTCTCTTTCTTAGAACTGGATGAAAGTCCTGGGCCATACTGGGTCATGAGCCCATCCTTGAATCAACTACTATGGCTGGAGGAGTGGAAAGTACTGAATGGCTTAGCCCTGGAGCTGGAGAGGTATCAGTCCAACGCAAATCATGGGAAATAGTCATATAGAAAGGATGGCTTCATAATCTGAAATACTAACAAAACAAAACAAAAAAAGAAAGGAGAAAGGACACTGCGTAGCCAGAAAATAAAAGAAATATTAATTTCTTAGACGAGGTATTTCTGGGTGAGGAGGATTCTGGATTAAGACTTTTGATACATTTTGCCAACTTTTTTTACTCCAAAAAGTTTGTACCAATCTGCTTTCTCATTAGCAGTATAAAACGAGCCATTTTCTGGGATTGTAGCCAACAAAATATTTCTTGTATTGTTTTTCTCAATCGTATTTCTTGATATGGTAGGCCAGAAGAAAGTATTTAATTTCAATTTGTAGTTCCTTGTAAATTGAATTGCATATTGGTTTGATATATTTGTATGTGTTTATTGGCCATGTGCATTTATTCTTTTGTAAATTATGGCATTTCATTGATTCTAAGACACCATTGGTTATAAAACAGACCATTATTTTGTGTACCACCAAGAAATTTTAAAGAAACAAACCCTCTGCGACTAAAGTATTACAGAAATACTTCTTTTTTTATTTAATTTAGAAGAGGTTTGCTGATTTTAGAGATGTTAAAATATAGAACATATGCATCCTTGAATCAATGAAATATGGTACTTATTGGGCTGGGGGCAGTGGCACAACCCTGTAATTCCAGCACTTTGGGAAGCCAAGGCAGGTGGATCACTTGAGCCCAGGAATTTGAGACTGGCCTGGTCAACATGGAGAAACCCAGTCTCTACTAAAAATACAAACATTAGCCGGGCATGGTGGCACACAACTGTAGTCGCAGCTACTCAGGAGGCTGAGGTGGGAGGCTCGCTTGAGCCCAGGAGGCTGAGGTTGCAGTGAGCTGAGATCGCACCATTGCACTCCAGCCTGGGCAACAGTGAGATCCTGCCTCAAAAAAAAAAAAAAGATACCTATTAATGATCTCTTTTTTATTATTATTACACATTTATCTTTTACTTATTGAATTTGTTAGTGATTTATTATAGATATTTTTCCATGTTTATAGTTCCACTTATAATTTTAATTATGGCATTTTAAAAAACATACTGATGTTTATATTTTTAGGAAGTAAAATTATTAATATTTTCATTTATTGTTTCAACCTTTGATGTAATATTTATGAAGGTATTTTCCATTCTTAGACTATTCAAAGATTTACATAAATTTACTTCGAGCATTTCTACTATTTTTTTTTACTTTGTATTTAATCCACCTAGAATTTATTTCTTTTTATGAAAAGAAAAAGTTTCAAAATTTTGTTTTTTCAAATGGTTACCTGCTCATACACCATTTATTAATTAGGCATCCTTTCTCCACTGATTTGAAAGATTACCTTTATTGTGTGCTCAATATTTCTATAAAAATGGGTCTATTTATTTATTTAATTTTTAGTTTTTGTGGGTGCATAGTGCATGTATATATTTGTAGGGTACATGAGATATTTTGATACAGGCATACAATGTATAATAATCACATCAGGATAAATGGGGTATCCATCACCTCAAGCATTCATCCTTTCTTTGTGTTACAAACAATCCATTTATACTCTTTTGGTTACTTTTTAATGTACAATAAATTGTCATTGGCTGTAGTCACCCTGTTGTACTATCAAATACTATATTTTATTCATTTCTATCTAACTATATTTTTATACCCATTAACCATCCCCACTTCCCCCACCCTTTTCAGCCTCTAGTAACCATCATTCTACCCTCTAACTCCATGAGTTCAATTTTTATTAATTAATTAATTTTTGTTAATTTTTAGCTTCCACAAATAAGTGAGAACACGAGAAGTTTATCTTTGTGTGCCTGGCTTATTTCACTTAACATAATGTCCTCCAGTTCCATCCATATTGTTGCAAGTGACATGTTCTCATTCTTTTTTATGGCTGAACAGTATTCCATTGTATATATATGTACCACATTTTAAAAAATCTATTCATCTGTTGATGGACACTTAGATTGCTTCCAAATCTTGGCTATTGTCAACAATGCTGCAACAAACATGAGAGTGCAGATATCTATTTGATATACTGATTTACTTTCTTTTGGGTATATACCCAGCAATAGGATTGCTGGATCATATGGTAGCTCTATTTTTAGTTTTTTGAGGAACCGCAGACTGTTCTCCATAGTGGGTATGCTAATTTACATTCCCACCAACAGTGTATGAGAGAGTCCTTGTATTAGTCTGTTTTCATGCTGCTGATAAAGACATACCCAAGACTGGGCAATTTATAAAAGAAAGAGATTTAATGGACTTACAGTTTCACATGGCTGGGGAGGCCTCACAATCATGGCGGGAAGCAAGAAGGAGTAAGTCATGTCTTACATGAATGGCAGCAGGCAAAGAGAGAGCTTGTGAAGGGAAACTTCTTTTGAAACCATCAGATCTCATGAGTCTTATTCACCATCACGAGAACAGCATGAGAAAGACCTGCCCCCATGATTCCATTACCTCCCTCTGGGTTCTTCCCATGACACATGGGAATTGTGAGAGTTACAATTCAAGATGAGATTTGGGTGGGGACACAGCCAAACCATGTCAGTCCTTTTTTCTCCACATCCTTACCAACATTCATTATTGCCTGTCTTTTGGATATAAGTCATTTTAACTGGGATGAGGTAATATTTCATTGTAGTTTTGATTTGCAGTCCTCTGATGATCAATGAGGGTTCAGCACCCTTTCATATACCTGTTTACCATTTGTATGTCTTCTTTTGAGAAAGAAGACTTGTATGTCTATTCAAGTCTTTTGCCCACTTTTTGATGGGATTATTAGATTTTTTCCCATAGAGTTGTTTGAGCTCCTTGTGTATTCTGGTTATTAATCCTTTGTCAGATGAGTAGTTTGTAGATATTTTCTCCCATTCTATGGGCTGTTTCCTCACTTTGTTGATCGTTTGCTGTGCAGAAGCTTTTTAATTTGATGTGATGTTCCTTCTATATCCAGTTTTTTTAGAGTTTTTATCATGAAGTGATTTTGAATTTTATCAAATGTGTTTTCAGCATCAGTTGAAATGATCATAGGGTTTTTGTCTTTTATCCAGTTGATGGGATGTGTCACACTGATTCATTTGCGGATGTTGAATCATCATAGCATTAAATCCCATTTGGTTATGATGAATCACCTTTTTAATGTGTGGTCGAATGCAGTTTGCTAGTATTTTGGTGAGAATTTCTGCATCAGTGTTCATCAGGGATATTGCCCTGTAGTTTTCCTTTTTTGGTTTGTCTTTGGTTTTGGTTTCAGGTTAACACTGGCCTCATAGAATGAGTTTGGGAGTGTTCCCTCCTCTTCTACTGTATTTTTTGGAATAGTTTGAGTAGGATTGGTACTAGTTCTTCTTTCAAAGTTTGGTAAAATTCATCAGTGAAGTCATCAGGTCCCAGGCTTTTCTTTGCTGGGAGACTTTTTATTATGTCTTCAATTTTATTACTTGTTATTAGTCTGTTCAGGTTTTGGATTTCTTCGTGGTTCAATGTTGATAGGTGCATATGTCTAGGGATTTTTCTATTTCTTCTAGGTTTTCCAATTTGTTGACATATAATTGATCATAGTAATCTTTAATGATACTTTGAATTTCTGTGGTATCAGTTTTAATGTCTCCTTTTCCATCTCCAGTTTTATTTATTTGAGTCTGCTCTCTTTTTTTCTTAGTCTGGCTAAAGGTGTGTCTATTTTGTTTATATTTTCAAAAAACCAACTTTTTGTTTTGTTGATTTTTTTTAGTTTTTTTTTTTTCATTTCAGTTTCATTTATTTCTGCTCTGACTTGTATTATTTCTTTTCTCCTACTAATTTTGGGATTGATTTGCTCTTGCTTTTCTAATTATTTAAGATGCATCATTAGATTGTTTATTTGAAGTTAATTTACTTTTTTGATGTAGGTGCTTATTGCTGTAAACTTTCCTCTTGGTACTGCTTTCACTGTATCCCATAGGTTTTGGTACATTTTGTTTCCAGAAATTTTTCAATTTCTTTCTTAATTTCTTCATTGACTCACTGGTCATTCAGGAGCATATTGTTTAAATTCCATGTATTTGTATAGTTTCCAAAATTCCTCTTGTTATTGATTTCTGGTTTTATTCCATTGTGATGAGAGAAGATGCTTAATATTATTTAATTTTTTTCAATATTTTAAGACTTGTTTTGTGATCTAACATACAGTCTATCCTTGAGAATGATTCATGGGCTGAGAGAAAGAATGTGTATTCTGGAGCCATTGGTTGAAATATTCTGTAAATATCTATTAGGTCCATTTGGTCTATAGTGCAAATTAAGTCTGATATTTCTTGACTTTCTGTCTGGATGATCAGTCCAATGCTGAAAGTGGAGTGTTGAAGTCTCCAACTATTATTGTATTGGCGTCTGTCTTTCTCTTTAGATCTAATAATATTTGCTTTATATATTTGGGTGCTCCAGTGTTAGGTGCATATATATTTAAAAGTATTATATCTTTTTGCTGAATTGACCCCTTGATCATTATGTAATAACCTTCTTTGTCTCTTTTTATAGTTTTTGTCTTGAAATCTATTTTGTCTAGTATAAGTATAGCTACTCTTGCTCCTTTTTGGTTTCCATTGGCATGGAAGATCTTTTTTCATCCCTTTATGCTAAGTCTGTGTGTGTCTTTATAGGTGAAACGTGTTTCTTGTAGGCAGCACATCTTTAGGTCTTATTTGTTATCCTTTCAGCCACTCTGTCTTTTGACTGGAGGGTTTAATTTATTTACATTCAATGTTATTATTGAAAAGTAAGGACTTATTCCTACCATTTTGTTATTTGTTTGCTGGTTGTTTTATGGTCTTCTCTTCCTTCTCTCCTTCCTTCCTATCCTCCTATTAGTGAAAGTGATTTTCTCTGTTGGTATGTTATAATTTCTTGCTTTTTATTTTTTATGTATCTCTTGTATGTTTTTTCATTTGCAGTTATCATGAGACTTGCAAATAATATAATCTACTATTTTAACTGATGACAACTTAATACTGATTGTATAAACAAACAAGCAAGCAAAAAGGAAACAAATAAAAACTCTACTCTTTAACTTCTTCCCCCTGCTTTTTGCTTTTTGTTGTATCTTATTATACCGTCTATGTCTTGAAAAGCTGTCAAAGTTATTATTTTTGTTAGGTTCATCTTTTAGTCTTTCTGCTCAAGATAAGAGTAGTTTACACACACCAAAATTACAGTGTTATAATATTCTGTGTTTTTTTTCTGTGTACTTACTATTACCAATGAGTTTTTTTACCTTCAGATGACCTCTTGTTGCTCATTAACATATTTTTCTTTTAGACCAAAGAACTTTCTTTAGCATTTCTTGTAGGACAGGTCTGATGTTGATGAAGTCCCTCAGCTTTGGCTTATCTGAGAAAGGCTTTATTTCTCCTCCATGTTTGAAAGATATTTTCTTTGGATATACTATTCTAGGAAAATGGAAATGTTTTTTCGTTTGGCACTTTAAATATGTCATGTCACTCTCTCCTGACTTGTAAGTTTCCACTGAGAAGTATGCTACCAGAGGTATTGAAACTCCTTTGGGAGTTTTATTATTAAATACCTTGAGGTGGTCTTCTTTGGGTAAAATATGCTTGGTGTTCTGTAACCTTCTTGTATTTGGATATTGATATCTTCCTCTAGGTTTTGGAAGTTCTATTATTATCCCTTTGAATAAACTTTCTATCCCTATTTGTCTCTTAAAGGCAAATAACTCTTAGATTCACCCTTCTGAGGCTATTTTCTAGATCTCTATGTGTGTGCTTCATGCTTTTTTTTTATTTTTAAATTTTGTTTCCTCTGACTGTGTATTTTCAAATAGCCTGTCTTCAAGCTCACTAATTCTTTCCTCTGCTTGATCAATTCTGCTTTTAAAGGACTCTGGTGCATTATTCTGTATGTCTATTACATTTCTCAACTCCAGAATTTCTGCTTGATTCTTTTAAATTACTTCAATCTCTTTGTTAAATTTATCTGCTAGGATTCTGAATTCCTTCTCTGTGTTATCCTAACTTTCATTGAGCTCCCTCAAAACAGCAACTTTGAATTCTCTAAGAGGTCACATATCTTTGTCTCAAACAGATCTACTTACAATATAATGACATACCTCTATATTCTTACACCAGCACCACATTGTTCAAATTCTTACAGACTTACAATGTATTCTAATACCACATTTCATTGATTCTAAGGTTTTAAAAAACATTTTAAGATCTCTGATATCAGAATGTCTCTTACAATAGAAAAAAAAGAATTATATCACAACTTAACTGTGAGCATTTAACATTTTTAATAGTATGTAAAAAATGGTTTCTCTTATAGTCAATAACACTTTCAATTGAATAAGTTATGGGGTATAAAATGTTTATCTACCTGCTTAATCATCCTTTTTAGTATTTTGGCTCTTATCTGTTTACTCTTCCATGTTAATATTAGAATCACTTTGTCAAAATATTTTGTAATTTATTGAGAATTGTGATAAATTTATTAATTTTAAAAAGTATAATCTTCAAAATATTAAATATTTTCAAATTCTTCTTTAACTACCGTCAATAAGGTTTTATGGATTTTTTAAAAATCTAGCTTTTACATATTTTTAGACTTTTTTTTGAGACAGGGCCTCAGTACATACCCCAGGCTGAAGAGCAGTGGTATGATCACAGCTCACTGTAGCCTCAACCTCCAGGGCTCAAGTGATCCTCCTACCTCAGCAACCCAAGTAGCTGGGACTAGAGGCACGCACCACCACACCTGGCTAATTTTTTGTATTTTTTAGTAGAGATGGGGTTTCACCATGTTTCCCAGGCTGATCTTGAACTCCTGAGCTCAAGTGATCTGCCCACTGCAGCCTCCCAAAGTGCTGGCATTACAGGTGTGAGCCACTGTGCCCAGCCTTTTAGATTTTTAAAATATCAACTTTAGTTTGTAATATGGTTTGGCTCTGTGTCCCCACCGAAATCTCATCTCTAATTGTAATTCCCACGTGTCAGGGAAGGGACTTGGTGGGAGGTGCCTGGATTATGGAGGCAGTTTCCTCCATGCTGTTCTCATGATACTGAGTGAGTTCTTACAAGATCTGATGGTTTAAAAGTGTTTAATAGTTCCCCCTGGATCTCTCTCTCTCCTGGTGCTTTGTGAAGAAGGTGCTTGCTTCCCCTTTGCCTTCCACCTTAATTGTAAGTTTCCTGAGGCCTCCCCAGCCATGTGGAACTGTGAGTCAATTAAATCTCCTTTCTTTATAAATTATCCAGTCTCAGGTAGTTCTTTATAGCAGTGTGAAAATGAACTATACAGTTTGTGCATATGCATCACTATGAATGGGATCTCTTTTGTATTATATCTTCTAAATTGTTATTCATCCTGCATGGAAAAGCTGCTGATTTTTGTTTGTTTGGGCATATGGAATTTATCCTGAGAACTTAGATATCAGAAAAGAAATCAGGAAAAAGTAAGAAGTTTATTATAATCAACTCTCTTTCCCCCAAAATGATTAGGTGACAGAAAAAGGCATTAAGAAAGGAAATTAAAATAATATACAAATGCTTTATTTTAGCCATAAGTTTGGATCATCTTTGTCAAGCAACATTTTGTTGGAACTATATGTGACTTTATTAAGTATGTGTCTTGGTCACTTCAGGCTGCTATAACAAAATAACTTACACATCACAAAATGATATCTATTACAATTCTGAGGCTAGAAGTCCCAAGTCAAGGCACCAGCACATTTGGTGTCTAGTGAGGGCCTACTTTCTGGTTCGTAGAGGGCACTTTCCTGCTGTGCCCTCACATGCTGGAATTCTGGGGCCTCTTTTATAAGGGCACTAATCCCATTCATGAAGGTTTCCGCCTCCATGATCTAATCACCTGCCAAAGGCCCTACTACTTAATACCATCACATTGGTGATTAGGTTTCAACATATGGATTTTGGGAGGATACAAATATTCAGGCCATAGCAATGGAGCACAGAAATAACTATGCTGGGAAATTTCACATTGCTCCTGAAGGTCTCAGTGCCTTTTTGGGGTCCAGAGACTTGGGCTCTGGGTCTGGCTCAGATCAGGTGAGATCCTACAGGAGACACTCATATTTTTAGAGCTATACTTCCTCATCTGTAAAATGATGACTTTGGGCCAAATTATTCTAAGATTTTTCTGCCCTAACATTCTGGGGACTATTAATGAGTAATAAAATTGACTGATGAAGTTTATCCCCTTTTTGTCATTACCTATCCTCAGCCAGCAAAAAGAAACATTAGAAGACAAGGACCAAGTGAAGGAGCCAGAGAAACAAGGTGCCCATATAATATATAATATCAACATTCAACCCTCGAGTACCTGAATGTTGTATCGCACTGCTGGACAAAGCACCAGAGCAGGCATTGTCCTCTGGTACCAGGAACCATCCAGTTTATTACCAGCCTTTTGTTGGTAGCTCTTTTGCCCCAGATAATGTCCTATTTGATTTTGTCTTGACTAAGCACCTGCCTGTACCTACTGCCTTGTAAGAAACAAAATCTGAAAGAAGGAAAAAGAAACATGGTAGGAGCATAATAGCTGGCTGTTTATTCACTGAAGGAGCATTTATAGATCTTCTTTCTATTTAGGACCCAGAATGCACCAAATACCACGAGTGGGACTTTTGTAGGGACCAGGTATAATCTTTCCTCTCAACAATGGGTTACAGATATATAAACAAACATTCATGCAAAGGATTATTTTAGGTGCTATGATAGAAATCTTAATTAGATATTGTGGGGATAGAAAAGAAAGAGTTTAATTTTGCAAGGATGACCAAGAAAGGCATAGAGTTGCTAAGCCTGGTTCCATTTTGAAAGGCAGAGGTGGAGAAGGATATGTCCATATAGGGAATGGCAAGAGCAGAGGGGCAGGGGCATGACCCAGCCTGGAGAGGCTGCAGGTCTAAATATAGGCTACAGGGATGGGCACAGGAAAAATACTAAAGGTATGTTTAAACCGTGTTTAAAACATTGCGGAATTTACCTCTTAGTGAAGCTATGGCAGGCTTTTAAGCAATGGGGTTCAGTGGGCAAATTTACATTCTAAAGAGATCATTCTATCGTATGAAACCTGCATGATTTGAGAAGGTTTCAATGCACTGACAAGGAGTCTAGTGAAGAGAGAGCTGCAGTAGTCCAGGTGAGAACAAAGTCCACATTGACATGAAAAAGTGGAGAAAGTGGCATGTCTATGTGATGATGGATTAGTTTTCTATCATGGCATAACAAAACATCACAAACTTGGTGACTTAAAACGGCACCCATTTGTTAGCTCACAATTCTGTAGTTCAGAAGACTGGGCCTGCTGTGGGTATGTTCTCTGGACAGTGTCTCACAAAGTTGAAACCAAAGCGTCAGCTAGAGCTATAGCTCTCATCTGGGGCCAGAGGTCCACTTCCAACCTCATTCAGGCTGTTGGCAGAATTTATTTTCTTGCAGTTGTAGGACTGCAGTCACAATTTTCCTAGTAGCTGTCCCACGGTAGCCACTCTAAGCTGCTAGAAGCTGTCCCTCTCCATCTAGAGTTCTCGACATGGATCTTCATTTTCTTTTAGAGCTATACTTCATAGCTCTTCATTTTCTTCATGTTGGCTGGATTGCATCTCTCTGATTTCCCTTTCTGTGACCAGCCTGAATAAACTCTCTTCTTTTAAAGGACTTGGATGTTTAGATTACCCAGATAACCTCTTTCCTTAAAGTTATCTATATGATATTACCTAACCTAATATCAGGAGTAAAATTATTCATATTCACAGTCCCAGGGATTATGCATGGTGTGTACATGGCAGGAAATCTTAGGAAGGGTCCTCTTAGAATTCTGCCCCCCACAAATGGTACAAAACAACAATAACAAGAGTAAAAAGTAGACTAGATAGACACTGTTTCCAATTGCATGAAGGAAGAAGAAAGAGGAAAAGACTCAGTGATTTTTTTTGGCTGGGTGGTATAATTACCAGGGTAAGGAGGATGAAAGGACAAAGGGGCTGGGATTCTACTTTGGGCTTGGTGAGGTTGACGTGTCTGTGAGCTATGCAGTTAGTCCAGGAGACAGTAGGATTAGGAATACAGGAAAATAGTTGGGAAAGAAATACAAGATTTTTAGTTAGTAGCAGATAGATGCTAGGAACACCATGGGACTGGATAAAATGGGTTTTATTTTAATTGTGTAAACTTCTCTGCATTCCTAAACTATATGTTCCTTGATGGCAGATCTATGTGTTTCCATTTCTGTATGTTGGGTGCCTTCCATATAGTATGTGCTCAGGAATGTTATGGATGGATGAATTGTTGAGATTATGCAGGTAAAACATTCTAAGTAAAAAGTTAAGGGCTGAGAACAGAACCCTGGGCAATGTCAGCATTTATGGAATGAGCAAAGGATGAAGAGTCCATGAAGGGGGAAAAGTCAGGTGGAAAATCAGAAGAGAGCAGTGCCTGCAAAAGACAGGAGGAGAGTCTCAAGAGGAAAAGCTACCATGAAAACAATACTGAACATTTTACTGAACAATTACTCTCTGCCAAGTAACGTGTGTGAAGTTTACTTAATCCTCAAAATAATCCCATGGTGTAGGAACTCTTTTTATACAGAAGAGGAAGCTGGGGCCCAGAGACGTAAAATTTTTCCTGGATCACACTACTGGTCAACAAGAGAGATGAACTCTAAGTCCTGGACACATGACCCCAGAGCCGAAGCTCTTAAACACTAAATTACACAGGTGTTCTACCCCTTCTCCCTTCTTGCTGAAGAGAAAAAACTCCTAACCAGGACAAACAGAAAACCCAGTGGAAGAAATAGCATTTGGCCCTTGATAGATGGGCTGTACTTTAGCAACGGAGCTGGAGGAAGCCCAGGTAGGTTTGCCAGATTTAGCAAATAAAAATACAGGACACACAGTTAAATCTGAATTTCAGATTAAGATTTTTTCTTAGTATAAATATGTCCCCATTATATAGCATGCTCCAATCAGGCTAGAATTTTTACTCTCCCTTTTTACTTCTACGCTTCATAGCTCATGCTCTTCATCTCTACGGCACACTGTACCCTTTCTTTTTGCCAGTCTTAATGTTACCCATCCTCGAAGCCCCATCCATATTAACTGTCATTTGCCCAGCATTCCTACCTAAAAAATACATTCATATGGATGACCTCATTTGATTTACAAAGCACTCTTGCAAGTAAACATGGTATGCATTATTAACCCCTTGTGCAGATGAGAAAACAAGCTTGGGATGCAACATTTTTTTTTCTTTTTTTTTTGAGATGGAGTCTTGCTCTGTTGCCAGGCTGGAGTGCAGTGGTGCGACCTCACCTCACTGCAACCTCTGCCTCCTGGGTTCCAGGGATTCTCCTGCCTCAGCCTCCCGAGTAGCTGGGACTAGAGGCACGTGCCACCACACCCAGCTAATTTTTTTTTTTTTTTTTTTTAGTATTTTTAGTAGAGATGGGGTTTCACCATGTTGGCCAGATGGTCTTGATCTCTTGACCTCGTGATCTGCCCACCTCGGCCTCCCAAAGTGCTGGGATTACAGGCGTGAGCCACTGCTCCTGGCTGGGATGCAACTTTCACAGATCATTCATTCATGTAACTGGGACCCCAGGGTCTTATGACAGCAACTTTCATTCTTTTTCCACGAATTCACACTGAAACTAATGTCAGCCTTCCACTTTGATTCTCAGTGCTCAGGTACCTCTCCTTTTTCTTGACCTCTCAGTTTGGCTCTTGATTTAAAGTTTACTCTTGTTGTTCAAGTCTTACATTTCCAAGAACACTTATGTTCTCTCAAGACAGGAATCCGCCTTGTACAACTTTGGCCCCTGCCCTTCATACATATCCAGTTGAAACTGATTAATTTTCTCCAAATCCTGTTAAATGATCTTGAAAATCACTCAGGTCTGAGCAATCCTCCAAGTGTTCCGAGTTCTTGGCAGAGTGTGTCACCAGTACTTGTGACTAAAACTGGTATTTTTTTTTTAATTTCATAGAATGTAAAAAATTGTGGTCAAATATTCTTCCCTAATATCCCCAGCTTAGTGATTTCTTCTGGATAGACATTCCCATCCACCACAGAAATGTCCAAAACAAATAGCCAAGGAATAGGCAAGTTTATCTAATAGTAATTTATTCTTCCATTCTTCATTCAACGGCACTTAATAACACCTGCAATATGCTAGCTATTGTGTTAGTCAGTGGAGATCAAAGATGAGAGAGATGCGGTCCTCCTTTTCTAGGAATTCACAGTCTGTTGGAGGTGACTCAACTTTATACAAATACCAGAGGACAAAGCACAATAGATAAATGACGTGAAAATTCAGATGTGGGAGGTAGTTATCTCCAGCTTGGAAAAGGAAAGGATAACCTCAGCTTTTAACCTTGATTCTCCTCTAAAATTCATACAGCCAGTCCTGATATACTAATCATGTGGATTTTAGCCTCAGAATAATTACTGTGATTATCTCAAGAATTTTAAAAAGGACTAAATGCTAATGTGAAAAAAAATGAAAACTCAACATGAGACATTAGAGGAAATTGTTAAGTACAGTGGGGAAGGTTGAGAATTCCCACCCCCTCTCATCTTTGGCTCCTCTGCTCCAGTGAGAAATGGCATACCTCATTCTCTGCTTTGTATTCATTATTCTTTTACTTATAACCATCTTACAGAATGAATCTCTTTCTCCGTCTCTCCTTCTCCCTCTCTTCCTCCCCCTTTATGTGATAGACGTATCTGTCTTTCATATCTTATTTATCCTAGTATACTTCAGAAATTGCCTTTCTTGATTTGTTTCTTGCAATTTCCTGTTTTGTATCATTCATTCATTATTCATGCCAGCCAGTGTTTGTAATTGTGATTTGGTAATTGTTATTCAATGAATGAGTATCAGCTTGAATAACTCAGCTACAAAATCATAATACTTTATATCATTATTTCACTTTCTAGTTTCTTAAATATTTTTGTGTGTCTACTTTTTTTTTTAATCTCAAAGACTTTATGACATTAGTCATCTTTATATTACGTAGACCACAGGAGAGAAACTTGGACCTATCTACATTTGATTTGGGGCCAGCACCCTCTAAGTCTAATCTCCTGCCTGTGTCCATTGCCTCCTGCACAACAGTTAATAAGGTGCACTCACCACCACTCCTGCCACAAGCACAGGCATGCTGTTGTTGCTTCTATTAAGCTTCAAGACAATAAGCTGCCCTCTGGCTGGTGGGACTATAGCTCCATAAAATGATACACTTGCTATACTCTGTTCTGCACCTTTTCCCAGAGAACCATTTCTCTGCTCCTCACCTTGGGAGTAATACATCTTTCTTTGCTTTTACCAAAGAACGGCTGTTGTAATATAGCTTGAGACCAGGGATTTAACCTGCTAGGAAATTCAACATTTATTTAAGGATTATATTTAGCGGAAAGATGAAAAAGGGCCCTACTCAACCGGTATATGAAAAGATGCTCAGTGTCACTGATCACTAGGGAAAGGCAAATTAATATCAGAAGGAGATATAACCTTATGTCTGTTAGGATGGCCATTATTAAAAAGATGGAAGATAACAAGTGTTAGTAAGGATGTGGAGAGAAGGGAACCCTTGTACACCATTGGTGAGAATGTAAATTGGTACAGCCAGTGTGGAAAACAGTATGGAGTTTTGATAAAAATTGAAAACAGAGCTCCCATATGAACCAGCAATCCCACTTCTGGCTATATATTCATGAAAATAAACTCAGTATGTAAAATAGATATTTGCACTCCCGTGCTTATTGAATAATTATTTATAATAGTCAAGATATGAAAAGAATCTAAGTGTCTGTTGACAGATGAATGGATAGAGAAATTGTGGGAGTGTGCATACACACACACACTGGAATATTACTCAGCCTCAAAAAAGAAGGCAATCCTGCAATTTGTGACAACATTGATGAAGCTGGAAGATTTTGTGCTAAGTGAAATAAGCCAGACACAGGAAGAAAAATTCTGTGTAATCTCACTTATATGTGGAATCTTAAAAAGTCAACTTCATAGCAGCAGAGCAGAGAATGGGAGGCAGGTGGGGGTGGGGAGCAGGAAGATGTTGGTATAAAGTTTCAGTTATCTTACGTAGGGTTAATAAGTTCTAGTCATCTAATGTATAGCCTGGTGACTATAGTTAATAATACTGTGTTATCTACTTGAAATGTGCTAAAAGAACAGATTTTAAGTGGTCTCACCACACCAAAAATAGTGAATTATCTGAGGGGATGGATATATTAATTATCTTAACTGAAGTAATCATGAGGTATAAGCATATCAAATCCAATTATATTTCATAAAGCTGATTTTTTTAAAGGGGGAACTATTGATTATTAAATGTTTTCCATACAGGTTCAGCACTCAACATAACCTATCCTGATAATAGACAAATGGCCAGTGTCTCCGCATTAGCAATCTATCGAGATCTCTGACCTAGCTCCTCAAACAGCCAGCCCAAACCTCTCATGCTGGGTGGGCAGCCTTAGCTGCTGACCTTCTCTTCCCTCCAGTGGGTGTTGGTAGCGTGAAAGATGGCCCATCTAATTGCCACTGTCCCTAATGTGCATGTCCTCAGTAGTCAAACTAGGTTAGAGGAAAGTTGCAAATAATTACAGAAAACAGACATTGCTCTATTTGGTCCTATTGTGATCTATCATTATAGCAAATTCCCTGAAGGAACAGAGGTCCTTGCCAGCCCCAAACAGTCCCCTTTAGACTCACACATCCTCCAGCTATTCTTACAAGTATCTCCTCCCATAGATTGAGCCTCCTTATTGCATTTGATAAGCCAGGCCACCAGGCTGTAAACAGATGAGAACTACTGGCTGCACAGGAACCTGTGACCCAGATGCCACCATATACCAAATTCAAACACAGTGTTGCCCCAGTAAAATTTGTAATATCACAATGATTACAAAAATAAAAACAAAGGTCTTACAAATAATATCCCCATCAAGACCCCATTCCAAATGTTTGGCACTGAAGGCTCAGGGGTTTAGGATTCTCTAATGATTTGATTTTGGGAAAGTCCACCAGTGGCAAGCTCTACTCCAACAGGTCATTTTATTGCTCCTTGCTTCTAATGCTATTCTATTTCCTTGTATTGCGAGGGCTTCTCCAGCTCCATGCCAACAACTGCTACAACCCAAGGCCCTCCTCCTATAGGCCCCAGCAAACCCCACATCTATACCAAATGCCTTCTCTGACCTCCACCAATGGAAGCCCCTTGCCTTTTGCCTTCCTTAGCGACCTGAAAGTCATTGGATACCCTGGCCATCTCTTGTGGACACATGCTCATATATTTCATTGGTGATATATTAGTCTCCACATAATTCTCAATTTTTAACAGTCCTCATTGATGCTGGATCCTAGGTCAGTTTTGTGCTCAGCAAAACTTCAAAATTTAAAAAGGGGAAACAACAACTAGGGGTGTCACTGGACATTGAGTCCAAGGAACTCAAACACCTTGGGAATATATTGCTGCTCAGGCCTCACACATTATAGTTAAAATCTCTCATGTCTCAGCTTATGGCAAGGCCCCCACAGAAGAGGCAGTCTTTAATGAAATAGATGACCAACTTGCTCAAATTTTTCAAATAAATTCAGATATTACCCTATGCTCTTGTCCTTGGCTGGATGGGCTTATGAGATCTCTGGTTATCATAGCCCTGGGACCCAAGTAACTTTGGGTCAAGCATCATGACACTGCCATGCTACTGGCTCTAGCCCAAACCCAAGTCCCCTAATGTTATCTCTATTCCCTGTCCCACCACTGGTTTCATACCAAGGGAAATGGGGATTGCCAATGGGGATCCATACCAAGAGATGGGCATTCCTTCTCTCATTGGCAAGATGATTTTATTGAACTGTTGCCCCAGTCTGCTGGCAAAAATTACTCTTCCTCAATGATGGCTGATATTTATGTATGCATATTCTTGTCTTATCCTTTCCAGCATTCTACTGCCAACACCACAATTACAGGTGTCACCAAAACTTAGATAGCTCTCTTTGTGCCCCCAGATATCACTGACTCTGAACAGGGTACACATGTTGCTGCTCATTCATTTCAGGTGTGGGCTTTACTTACAACACGGCATCATTTGGAACTTTCATTTGTCCTATTGTCCACAGGCATGTGGCCTAATAGACAGACATAATGGCTTACTCAAGGAAATTCTCTTAAAATTACCAAATGGATAATGGTCTCCCAAATTGACCTCTCTTTTGCCCACTGCCTTAGTTAATCTGCAATTTCAAGCTTTAGAGCCTATGACATCCCACCAACATGTAACAAGAGCTCTTCTTCTCCCCCTTAAAACCACAAAAGAGTATGCTTCTCACCTATGAGTCCGTAATATTTAAGCAAAATTCCTCTTCTCAATTATACCTCTGATTCTGCTACCCCTTTTCAATCCTGGCACAATCCACACTAGATTGTCTTCTGGATCAGCAGTGAATATTATGGAACTCACCAAAAATTGAGAGGACTTGTTCCCCAAACATGTAATACTGTGTCCCTGAAAACTCTCTGCCAAAGCTTGTTGTCCTTCCCTAATATGATAGTTTTGAAGGTTTGCTAGCTGTAAGTCCCTCTTTGCTAGGAATGAAAATCTTGGTGCCTTGTCCCATACCTACAATTGTGTGGATCTTCCGGTAAGAAAAATAAGATTTTAAATTAGTTTCCAATGCCAACATTTCTAAATAGGATGCATCTCTGGCTCCATTCCATTATATTTATTTTGAATGGGTGACTACTGCAAGACCCAGGATCATAATGACCATGACTACCATCATAATAAATAGGCATTCCCCAGCATGCCAGCCTATGCCAAAAGCCCAAAAATATCACCATGGAATATTTTTGTTTATCTTGGCCTGGCTGTGCTTCATTTGGCTCAAGCCTGGGTCTGGGATTCTGTGACTCTAACTCAATGTCAAATACCATAGGCTTCTTTCTGCCGATGCTGTCATCCCTACTTGTGTGGGGCAGTCACTCAATCCACAGCTTCCCTGTAAAAGGTACTCCTTAACTTCTTAAGGGGCAAAGGGATACTCATCTTCAGGCAAATTTGTAATAATTTATCAAATGTATATCTTTGCCTCAAGATCTTGGGGCTAGTCAAGGGTTCATATCAGAAACCCTTTGCCCCAGCCACACTAGGGCCCTTAAGGGTACCATCCACAGGTCACTTGTAGTCAACAGCACAGACAATGGCCATCGTCTCAGGAATAATGACCTCAGACCAGCAGACCAAAGTGTCCCAAATGATAATTTCAGTGTGACTTATAGTCCTAACCTTGACACTGGTAACTCGAGTGATGACACAATTCCATGGTGAACACTGCCAAGTCAAGATTCTGCTCCCTGACCCCTTCTTTTCTCCCAAACCTAACCATGGTTCTTCCATACTCTTGCCTCATGACTTACCCTTGGCCCCAAGTTTGAATCTATGCAACGTGCTTACTCTCTGCTCCCAACCTAACTGATGACAATGTCACCATAGTTATTGTGATTGCTTAATTACAGGTGTCATCCACTCTGCTTATGGAGTCTCTGTGACTCCATTCCTCTCCTATACAATTTCTCTCCATTCCCCTTTCCTACAAGAAGCTAATGCTTATTGGCAGGACCTTACCTGCTTAGACTATACCGAAGCCTGAGGAATGACTCTATACAGGGGTCTGTCTTTGCCTATTACCTAACCTGCTGCATCAAGGAACTCCCATTTAATTATTTAGATTTGTGCTTGACTCACTCTTTTCTCTTTTCATAGGGTTTTCTCCTGGTATGAGCTATCACCCTGCAAATTAGCTGATCTATACCCACTGGTCTTACCATTTTATTTCTCCCCTTAATATCTAAAACCTGAATCAGGATTCCCATCTCCACTATCCCTACTCTTACAGCCACATCAGCTCTGATTCCCCCTCATCCAACTATCCATCCTTCACTCTCCACTACTTCGCTGTCACCATCTCCACTCCCTACTTTCCTGAACCTGATGGACAATATCTATGTAACAGTAACAGGGTATGTCACCCGAGAGCTAAACTTCCAGCAACACTGGGCTTGCTACCAAGGGCCCCAGCCTGGACCACAACTTATTCAACTAATTTCTGTCCCTTTGGAGATCTATGATACTTGTACTAAATACTTGTCATCTTCTCCATCCCCTGTACTTCCCCCAGCACTCCCTTGACCTTCCTAGGTGCTTCCTCATTAATCTTCACTTCAAGGACCCCTTGCCCTCCTCAACTTCCCCTACCAACCAATATATCCAGCTGTGTCTCCCCTACTCCACCCCCACTTTGAAATAAGTTGGCTATCACACATCTGCATCGGTATAAATTTGCTCACCAGAAATCCCCCCTTTTAAGACCTTTGGGCCACTCATTCTCCTGGGACGATACTCCTGCTCACCAGGCACTCATACTCTGCTCCTATACCCCACTTTCTTCTAACCTATGTAGCCTGGCCTGTGTCCTAGGGCCACATAGTAGCCAGGTCACCCTGCATCCAACTAGAGAATTCACATTTCTCATACAGCCTTCCCTCAAGAGGGAAGGGTGTTTTTTTAACCTATTATGTTGGGCCTCATCACAATCTTTAGTATAACAGGCATAAATTTAGGCATTTTTAATTCTCTAAAACAGGCTCAACTCAGAGGAGCCACACAGACAGTGTCACACTCCCAGAAGACCACATATGTCAAGAAGCCCAAGCTTTAGATGCTGTGAATAAGGGACAAAGCTCTGTGGTTGCCATGGTAGCTGAGAACAGCTTAGCATTAGACTATCTACTAGCATCTCAAAGTGGAGTTTGTACCTTGATGGAAACCTCCTCCTGCATGTGGGTCAATAACACAGGAACAGTCTTCAGAAGAGTTCAACAAATAAAACAACAAAGCAAAATAGTCAATCTTATTACTCCAAGAGACTCCGTGGATTCCACTGATTTTTCTGGATGTCTCCTTCTGCCTGGGGCAATTGACTCCCCACTATCTTTCAGAAAGCTTATAATAATAATTGCTATTTTAATAATAATTATGATAATAACTATTATTTTGAGTTAGCTTTGCAAATTTTTTCTGTCAAGTACAAGTTTGTTTACGGGAATCCTTGGAGTTTGCCGTGCTAACCCAAATATCATGGATGAATTGTGAAGACAATAAGTAAGAAATAGGAAAAAAGCTTGGAACCCCAACTGACATTTGATTTAGTGCCAGTGAAGACTGTCTCATCTCCCACCTGTGTCTGATGACTCCTGTACAATGAGATGTGTATTCTTTCACTGTGCCCTGTATGTTCAGGCGCAGTCTTACTGCCTCTTTTAAACTTCCTGATGGGAGCTGTCCTCCACCAGCAGGACTTCCCCTTTACAAAAGACTCATGTAGTCACTACCCTCTCTCTTCTGGACCCTCTCCAGGAGACCCCTCCCCTTCACTCCTTTCCTTTGGACTTCCCCATCTATGTGAGCAATCAGACTTCCTTCGATTACACGAAAGGACTGCTCTTAAGAGTTTTCACATCCAAAGCTAACCTTGGGAGGGGGCTTCCTCATGTTATGATGGAGTTGTCCTTATGTATATTATTACAGTTGTTTTGCTGAACTTTGAAGCCATTCTGGACGACTAGACCCTGCCTGACAGCTAACTCTAATATAATCACTGCTCTTAGAAACAAAATTGTTTATGATAAACTTAAGCCTACAAATTTTTAGTGTGTGGTGGAATATGTTGCAGAAGATTTCTCTAACTGGGAATGACTTTTTTTTTTTTTTTTTTTTTTGAGACAGAGTCTTACTCTGTCACCCAGGCTGGAGTGCAGTGGTCCTATCTTGGCTCACTACAACCTCCACCTCATGGGTTCAAGCGATTCTCCTGCCTCAGCCTCCCAAGTAACTGGGACTACAGGTGTGTGCCACCACGCCTGGCTGATTTTTGTATTTTTAGTAGAGATGGGGCTTCGCCATGTTGGCCAGTCTGGTCTCGAACTCCTGAACCCAGGTGATCTGTCTGCTTTGGCCTCCCAAAGTTCTGGGATTACAGGCGTGAGTCACCCCGCCCAGCCTGGGAATGACATCTTATATCTGTGGCAGAAATAACAAAAGAAGCTTCTAAACTACCTTAACGTGGGGTGGGGTGGGTGGGGACGAGCCTTGTATTCGCCCTGAAGCCCTGATGTGCTTGTGTTAGGGGATGGCCTTCCAGGAAGTCATTCTTACTCCTGCTCATTGTGGCCAAATTCTTGTGATCAATTTGTGTAACCGTCTATCTCATGGGAGAAAATACTTCAGCTTTCTTACTCCCTGCTAAATGGTTTTGTGAGTAATCAAGTATATAATAAAACCACAGTCATCAGAAAACTCAGGTCATGACGACATTCTGGAAGATAGGGGTTGCCAGCAGAGCAGAAGAACCATATTGCTCAATCTTCGCTATTTGCAAATTTTTCTAAAACGCATTCATCTGCTTTCCTGCAAAGAAAAGGTCAGAATGCTGAACATGATTGATAGTCTCTTTATACTCTCCTGGTACAAAGTAAACCATAGTACTTGTTTCTGTTTTAGCTGTGATGTTACAGAATCCTAGGATGGCAAAGTAGTATAGATAGGGTCCAGCCTATGCCAAGAAATAGTAAAATAATAATGAATTCTCCTGTCCTGAGCATGTACATTTGCCAGGCAATTTGCATGCATTATCTCTTAAATCCTTAAAGTAGGCCTGTGAAGTAGCTACCGTAACCAAATAGTCTAGATTGCAAATGCATTTGAAAATCTCTTTTCCTTTTTCTTTTTTCCCTAGTCTCAAGACATAACCTTGAAGCTTACTGCAGAAACATTTTTCCTCCTCCTTAGCCTTAAAATATAGCCTTGATGTGTACTTTCTTTGAAACACCAAGTCCCTCCCTTTCTCGCCATACACTCCCTTACACCATGCACATTTATTAATAATTGTATGCTTGTGTCTAATTATGTGCTTATTTAGAACTTCTAAGGGGGCCAATCTTGAGACAGACCACGCATAGAGACCCAGCTGCAAGATTCCAGAGATTCTCTCAAGGAAGTTAGTCAATAACGTGGCCATTGTTGAGATGATGCCAGCCCTCACTCCAGATGCCAGACCGTGGCTCCAGATAGCCATGGAACAAGACACACAGACCTTGTACTCAGCACCCATCTCGCATAATTTCCATTGCCAGTTCCCCCTTTTAAGCCCCTCTTCCCAGCCTAAGGTTTGAAGTGATTACTTTTAATAGGAATCCAGCCACTTCCTCATGACTAGTTTTGGTTAATAAAGTCACTTTCTTTTTTTGTTGTTGTTGTTTTAACTTTTGTTTTAAGTTCAGGGGTACAAGTACAGGTTTGTTACATAGGTAAACTTGTGTCATGGGGGCTTGTTGTACAGATTATTTTGTCACCCAGGTATTAAGCCTATACCCATTAGTCATTTTTTCTGATCCTCTCCCTCCTCCCACACTCTACCCTCTGACAGGCCCCAGTGTCTGTTGTTCTCTATGTGTTCTCATCATTCAGCTCCCACTTTTACATGAGGACGTGTGGTATTTGGTTTTCTGTTCCTTCATTAATTTACTAAGGATAATGGCCTCCAGCTCTATCTATGACCTTGCAAAGGACATAATCTCATTCCTTTTTATGGCTTCGTGGTATTCCATGGTGTATATGTACCACATTTTCTTTATCCAATCTGTCATTGATGAGCATTCGGGTTGATTCCATGTCTTTGCTATTGTGAATAGTACTGTAATTAATATATGTGTGCATGTGTCTTTATAATAGAATGATTTATATTCCTTCCGGTATAGACCCGGTAATGGTATTGCTAGGTCAAATGGTATTTCTGTTTCTGGGTCTTTGAGGAATCACCACATTGTCTTTCCACAATGGTTGGACCAATTTACACTCCCACCAATAGTGTATAAGCATTCCTTTTTCTCCACAACCTTGCCAGCGTCTGTTATTTTTTTGACTTTTTAATAATAGCTATTCTGACTGGTGTTAGATGGTCTGGCATTGTGGTTTTGATTTGCATTTCTCTAATGATCTGTGATGTTGAGTTTTTTTTTCATATGATTGTTGGCCACAGGTGTTTCTACCATACCTTGCTCTTGCTATTGGACTCTGCAAGCAGTGAGCAGTTGGACCTGCATTTGGTTACATTACTAATGCCATTCCTATTTTACAGAAGAGAAAAGTGAGATAAATTTCAATGTCATTTAGTTGGCACAAGACTTAGCTGGTTTTAAAGCCCCTGTCACTCTCTGAATCCAAAATTATTGCCAGTGTCTCTCCTTCCTTTGATGACAGTGATAGGCCAAATGATGACCCTCCAAAGATGTCTACCTCCTAATTTCCAGAACCTGTGACTATGTTACCGTACAAGTCAAAAGAGACATTACAGATGCGATTAATGTATGGATGTTGTGATGGGGAGATTATTTTCAGGATCATCTGAGTGGGCCTAATACTTATAAGAGGGAGACAAGAGGTTCTGGGTCAGAGAAGGAAATGTGACAATGGAAGCAGAGGCTGGGCTGATAAAGCTATGAGCCAAAGATTGCTCTCTAGAGGCTGGAAAAGTCAAAGAGTGGATGCTCCCCTAGAACTTCCAGAGGAATGCTGTCTTGCTGGCATCTGAATTTTAGCCCTGTAAGACTCATTTCAAACTTCTGTCCTCCAGAACTGTAAAATAATAAACTTTTATTGCTTTAAGCCCTTAGGTTTCTGGTAATTTGTTACAGCACCGTAGGAAATTAATACAATGTCCTATTACACTTTAAATGGACTCTCTGATGATACCACTTTTTATCTTGCATTATATACTTTTTATAATTATATAAATTTTAAATTTTTAAGCTCTTTTTTTCTCTATATCTAGCAATTTTTTAGTGCCTATGTTATAATAGGCACTATACAAGGCACTTTACAAATAAAGGCTTATTTAATTTTTCTAACAACCTGTGGTAGAGATAGCTAGTTTTCCACATGAAATGTGTACTTCCCTTCCATAGTAAGGAGTGGTTTCTAGAAATTGGCCGCCCAACCTGAACAATATTTCTTGTAAGTATCCCTATAAGTTTATCTAGGCGTGGCCATGTGATTAGTTTTTGCCAGTGAAATTTGAGCAGAGCTGATGTGGTTAGACAGCATATATGCCTCCCCACCCTACCTTTCCCTTTCCACAGCAACTTAGGGAACTATGTGTTAATAATGGCAGGACCATAAAGTGGTCCATTTTCACCACTGTAATCTTTTACGAGCAAGGAATAAACTTCTTTTGTGTAATCTTGTGATACTTGGGGATTTATCTGTCGCAGCAGCTACTGGTAACCATACTCCAACTCTGTGAAGTATAACCTCATGAAGTATGAAGGATTCACCTCATGTTTAATGATAGTGAAACTAGGGCTCAGAACAATGAAGTAGCTTGACCAAGGTCACAAATTTAAAAGAGGCAGAGGCAGGGATGCTTAAACAGTGAAACTAGGGTTCAGAACTATGAAATAGCTTGACCAAGGTCACAAATTTAAAAGTGACAGAGGCAGAATTCTGACTCCAAAGACCATTGTATTTGCACGATGTTACATAGCATTTTATTGTTCAATAGTCTGTTGAAAATATCCATTTAAAAAACAATAAAGTCTCTGAATCATAGATATTAGACCTAAAAGGCACTTTACAGATTATCTTCCCTAAAATCTCCTACAGTACTTCAAAGATGAGAAAAAGGAAGCCTAAAAATGGCAAGTGGCTGGCCCATGTGATGAGACACAGCCAGGACTGGAACTGAAGCCTCCTTTTCATTACCTAAATTGCTCCTTTAGATGAGCTTGTATAGGAGTCAACTCTTTTTCATAAATGGTTTTCAAATATTTGATATAAGATCATTCATGGCCATAAAGACAGAGTTTTCTTTTTAGAATGAAAAATGGAAAAAAAATAGTTATCTTTAGGAATAAAACCCTCTGAGGCTATTGCATATAATAATTTATCTATATATTTTACAGATGTAGATATGCCATATAATAATTACATTTTATATATATATACACAAAAAATACAGTTTTTTTGGTTTGTTTGTTTGTTTGTTTGAGACAGAGTCTCATTCTGTCACCCAGGCTGGAGTGTAGTGGCCTGATCTTGGCTCACTGCAACCTCCACCTCCCAGATTCAAGCGATTCTCCTGCCTCAGCCTTCCAAGCAGCTGGGACTATAGGCGCATACCACCAGGCCTGGCTAATTTTTTTGTATTTTTAGTAGAGATGGGGTTTCACCGTGTTAGCCAGGATGGTCTCAATCTGACCTTGTGATCCATCCACCTTGGCCTCCCAAAGTGCTGGGATTACAGGCGTGAGCCATCACGCCCGGCCAGTATAGTTCTATTCTTAATCTCTTGTTCTATTGAGATGGAAATATCTTCATGTTATAAAAATAAAAGTGGCAGAGCACTGAACAGATGGAGAGTTAAATGAATGAACTGAGGATTCCACATCTTGGCTGCCTGAAAATATGTTCTACTACAGTAAACATATTTTTAGCAAACAAATAATGGCAACCCATGTGTTGATCTCTCACCAGTATTCTCTAGCTTGGCTCATTTATTCCCTGAGGATAGCTGAACTTCTTTGCAAGAAACAGATATTTCCCACACTTTTCAAGCCTCGAAGCGAATTCGAGAATGCCAGAGAACTGAGTAAAACTGTAAAACTACACTTAGGATTTTGCACTGGGTGAAATGTCTCTAGTGAAATCAGGACATTTGTATAGAATGGACCATTCTGATTTCTGCTACTGTCTTAATTCATTAATTTAACATGGAAATTCTAATATGTGTGTAATTTTCTCAGAAAACCCATTATTTAATAATGACAACTCTGAGCAAACGAGGTGTGAAATTTTAAATATACAATGTGCCATGTGTTACTGGTAGACCCACTGCCTTTGTGATTCTCCATGTTAAATTTTGATTTCAATGCAGCATCTTAGCATCAAGAAATACCAACCCTGGGATAGAACTAGAGGGCATATAACAAAGAGTATGCCCAACTTCTATTATCTGAGAATTGTCTTCAAGCTCTACCTGCATACTAATGTTATTCATTTGTTAACAGTTTTTCTGTAAATGACTTTTAAGTTGAGTCATTCTTAAAAATTAACGACTTTCTTGAGGTATAATCTATGTACCATACAATTCATTCATTTTAAATATAAACTCAGTGATTTTTATTGAATTTGCTGAGTTATTCAACTATAACTGCATTCAAATTTTAGAACATTTTCATTATCTCTGAAAAATTCCTTGTGCCCATTTTCACTGCTGGTTCCCATTGTGGGCCCCAAACAAACAATAATCTACTATCTGTCCATATGTATTTGCCTTTTCAGGATATTTCATAAAAATGGAATCATATAGTATGTGGTCTTCTGTGCCTCACTTCTTACATTCCCTCAGAGATGTCCATTAGTCTGTCCAACCAAAAACTGGGGTCAGGTGAATCCTGAGACTTTTGCGGGAGCCTGTGGCAACCCACAGGTGAGGTCGCCCTGCATGTTCCTTGATTACAGTCAGATCACAGCTCTACACCAGGTCCATGGAGAAAGAAAGAACTGATTTTGATCCTTCTCCATGTTCACCTATGAAAACCTCATTACAATGACTTTAACTTCTTTTACAAAGTCAAATTTGACCATATTCTCAGAACTCAACCAGGGTCATGGCCTTTGCAGTGGAGTCAATCCAAAGGCCTCACTAAACCATATACAGTCATCCCTCAGTACACATGGGGGATTGGTTCCAGGACCACCTGCATTTACCAAAATCCATGGATACTCAAGTCCCTTATGTAAACTGGCATGGTATTTGCATATAACTTATACACATCTGCCCACCTCTAGATTACTAGATTACTTCTAGATTATCTGTAATACCTTTGTATTATAATATTAATAATAATAATTAATATTATACAATAATTTATATACATATACATTTATATACATATTAAATTATTATAATAGTATATAATAATTATATACATAATATATAATTATATACATAATATATAATTATTTATATACATAGGAATTATAATACCTATGTATATAAATGCTATGTAAATAGTTGTTATATAAGTGAATATTGATGAATATATTGACGAACATAGATGCAAATATCTTCAACAACATTCTAGCAAACCAAATTCAACATCACATTAAAAGGATCATATACCATGATCAAGTGAGATTTATCTTTGAGAGAAAAGGATAATTTAACATTTGTAAACCAATAGATATGAATACACCACATTAACAGAATGATCATCTCAACAGATACAGAAAAAAATTTTGACAAAATTCAACATCCTTTCATGATAAAAAGTCATATCAAATTAGGTATGGAAGAAATATACTTCGACATAATAAGGGCCATATGCGACGAAGCCACAGTCAACATCACTCTCAATGGTGACAACTGAAATCTTTCCCTCTTAGATCAGAAACAAGACAAGGGTGCCTGTTCTTGTCACTTCTATTTAACATACTACTGGAAGTCTTAGCCTGAGCAATTAGACAAGAAAAAGAAATAAAAGGCATTCAAATTGGAAAGAAAGAAGTTAAATTGTCTGTTTACAGATGATATAATCTTATGTAAAGAAAACCCTAAAGACTCCACCATAAACTTTTAGAACTAATACATTCAATAAAGGTGCAGGACACAAAATCAACATATGAAAATTAGTGTGTTTCTGTACACTAAGAACAAATTAGTTGAAAATGAAATTAAGATATCAATCCCAATTACAATAACATCAAAAAGAATAATATGTTTATGAATAAATTTAACAAAAGAGGTAAAAAATCTGTATACTAAAAACTGTAAGATATTGAAGAAATAAACTATAGAAGTCACAAATAAATGGAAAGATATTTCATGTTCATGAATCAGAAGAATTTATGTTGTTAAAATGTCCAGACTACCCAAAGTGATCTACAGATGCAATGCAATTATTATCAAGATTACAATAGCATTTTTCACAGAAATGGAATAATAAATCCTAAAATTTGTGTGGAACCACAAAAGACCTTAAATAGCTAGTGCAACCTTGAGAAAAAAGAACAAAGTGGGAGGTATCACACTCCCTGATTTCAAAATATATTACAAAGCTGTAGTAATCAAAACAGTATGGTAATGACTTAGACCAATGGAACAGATTAGAGAGCCCCAAAATAAACTCATGTATATATGGTCAACCAATCTTTGACAGGTGAACCAATAATACACAATGAGGAAAGGAAAATCTCTTCAATAAGTGGTGTTGAGAAAACTAGATATCCACCTTCAAAGGAATGAAATTGGACCCCTTTTACAAGGCTGTTTTTATTTAAAAGAAAAGAAGAAATTGGACCCTTGCCTTTCACCATATACAAAAATTAACTCAAAATGGATTAAAGGCTTAATCCATTAATCTTAAAATCTGAAACCATAAACTCCCAGAAGAAAATATAGGGAAAAACTTTCTTTACATTGGTCTTGGCAGTGATTTTTGGATATGACACCAGCAGCACAGACAACAAAAGAAAATTAAACAAGCTGGATTATATTAAACTAAAAAGCTTTTGCACAGCAAAGGAAACAATCAACAAAATGAAAAGGCAATATATTAGAATGGGAAAAAATATTTGCGAATCATATATCTTATAAGGGACTAATATCCAAAATGTAGAAGGAGCTCAAACAACTCAATAGCAAAAACAACCAAAAAACTTAATTAAGAAATGCGCAAAGCATCTAAATAGACATTTTTCCAAAGAAGACCTACCGATGACCAAGTATATGAAAAAGTGCTCAATATCACTAATCATCAGAGAAATGAAAATCAAAACCACAATGAGATATCACTTCACACCTGTTATGATGGGTTTTATCAAAAAGATAAAAAGGCCAGGCATGGTGGCTCACAACTGTAATCCCAGCATTCTGGAAGGTGGATCACCTGAGGTCAGGAGTTCAAGACCAGCCTGGCCCACATGGTGAAACCATGTGTCTACCAAAAAAATATATATATAAAAAATTTAGCTGGGCATGGTGGCACACGTCTGTAATCTCAGCTACTTGGGAGGCTGAGGTAGGCAGAGGTTGCCGTGAGCCGAGATCGCACCACTGCACTCCAGCCCGGGTGACAGAGCAAGACTCTGTCTCCAAAAAAAAAAAAAGATTAAAAAGTAACAAGTGTTAGTGTATGAAGAAAAGGGAACCCTTATACACTCTTCATGGCACAATCATTGGTACAATCATTGTGGAAAACAGTATGGAGGTTTCTTTTTTAAAAAATAGAACTACCATGTGATCCAGCAATCCCACTTTTGAGTACATACCCAAAGGAAGTGAAATCAGTATCTCAAAAAGATATCTGCACCCTCATGTTCATTTCAGCATTGATTAATGCTATTGTGATTACAATAGCGAAGATTTTGAAACAACCTAAATGACTATCAGCAGATAGATTTTAAAAATGTGATTACACAGGCACATGCACAAACACATACACACTAGAATATTATTCAGCCATAAAAAAGTAAGGAAATTCTGTCATTTGGGACAACATGGATGAACCTGGAGGACGTTATGCTAAGTGACAAAGCCAGATGCAGAAAGACAAATACTATATGATTTTACTTATATGTAGAATCCAAAAAAAGTCAAACTCATAGAAACAGAGAGTAGCACAGTGGTTAACAGGGGTTTGGGGGTGGGGAAAATGGGGAGATGTTGGTCAAAAGGTAAAAAGTTTTAAGCTGTAAGATGAGCAAGTTTTGGGAATCTAATATACAGCATGGATGGTGATGGATGTTTTAATTAATTTGGTTGTGGTAATCATTGCACAATGTATCCATGTATCGAATAATCACATTGTACACCTTGAATATATACAATTTTGTCAATTAATATATTTAAATAAATAAACAATAAATAAATAAAATGTGACTACCAGAAAGTTAGAAAAAAAAAAAGAAGAAGGGCCAAGGAAAACTGTCAATTCTGTCTGTGTCTGGGCTGGGCCAGGATCACTGTATGGAGTCAAAGTAAGCTGCAGGGGCCACTTCTGGGGAAAACTCTTTTATCAGTTTTTTTCAAGTTTCAGCTTTGCACCCATACTTCCATCAGAACTGAAAAATTTTGATTTCCTGGAGGCCACCCTAAGAGTCATGAGAATAACAAGGTCACATGGCCTAGTCTGCACTGGTTATGATTGGGACTACAATGCAGCTATCTGATCACTATAGGTATCTGATCAAACCTCTGATGAAATTTCCTCTTTGATTAAGGAAAACATTCTTGGCAAATGTTTTCTTCTGGTTCTTCTGGGCTACAAGAATTTCACCTCTAGCTGCACAATGCCAAGCATCCCCAGTTGTACCTCTAAGCCTGGCTCCAGTTCTGAAAACCAATAAAACAGAGCTGCAGTCTTATTACTAATTGTGAGCTTTGGTATCCATGTGGTGTGAGACTGCTTTGAATATTCTTTTGTTTTCTATTTGTTTTTAACAATAAACACTCTGGGCCCCATGAGACACTCAGCTAAGCACATTAAAAAGGTCAAAAGGACTTTGAAGAGTCAGGAGGTAGAAATAGTATGTTTTTGAGCTTCATCCATGTTGTAGCATGTACCAGTATTTCATTAAGTTTTATTGCTCAGCAATGTTCTGTTGTATGTATGTGCCACAATTTAATTATCCTTTCACCAACTGACATTGTAATTACTCATTCACCATTTGGTGGGTATTAGAATTGTTTCCCCTTTTGATTATTATGAATAAAGCTGCTATGAACATCCATGTCTAAGTCTGTGTGATAAATATATGTCACATTTCTCTTGAATATATACCTGGAAATACAATCACTGGATCATATGTTTTAAGTTTATGTTTAATTAAAAAAAAATTCCAAACATTTTCAGTGTACTTGCACTATTTTAAATTCCCCCTAACAATGTCTGAATAATTCAGTTTCTCTACATCCTCGCAGCATTTGCTGATATTATTGTTTTTTATTTTAGCCATTTTTAGGGGTGCAGTAATATTTCATTGTAGCTTTAATTTGTGTTTCTCCAATGACTAATGATGCTGAACATCTTTTCACATGATTATCAGCCATCCGTACATCTTCTTTAATAAGTGTCTGTTTAGGTATTTGCCCAATTCCTAAGTAGACTTTTTAAAGTACTGAGTTTTGAGAGTTCTTTATATATTCTAGATAGAAATACTTGTCAAGTGATTTACAAGTATTTTCTTCAAGCCCATAATTTGTCTTTTATCCTTTTAGTAGGGTAGTTCGTAGAGCAAGAATTTTTAATTTTGATTATCGCTGATAAAAACACACTAATTTTTCCTTTAATAGATCAGGCACTTAGTATCAGATCTGAAGACTCTTCACTCATTTCTAGGTCCCAAAGATTTTCCCCTATGTTTCTTTCTAAAAGGTTTATAGTTTTGCATTTCTCATTTAAATCCATGATATATTTTGTGTTAATCTTTGTATAAGGTGTGGAGTTTAGGTTGGGGTTTTTTGTTGTTGTTGTTGTTGTTGTTGTTGTTTGCCAATACATGCCTACATTAGTCAGCTTGGGCTGCCATAATAAAATATTGTGCAGTGGGTGGTTTAAACAACAAAAATTTATTTTCTAGCAGTTCTGGAGGCTGAAAGTTTGAGATCAGGGTGCCAGCATGGTCAGGTTCTGGTGAGAGCTCGCTTCCTTGGCTTGCAGATGGCCTTCTCACTGTGTCATTACATGCTGAGGAGTAAGAGGTAGGAGAGAGGGCGCAGGGAGGGAGACAGCTCTCCCTTTTCTTATAAGGCCATTAATCTTATTGGATTAGGATTCCACCCTTATAATCACATTTAACCTTAATTACCTCCCAAAAGCCTATCTCAAAATACAGTCACATTGTGAGTTACAGCTTCAACATATAGATACGGGGAAAATAAAATTCAGACCATAGCAATGTCCATTGTTCACTCCTGCTCCACGTAGAAAAGGCTATCCCTCTTACATTGAATTGCTTTCAAATCTTTGTTAAAAATCAGTTGAGCATATTTGTATGGGTCTATTTCTGAATTCTCTATGCTGTTTCATTGATCTATGTGCCTTTCTGCCAGGACTACATATTGATTACTGCAGCTATATGTTAAGCTTTAACATGGAGAAGACTGATTCTTCATAATTTTCTTTATCAAAATAATTTTGGGCCGGGCAAGGCGGCTCACGCCTCTAATCCCAGCACTTTGGGAGGCCTAGGCAGGCAGATCACCTGAGGTCAGGAGTTCAAGACCAGCCTGACCAACATGGTGAAAACCCCGTCTCTACTAAGAATACAAAATTAGCCAGGCGTGGTGGTGCATGCCTGTAATCCCAGCTACTTGGGCGGAAGAGGCAGGAGAATTGCCTGAACCCGGGAGGTGGAGGTTGCAGTGAGCCGAGATCGCACCATTGCACTCCAGCCTGGGGAACAAGAGTGAAACTCCATCTCAATAATAATAATATATTATTATTATTATATAATTGTATGTATATTTTTATATATTATATATTATAATAGTAGAATAATACTATTTTATTATTATTATTATTTTGGGCGTTCTAGGGCCTTTTTATTTTTATGTAAATTTTAAAATAAGCTTGTGTCTACAACACCATGTTGGGGTTTTTATAAGGATTGCATTAAATCTATAGATCAATTTGCAGAGAATTGACAGCTTTATCTTGTTCAGTTTTCCAGTCCATGAACACGGTTAAGCATCTCTTAGGCTTCTAAGCAAGCCTAAGGCCTTGCTTTGATTTCTTTCATCAGCATTTTGTGATTTTGAGCATATAGCTCCTATACATGTTTTGTTAGATTTATACTTAAGTATTTAATTTTCTTTGGAGCAATTATAAATAGTATGCTTTTGATTTCAGTTCCATGTTGGCATATAGAAATGTAATTTATTTTCTTGTTAATCCTGTGACCTTGCTCAATTCACTTATTAGTTCCAGGAAGGGGTTTTTTTGGTGGATTTCTTGGGATTTTTGATTTAGGAAATTATGTCATATTTAGACAGAGAAAGTTTAATTCCTTCCTTTTCAATCTGATTGCCATTTTTTTCTTGTCTATTGTGCTGCCTGGAACTTCTAGTACCACATTGTATGAGAATAGTGATACTGAATATCCTTGCCTTGTTCTACATCATAGAGGGAAAGTATTCAGTTTTTTTACTGTTAAATATGATGTTAGCTGATACTGATTTGATTATATAATCTGTCTTCATTAGCCTATTAATATGGTGAATTACATCTATTGATTTTAAATATTGAACCAGCCTTGCACAAGTGGAATAAATCCCACTTAGTTGTGATGTATTATTCTTATTACATATTGCTGGACCTGATTTTCTAGGTTTTTTTTGAGACAGTCTCGCTCTGTCACCCAGGCTGGAGTGCAGTGGCACAATCTTGGCTCACTGCAACCTCTGCTTCCTGGGTTCAAGCGATTCTTGTGCTTCAGCCTACCAAGTAGCTGGGACTACAGGTGCCTGCCACCATGGCTGGCTAACTTTTGGATATTTTTAGTAAAGACGGGTTTTCGCCATGTTGGCCAGGCTGGTCTCGAACCCCTGACCTCAAGTGATCTGCCTGCCTCGGCCTCCCAAAGTGTTGGGATTACAGGCATGAGCCACTGTGCCCAGCCCTGATTTGCTAAATTTTTAATGAGGTTTTTGCATATAAGTTAATAAGAATTATTGGTTCATAGTTTTTTTTTTTTGTACCGTATTTGCCTGATTTCATCTCAGGGTAGTACCAAACTCATAAAATGACCATGGGAGTGCTTCCTCCTCTTTTATTTTCTGTAACAAATTGTATAAAATTGTATTAACTCTTTAAATGTTTGATAGAACTATCCAGTAAAACCATATGGTCCTGAAAATTTTCTTTATGGAAGCTTTTTAATTACAAATACATTTCTTTAGTCGTATAGGGCTAGTCAGGTTATCCTCTCTATCTTGGTATGTTTTGTAATTTTTGGGATTTTGAAGATTTGGTCCATTTCTTCTAAGTTGTCATATTTATGATGAAAAATTATTCATAATATTTTCTTATGTTTTTTAATGGCTGCAGGGTCTGTAGTCATAGCCCCTATTTCATTCCTGATATTGATGATTCATGGTTTTTTGATCATTTTATCTTTTTCAGTCTTGCTAAAAGTTTTTCAGTTTTGTTGATTATTTTCAAAGAACCAGTTTTTTGTTTCATTTATTTTTTCCTTTGTTTTCCTGTTTACAATTTCATTTATTGCTTCTCTTCATGATTTTCTTCCTTTTGATCTTCTTTGGGTTTATTTTGCTCTTCTTTTCTAGTGTCTTGAGATAGGATGATATGGCTTGAATATGTGTTCCTGCCAATGCCAAATCTCATGTTGAAGGGTAATCTCCAATGTTAGGGGTGGGGCCTATGGGAGGTGATTGGATAATGGGGGTGGATTTCTCATGAATGGTTTATTAGCACTATCTCCTTGGTGCTGTCCTCATAATAGTGAGTGTGTTCTCACAAGATTTGGTCATTTAAAAGTGTGTAGCTCCCTCTCTCCCTCTCTTTCTTGCTCATGCTTTTACCACATGATATGCCTGCTCCACCTTTTCCTTCTGCCATGATTATAAGCTTCCTGAGGCATCCCCAGAAGCAGACACCGCTATGCTTCTCATACAGCCTGCAGAACCGTAAGCCAATTAAACTACGTTTTTTTTAAATAAATTACCCAGTCTCAGATACTTCTTTACAGTAGTGCTAGAATGACCTAGGTATTGAGTTGAGATCTTTCCACTTTACTATTATAAATACTTAGTGCTATAAATTTTCCTCTCAGCACTGCTTTGACTGCATCCCCCAAATTTTCATGTCTTATTATTTTCATTCAGTTCTACTTTTTAATTTCCTTTTAGATTTCCTCTTTGAAACATGAAGTAGTTGTTTAATTTTCATAGATTTGAATAATTGGCTGTTGTCTTTCTGTAAGTGATTTCTAGTTTGATTTTACTATGATCAGAGAAGTATATCCCTTCTTATTTCCCTCCATCTCTCCTCACCCTCCCATACTCCTTCCTTTATTCCAGGTTACAGGCTTCTCCAATGCCTGGAAAAAACCAAGAAACTTACCTCAAGAAATATCTACCTTTTTTTTTTTTTAGATGGAGTCTCACTCTGTTGCCAGGCTGAAGTGCAGTGGCGCAACCTCAGCTCACTGCAACCTCCACCTCCTGGGTTCAAGCGATTCTTCTGCCTCAGCCTCCTGAGTAGCTTTGACTAGAGTCATGTGTCACCACGCCCAGCTAATTTTTTGTAGATTTAGTAGAGATGGGGTTTCACCATGTTGGCCAGGCTGGTCTTGAACTCCTGACTTCAGGACTACCGGCGCTTGCCACCATGCCTAGCTAATTTTTTGTATTTTTAGTAGAGATGGGGTTTCACATGTTAGCCAGGATAGTCTCCATCTCTCGACCTCGTGATCGGCCCGCCTAGGCCTCCCAAAGTGCTGGGATTACAGGCATGAGCCACAGCGCCCAGCCCAGTCTACCTTCTTTTTTACACCTTTCAGAGACCTTTCATGATTGCCTGCTGAATTATTTTAAGGGTAGTTAATTGTATTTAAAGAGGAGGAACAGGGAAAAGTGTGTTTATGCCATCTTTACAATTGATTTTTATATATTGATTTTCTCCCTCTCCTGGGACTTTTACTATCTATATTTGTATGCATGAGGACTTTCTTATGTCTCTGAGGCTCTATCCTTTCTCCTCCTCCTTCTCCTCCTTCTTTTCTCTTTTTTTTTTTTTTTTTGCTCTTGAGATTGGATAATTTCTACTGATTTATCTTCAAGTTTGCTGATTTTTTTATAAGCACAAATCTGCTGTTAAACCTTCTTTCATAAATTTTTTATTTCAGTTATTGTACTTTTCAACTGTAGAATTTTCATTTTGTGTTTTTAAAATAATTTTTATTTATTGACATTCTCTATTTGATGAGTCAGTATTGTCATACTTTTAAGTCTTTAAAGATGGTTTCCTGTAGTTCTGTGTAAATATTTATATGTACTGCTTTCTTGGCTAAGTCCAAAATCTGGACCCTCAGAGATGGAATCTTTTTTCTGCTTTTTTTCCTATTGATGGAACACGCTTTTCTATTTCTTTTTTTTTTTTTTTGTGGATAACTTGATATTTTGAAAATATATTGTAACAATTCTGAATTCTGATTCCCCCAGGGTATCTGTTGTTGTTGTTGTTTTTATGAAGAAAGAGGTTTAATTGACTCACAGTTCCACAAGCTGTACAGAAGCATGGCTGGGAGGCCTTAGGAAACTTACAATCATGGTGGCAGGTGAACGAGAAGCAAGCACGTCTTACCGTGGCAGAGCAGGAGAGAGCGTGCAAAGGGGGAAGTGCCATACACTTTTAAACCATGAGATCTCATGAGAACTCACTCACTATCACAAGAATAGCAAAGGGGAAATCTGCACCCATGATTTAATCACCTCCCACCAAACCTCTTCTCTGACATGTGAGGATCACAGTTTGAGTTGAGATTTGGGTGGGGACACAGGGCCAAGCTTTATCAACCACCACTGCAGTTGGCAGTGTTCAGCAGATAACAAGACACCTGAGAGGTGGAGGCATGAGAGGCATCTTGTCTCCTCTAGCTCCTCATGCCTTACACAACAGGAGAGCCCAGTCTGTTTCATATTAAGGAAGAAAACATGGGAAAAGCTACTAAACAAATGATTAAAAACTGAAATCAAGACAGCTGCCATTACAAGCCATTTGAAAGCCCCCAGAGTTGTTAAATCTCAGGCTGGGAAAGGAGTTCTGTTCACCGTCACTTCACTCATTGCCTCACTAAATTTTCTGGTTTTTTTTTTTTTTTTATACTTTAAGTTCTAGGGTACACGTGCAAAACGTGTGCAGGTTTGTTACATAGGTATACATGTGCCCCATTGGTTTGCTGCACCCATTAACTTGTCATTTACATTAGGTATTTCTCCTAATGCTATCCCTTCCCCGTACCCCCCCAATGACAGGACCCAGGGTGTGATGTTCCCCACCCTGTGTCCAAGTGTTCTCATTGTTCAATTCCCACCTATGAGTGAGAACATGCGGTGTTTGGTTTTCCGTCCTTGTGATAGTTTGCTCAGAGTAATGGTTTCCAGCTACATCCATGTCCCTGCAAAGGACATGAACTCATCCTTTTTTATGGCTGCATAGTATTCCATGGTGTATATGTGCCACATTGTCTTAATCCAGTCTGTCATTGATGGACATTTGGGTTGGTTCCAAGTCTTTGCTATTGTAAATAGTGCTGCAATAAACATACTTATGCATGTGTCTTTATAGTAGCATGATTTGTAATCCTTTGAGTATATACCCAGTAATGGAATCACTGGGTCAAATGGTATTTCTAGTTTTAGATCCTTGAGGAATCACCACACTGTCTTCCACAATGGTTGAACTAGTTTACACTCCCACCAACAGTGTAAAAGCATTCCTATTTCTCCACATCCTCTCCAGCATGTGTGTCCTGACGTTTTAATGATCGCCATTCTAACTCATGTGAGATGGTATCTCATTGTGGTTTTGATTTGCATTTCGCTGATTGCCAGTGATGATGAGCACTTTTGTTGGCTGCATAAATGTCTTCTTTTGAGAAGTGTCTGTTCATATCCTTTGCCCCCTTTTTGATGGGGTTGTTTTTTTCTTGTAAATTTGTTTAAGTTCTTTGTAGATTCTGGATATTAGCCCTTTGTCAGATGGGTAGATTGCAAAAATTTTCTCCCTATTATGTAGGTTGCCTGTTCGCTCTGATGGTAGTTTCTTTTGCTGTACAGAGGCTCTTTAGTTTAATTAGATCCCATTTGTCTATTTTGGCTTTTGTTGCCATTGCTTTTAGTGTTTTAGTCATGAAGTCCTTACCTATGCCTATGTCCTGAATGGTATTGCCTAGGTTTTCTTCTAGGGTTTTTGTGGTTTTAGGTTTAACATTTAAGTCTTCAATCCATCTTGAATTAATTTTTGTATAAGATGTAAGGAAGGGATCCAGTTTCAGCTTTCTACATATGGCTACCCAGTTTTCCCTGTTAGCCATATGTAGGGATTTATTAAATAGGGAATCCTTTCCCGAAGTCTTGTTTTTGTCAGATTTGTCAAAGATCAGATGTTTGTAGATGTGTGGTGTTATTTCTGAGGCCTCTGTTCTGTTCCATTGGTCTATATCTCTGTTTTGGTACCACTACCAGGCTGTTTTGGTTGCTGTAGCCTTGTAGTATAGTTTGAAGTCAGGTAGGGTGATGCCTCCAGCTTTGTTCTTTTTGCTTAGGATTGTCTTGGCAATGCAGGCTCTTTTTTGATTCCATATGAACTTTAACAGTTTTTTCCAATTCTGTGAAGAAAGTCATTGGTAGCTTGATGGGGAATGGCACTGAATCCATAAATTACCTTGGGTGGTATAGCCATTTTCATGATTTTGATTCTTCCTATCCATGAGCATGGAATGTTCTTCCATTTGTATGTGTCCTCTTTTATTTCATTGAGCAGTGGTTTGTAGTTCTCCTTGAAGAGGCCCTTCACATCCCTTGTAAGTTGGATTCCTAGGTATTGTATTCTCTTTGTAGCAATTGTGAATGGGAGTTCACTCATGATTTGGCCCTCTGTTTGTCTGTTTTTGGTGTATAGGAATGCTTGTGATTTTTGCAACATTGATTTTGTATCCTGAGACTTTGCTGAAGTTGCTTATCAGCTTAAGGAGATTTTGGGCAAACAGGGACAATTTGACTTCCTCTTTTCCTAATTGAATACCCTTTATTTCTTTCTCTTGCCTGATTGCCCTGGCCAGAACTTCCAACACTGTGTTGAATAGGAGTTGTGAGAGAAGGCATCCCTGTCTTGTGCCAGTTTTCAAAGGGAATGCTTCTAGTTTTTGCCCATTCAGTATGATATTGGCTGTGGATTTGTCATAAATAGCGCTTATTATTTTGAGATACGTTTCATCAATACCTAGTTTATTGAGAGTTTTTAGCATGAAAGACTGTTGAATTTTGTCAAAGGCCTTTTCTGCATCTATTGAGATAATAATGTGGTTTTTGTTTTTGGTTCTGTTTATATGATTATGTTTATTGATTTGCTTATGTTGAACCAGCCTTGCATCCTAGGGATGAAGCCAACTTGATCATGGTGGATAAGCTTTTTGATGTGCTGCTGGATGTGGTTTGCCAGTATTTTATTGAGGATTTTCGCATCAATGTTTATCAGGGATATTGGTCTAAAATTCTCTTTTTTTGTTGTGTCTCTGACAGGCTTTGGTATCGAGATGATGCTGGCCTCATAAAATAAGTTAGGGAGGATTCCCTCTTTTTCTACTGATTGGAATAGTTTCAGAAGTAATGGTGTCAACTCCTCTGTGTACCTCTAGTAGAATTTTGCTGTTAATCCGTCTGGTCCTGGACTTTTTTTGGCTGGTAGGCTATTAATTATTGCCTCAATTTTGGAACCTATTATTTGTCTATTCAGAGATTCAGCTTCTTCCTGATTTAGTCTTGGGTGGGTGTATATGTCCAGGAATTTATGCATTTCTTCCAGATTTTCTAGTTTACTTGCATAGAGGTGGTTATAGTATTTTCTGAGGGTAGTTTGTATTTCTGCGGGATTGGTGGTGATATCCCCTTTATCATTTTTTATTGCGTCTATTTGATTCTTCTCTCTCTTCTTCTTTATTAGTCTTGCTAGCGGTCTATCGATTTTGTTGATCTTTTCAAAAAACCAGCTCCTGGATTCATGGATTTTTTGAAGAGTTTTTTGTGTCTCTATCTCCTTCAGTTCTGCTCTGATCTTAGTTATTTCTTGCCTTCTCCTAGCTTTTGAATTTGTTTTCTCTTGCTTCTCTAGTTCTTTTAATTGTGATGTTAAGGTGTTGATTTTTTATCTTTCCTACTTTCTCTTGTGGGCATTTAGTGCTATAAATTTCCCTCTACACACTGCTTTAAATGTGTCCCAGAGATTCTGGTACGTTGTGTGTTTGTTCTCGTTAGTTTCAAAGAACATCTTTATTTCTGCCTTCATTTCATTATTTACCCAGTAGTCATTCAGGAGCAGGTTGTTCAGTTTCCATGTAGTTGTGCAGTTTTCAGTGAGTTTCTTAATCCTGAGTTCTAATTTGATTGCACTGTGGTCTGAGAGACAGTTTGTTGTGATTTCTGTTCTTTCACATTTGCTGAGGAGTGCTTGACTTCCAACTATGTGGTCAATTTTGGAATAATTGTGATGTGGTGTTGAGAAGAATGTATATTCTGTTAATTTAGAGTGGAGAGTTCTGAAGATGTCTATTAGGTCCGCATGGTGCAGAGCTGAGTTCAACTCCTGGATATCCTTGTTAACGTTCTGTCTTGTTGATCTGTCTAATATTGACAGTGGGGTGTTAAAGTCTCCCATTATTATTGCGTGGGAGTCTAAGTCTCTTTGTTGGTTTCTAAGGACTTACTTTGTGAATCTGGGTGCTCCTGTATTGGGTGCATATATATTTAGGATAGTTAGCTCTTCTTGGTGAATTGATCCCTTTACCATTATGTAATGGCCTTCTTTTTCTCTTTTGATTTTTGTTAGTTTAAAGTCTGTTTTATCAGAGACTAGGATTTCAAGCCCTGCTTTTTTTTGCTTTCCATTTGCTTGGTAGATCTTCCTCCATCCCTTTATTTTGAGCCAATGTGTGTCTCTGCACATGAGAAGGGTCTCCTGAATACAGCACACGGATGGGTCTTGACTCTTTATCCAATTTGCCAGTCTGTGTCTTTTAATTGGGGCATTTAGCCCATTTACATTTAAGGTTAATATTGTTATGTGTGAATTTGATCCTGTCATTATGATGTTAGCTGGTTATTTTGCTCATTAGTTGATGCAGTTTCTTCATAGCATTGATGGTCTTTACAATTTGGCATGTTTTTGCAGTGGCTGGTACCAGTTGTTCCTTTCCATGTTTAGTGCTTCCTTTAGGAGCTCTTGTAAGGCAGGCCTGCTGGTGACAAAATCTCTCAGCATTTGCTTGTCTGTAAAGGATTTTATTTCTCCTTCACTTAGGAAGCTTAGTTTGGCTGGATATGAAATTCTGGAATGAAAATTCTTTTCTTTAAGAATGTTGAATATTGGCCCCCACTCTCTTCTGGCTTGTAGAGTTTCTGCCCAGAGATCTGCTGTTAGTCTGATGGGCTTCCCTTTGTGAGTAACCCGACCTTTCTCTCTGGCTGCCCTTAACATTTTTTTCCTTGATTTCAACTTGGTGAATCTGACAATTAATTGTCTTGGGGTTGCTCTTCTCGAAGAGTATCTTTGTGGTGTTCTCTGTATTTCCTGAATTTGAATGTTGGCCTGCTTTGCTAGGTTCAGAAAGTTCTCCTGAATAATATCCTGAAGAGTGTTTTCCAACTTGGTTCCATTCTCCCCGTCACTTTCAGGTACACCAATCAAGCATAGATTTGGTCTTTTCACATAGTCCCATATTTCTTGGAGCCTTTGTTCATTTCTGTTTACTCTTTTTTTCTCTAAACTTCTCTTCTCACTTTATTTCATTAATTTGATCTTCAATCACTGATACCCTTTCTTCCACTTGATCGAATTGGCTATTGAAGCTTGTGCATGTGTCATGTAGTTCTTGTGTCATGGTTTTCAGCTCCATCAGATCATTTAAGGTCTTCTCTGCACTGTTTATTCTAGTTAGCCATTCATCTAATCTTTTTTCAAGGTTTTTAGCTTCCTTGCGATGGGTTCGAACATCCTCCTTTAGCTCAGAGAAGTTTGTTATTGCCGACCTTCTGAAGCCTACTTCTGTCAGCTCATCAAAGTCATTCTCCGTCCAGCTTTGTTCCATTGCTGGTGGGGAGCTGCGATCCTTTGGAGGAGAAGAGGTGCTCTGGTTTTTAGAATTTTTCAGCTTTTCTGCTCTGGTTTCTCCCCACCTTTGTTGTTTTATCTGCCTTTGGTGTTTGATGTTGGTGATCTACAGATGGGGTTTTGGTGTGGATGTCCTTTTTATTGATGTTGATGCTATTCCTTTCTGTTTACTAGTTTTCTTTCTAACAGTCAGGTCCTTTAGCTGCAGGTCTGTTGGAGTTTGCTGGAGGTCCACTCCAGACCCTGTTTGCCTGGGTATCACCAGCGGAGGCTGCGGAACAGCAAATATTGCTGCCTGATCCTTCCTCTGGAAGCTTCATCCCAGAGGGGTACCTGCCTGTATGAGGTGTCAGTCAGCCCCTACTGGGAGGTGTCTACCAGTTAGGCTACAAGGGGGCCAGGGACCCACTTGAGGAGGCAGTCTGACCATTCTCTGAGCTCAAACACCATGCTGGGGGAACTACTGCTCTCTTCAGAGCTGTCAGACAGGTATTTTTAAGTCTGCAGAAGTTTGTGCTCCCTTTTGTTCAGGTATGCCCTGCCCCCAGAGGTAGAGTCTACAGAGGCAGTAGGCCTTGCGGAGCTGCAGTGGGCTCTGCCCAGTTCAAGCTTCCCCAGCCGCTTTGTTTACCTATTCAAGCCTCAGCAATGGTGGTTGCCCCTCCCGCTGCCAGGCTGCTGGCCAATCTTAGACTGCTGCACTAGCAGTGAGCAAGGCTCCATGGGTGTGGGACCTGCCAATTCAGGCACCAGATATAATCTTCAGGTGTGCCATTTGCTAAGACCATTGGAAAAGTGCAGTATTTGGGTGGAAGTGTCCTGTTTTTCTAGGTACCATCTGTCACAACTTCCCTTGGCTAGGAAAGGGAAATCCCTTGACCCCTTGTGCTTCCCACGTGAGGCGACACCCCACCCTGCTTCGGCTCACCCTCCATGGGCTGCACCCACTGTCCAACCTGTCCCAATGAGATAAGCCAGGCACCTCAGTTGGAAATGCAGAAATCACCCATCTTCTGCGTTGATCATGCTGGGAGCTGCGGACTGGAGCTGTTCCCATTTGGCCATCTTGTAATGGAATCCATTTGTTGTTGTTTTTGTTTGTTTCTTTATTTTTTGAATTAATTCTTTTTTTTTTTCTTTTTGGAAGTGTTGTTTTGCTCTTGTTACCCACTCTGGAGTGCAGTGGCATGATTTCGGCTCACTGCAACCTCTGCCTCCCAGGTTCAAGCAATTCCTGCCTCAGCTTTCCGAGTAGCTGGAATTACAGGTGTACACCACCGCGCACAGCTAATTTTTGTACTTTTAGTAGAGACGGGGTTTCATCGTGTTGGCCAGGCTGGTCTTGAACTCCTGACCTCAGGTGATCCACCTGCCTCAGCCTCCCAAAGTGCTGGGATTAGAGGCGTAAGCCACTGTGCCCAGACATTTTTTGAATGAATTCTCTGGAGTCTGTTTCTCTCATAGTATAGTCTCTGCTGGCTGCTCAGCTGCTCTCTAAAAAATTGTTTAAAAAATTTTACATCTGGCTTTCATGGGTTCACTGCTGAGTTGGCATAGCTCAGTGGCCAGCCAATAATTCATCAGAAGTTTTGCTTAAACACCTTTGCCAGGGTCAAAAAGGCCTCTACCCTTTGAATCTCATCTTATGAGTTATGATGAGTGTATAAATCAGTGTTCAATCACAGAAACAGAACCAGTAAGATATATCTATCTATCTCAATAAATATATTAAGAGATTTAATGCAAGCGATTGGCTTAAGTTATTGTAGGGGCAGGCTAGACAAGCCAAAACCTGAAGGACAGGCTATGAGAAGAGAAGCCTGGAAATCTAGGGAATAAGCTAAAGCTTCTGTACATAGAAAGAGTTTCTTCTTCATCAGGGAAGCCCCAGTTCTGTTCTTACAGCCTTTCAACTGATTGAATCAGGCCCACTCAGAAGAGCTGGGATAATCTCCCTGATTCAAAGTCAACTGATTATGGACTTTAATCATATGTATAAAATACCTTCCACAGCAACACCTAGATTTGTGTTTAATTGAATAACTGGGGAGTATAGGCTAGTCAAATAGGTAAAATAGAATCACAGAGAGCCATTGAATGGTTTAAGCAAGGTAGTAATATGATCATGCTTGCTTTAGATAAATACACCCTCTGGTGGCTAGGTAGAGGAAGAAGGAGCTGGAGGTTCTTGTAATAGACAAATTAAAGAGATATTAATTGCCTGAATTAGCACTATAACACTGAGTTTGAAGAGGAGGGTTGAATTACCATAAATATTTTGAAAGTAAATATTTATAAATGTATTTATATATAATTGTAGGTTCAGTTACACAGACAGTGTAGGGTTGGTATATAGAGTAAGAGTAATACTCTGTCTCACATTTTACATTACATCCGTCTACCGATCATCTATTAACCTCTTGGAGTTGCCATTTTCTTATCTGTACCTTTTTCCCTCAATAAATACGTTTTTTTCCAAGTTCTGACAATAAGCCCCATGCTGAAAGCCCTGGTTATCTGAATTGCCTTCCATTTATCCTTGTATTTCCTGCACAAAACAAAGACCACAGGAAGTGAGTTAGAATACTCTGGAAGATGAGCATATCTCATTTCCTTAGGAGTATATTGCAAAAACCTGTCTACCGAAAAGTAACACTTATGGACTGACTAAATGCATGCCCAAGCTTAGAGAAGCTGCAAGAACAGGAGTAAGCAATCCAAGAGGCCCAGGTGGCCTAGAATGCATCAATTTGTATTTATCAGTAGGAGCTCTGCTCCTGGATGAATGCAGGAGTTGAAGCTGACTCTGCTTCCCTGCCCGTGCTTCTAGAGCCTTTTGTGGGCTCCTGTGTTAGCAGTGCCAATGCCCCAGAGAAATCAATCACAAGACCTGAATTTGAGTCCTCCTGTTTCTTTATGTGGTCCTGGGAGGTGGCAACTCTAAACTTTGGGACAAAGGACAATCTCCAACTACCGCTGACCTTGGACTGCTAAGTTTCAAGGGCAAGATACATAGAAAATGAACCTGAACAAATGGTTTCTTTTCATTATCAGCTGTGATTTGAACCTAATTTCTCTGTAGAGCTCTTAGTCCCAATGAGCAGAACTGGGAAAATGTTAAGGACTCTCTTTGCACTTTTAGCTTAAGGTCTAGGCTAGGAAATGCCTCAGAAGACAAATGAAGCCTCCCTTCCCCTGATCCCCTATGTTGTGGTACCCTTGTGGTGTCTACTTGACCTTCCCAGGACATGGATACCCCTTCCTTAGCCTCATGAGAGAAGAGATATTTCCAAAGCCAAATGTAGAAGACAAAAAAGGGAAAGCTGAAGATCTAACATTCAGATTCCAGGGTTGTTTTTTTTTTAAATCATTTTCCTTATCACACTGAAATCTCTGCTCCAACCCTGAGCCTCTATCCTCCTTGGTCTTGATCCAAATCAGTACTTTAGTGCTCCACAGAGACGGAGTCGGGGCGATGGAGGGGGTAGTCTTGGCCTCTCTCTAGAGGCTGCCTTTCCCCCAAACCCTCTCTAACTGTAACTAAATCTGTTTGCTTGTATTAGTGGAGAAATTGAGTTTCAGAAATCATTATGCAGTTCATGTGGGTGCTAACATTTAGGTAAGCTGCCTGACAGCAGAGCTATAACAAATCATTGCTTATTGCTATGCTGCTCTGTAGAGTCCTGAGAGAAAGAGTCTATAGGCTGCTGTGTGTCCTTGGGGCAGCCAGAGCCACAGCTTTTGCCTTTCAGTGGCTTTGTGCAGGTTGCTGTCAATTTTTTTAGAGGGACCCCTCTGTTCACCACCAAACCCAGCCCAACCCCCTTCTGTGAAGTCTTCACCGCCCCCATTGCTGCTCCCCCAGCAAAAGTATAATGAATCACCTCCCTCCTCTGCCATTGCTCTAATAGCACTCTTTTATTATTGTGCTTCAAGCATGATTGTTTTCATTCTTTACTGAGCTACTGTCTGCTTAACACTAGATAGGTTATTTAAGCCTTAAAAGAGATTCTCTCTGCCCTCACAAAAGTCCACAGTCTTTAGCATGACTCATCTGCCAGCCTCATCTTGTACCATGCCTCCCTCACTCTCTGTTAACTTAACTTCAGGCAATGGGGAGCCAGGGAATGTTTCAAAGCAGAGGAGAAACCCAATCATGTTTGTGCTTTTTCCAGATGACTCTGGTGGTAATGGAGGATGCAATAGTTGGGAGGAAGACCGGAGTCTAAGTTACTGTAAAGTGGTTCTTATCATGTGAAAGATGATGAGGTTGGATCCAGCACGGGGGCAGTCAGAATAGAGAATACATATACTTTGATTCTAATATGTTTAGTATTTTTCATGTAAAAAATGCCACTTAGATCTCTTAATCAGCAAAACAGGAAAGGAATTGCTGTGTATGGATGAAATGAGATAGGGGATGAACAGCACCTGGCATGAAGCCTGGCGCATAGTCGGTGCTCAGGAACTGCTTCTTGTCTGCTCCCTTCCACCTGCAGCAGGCACAGCTCTGGGCTCTCATCCTTCTTCTGGAGGAGAGAAGAAGGGAGAAAAGCGATGTGGCAGCAAACCAGGGCAGCGACCTCATCAGTTACAGGTGAAAAAGATGGACCTAAATTGTTCGAGCAAATGAATGAATGGCCTTACTGCTCTTGCAGACCAGTGGTATATCTATTCATCCAAGATTCAGATTTTAACTAGGAACAGCAGGAGGATAAGTTTCTACAGTAAAGACAGTTGTTAGAATTCACAGAGCAGAGAAGCTCTTTAAGAGACAAGATTCCTGATAGTCTTTTCACGAGGAAGAAGAATATTGATTACAAGAGAAGGTTCTATGTGTGTTAGGCCCTATGCCCTCTCCTGCCTCAGGAGAGGAGAGGATGCCCTGTGAGCATCAGTTCCATTTGGTGATCTTTTTCATTTCTCCCTGTTTCCTTCATTCATGGCTGCTTCAAGCCAGGACAAGGCAAAATAAAGAAATTCTGACCTTCAGCAACTTCTTTATGCTCTCAGAATCTGCTTTTTCAATCTGTAGTTTAGAAATAATCATATTTGCCCCACAAAGTTTTTGTTAGAATTGAGGCAGAGGAAAAGAAGCTCTGCAACATTATATATCCACCTTAAATCCATGCATTGGCTACAGAGGTTCCTCCAAAAACACTGAACAGGTTGCTTAACTTAAAATATAATTTTATATATATATATAAAATATATATATAAAAGGAAATTGCTAAATCAAAATGAAAAAAAAAAAAGAAAAGGGCTTCTCACTGCCCTTAAAAAAGTCAGCAGTCGACAGCATAACTCATCTGCCAGCCTCATCTTTTACCATGCCTCCCTGGCTGTCTGTGCTTTGGCTGTATTGGCCTTTGTCATTTGTGAGAGATGCCATGCTCTTGCCAGCCTAGGCCTTTGCACATACTGTACCCATGCCTGGCACATTCTTGCCTCTTCTCTCCACCTGACCATCTCTTATCCCTCTTTTAGAATTGATATGGTTTGGCTTTGTGTCCCCACCCAAATCTCATCTCAAATTGTAATCGCCGGTGTTGAGAGAGAGACCTAGTGGGAGGTGGTTGGATCATGGCGGCAGTTTCCCCCATGCTGTTATTGTGATAGTGAGTGGGTGAGTTCTCATGAGATCCGTTGGTTTTACAAGGGGCTCTTCCCCCTTCACTCTCTTTTGACTGCTGCATGTAAGATATGCCTGCTTCCCCTTCTGCCATGATTGTAAGTTTCCTGAGGCCTCCCCAGCCATGCAGAACCGTGAGTCAGTTAAACCTCCTTTCTTTATAAATTACCCAGTCTCTGGCAGTTCTCTATAGCAGTGTGAAAATGGGCTAATACAAGGATCCAGGTTAAATTCACTTCAGTCATTTAAATCACAAATATTTATTGAGTGCCTACTATGTGCCAGGCACTTTTCTAGACAATGGGGAAAGTAGCAAATAGGAAGGCAAAGTCCTATGAATCTCGTATTCTAGCACTGGGGAGACAGAGGGAAAACAAGCAGGCAATGAAGGAACAAGATAATGCTTTAACGGTGGTATTGAGAGGCAATACAAGGGTAATCAGATGGGTCAGGCCAGGCTCTCTGGAGGGTGGTGGTTGGGTGGGAGAGGGTGGTATACATTAGATTAGATCACTTCTTAGTGATATGAGCTGTGAGCTGAAAGATTAAAAAAGGATACTCCCAAGAGAGGTAGCAGCAAATACAATGGCCTGAGGCAGAGATGAGCTTTGTACAGTCAAAGGGAAAAAAGGTCATGGTTCCTAGAACACTGTGATGGAGTTAGAGAAGCATAAGATAAATCAAAGAGGTGGGTGGAGCAGAACATCTAGGGCCTTCTAGGCCATGGGTCAGGGCTCAGATATTAAGTCTAAATGGAAGCTATTGGAGCATTTTAATTTACACTTACATTTAAAAAATATTACCCTGGATGCTAAATGGAGAATGCCTGGTAGAAATGACAGGGAGAAATCACAGGGTGGCAGGGAGAGGGAGAGGGAGTTAGGAGGAGTGGCAAAAACTTTTGGATGATCTGTACAGGATGCAATGTGGAGATATTGGTGACTCAGATGATACTACCCTTGAGGGGTTAATATCAATATCTTCATCTGGTAGATAAGGGAATTGAAGAGAAGTGGGGTACACTTTGGAATTAAATCCTATAGATCTTGTTCATGGATTGGGTGGTAAAGGTGAAGAAAGGAGATGAGACAATAGGAAGAGCAAGGAAGGAAAACACGCTGGGGAGAAATGAAGATTTTGGCATCTGCTATATTAAATTACTTTCTTATGGAAGACTTCCCTGATCCCCAGTCCTGGTTAGAGCTTTACATTGGTTGCTCCCAGAGCAATGTGTAGCTCTCCTTTGTAACACTCCAAACATTTTATCATTTGTCATTATTTGTTCCTTCACTAGACCTGATGGGAGGAACCCACCTTTCTTGTTTAATGCTATCTCTCCAGTGCTTTGCACAGTACCTGGCATGTAATTATAATATAATATAACAAAACATATTATTATAATAATCTGACATCTAATATAATAATATTAATAACAAACAACACTTAAAGAGTAGTTTCTCTGTGTCAGGTCCTATTCTGAGTGCTTTACAGGTGATTTTCACAGCAGTCCCCTGAAATGGGTACTGTTATGTTTGACAGATATGCAAACTGAGGCACAGAGAGAGTAAGTAAACTTGACCAAGGTCACACAGCTAGCAAATGCCAATAAGTGAATATTTTACAAACGATACATTGTTTATAGTTCACACCACCACAGTGAGGTATGTTTTTGTGTTCCTATTTTAGGTTTGAGCAAAGTGAGACATAAATCTGTTTGAGGTGTTGATACTGGGAAGTAGGGTTGGCAGGATTTGAACTGTCCAGAGACAGGCTCACTCAGTTTGTGAATGTTGAGAGCGTTCACTGTGGGGCCAAGCTGACTCAGTCTGAAATGTGTCCCTGCCACTTACTAGCTAGGCATGTGAGACTTTGGCTGAATTAAATGCTTTGTACTTCAGTTTCTTCATCTGTAAATTGACACTATTAACAGTGCTTGTCTTCAGGAGGACTGGATGTAATATTTGAAGAGCCCTTAGAATACATGTAGACTTTATGGAAAGGACCTACAGTTTGCCTATAGATAAAGCCAAGGAAGGAAGGTCCACTGCTCCCCAAGTCTTCTCCACGGGTCATTCATCCTGGATTAAGATGTTAGAACTAAACAATCATTGTGGTTACGGTTGACACTCATCTAATTCACTGCCTCCGTTCATTATATAGATAAATAAGCTGGGGCGTGCTGCGAGGGTAAGTGAATGAGATGGGACAAAATCCTGGGGAGCCTCCCGGAAAAACATGATACCTTCTGTATGTTCGAGGTTTCATAAAGATGAGTTATATAATCTCCAGAGCTAGAAAATCAGGCAGGCCCTTTTTGTGATTGAAAGAAAAACCTTCCTAATCATTTCTAAGACAAGCTCTCAATTTTCTTTGATTTGGGAATCAAAGAGAACAGGGAATATTATGCTCTTCACTGATGTTCTATTTTTTTTCCTTCTGCCAATCAAAAAGGAGGCCTAGGCAGCGTTGATTTTTTTTTTCTTTTACTCTTTCTTCCAGACCTCTGGTGGAGGTGTTAATAAAAAGTGAATCAGTCAAATCCCAGCTTATCAGGAGGAGACAGAAAAGGGATAAAAATTCAGGGTAGTCAAGCGCCACATAATAGGGATTACCTATTTTGAAGCTAATTTGACAATAAGGTGTCTGAAAAGCCAGTCTTCCCATTTCTTTAAAGTGCTTTGTCTGAGTTGTATGCCTTTCTGTCAGGCAGTGAACTAACTCAATGACGTCAGACTTCGTTTCTACTTCCAAAACATAAGTGGTAACTTACCCAGTCCCTGGTCCACTGAGCAAATCTGGCTTCAAAAAGAAACTGTCCTGATCTGACACAATCCAAGTCAAAATATTTGAAACCCTATTTGAAACTGTGGTCTGGCATAATCCACATGATTCAGGGCTAGGTTCTCATAAACTGACTCAAAAAACATGCAATCTTCTGGTAGAACTTTTGCCCAGGGCTGGTAAACATGCAAATTATTGCAGTCTTTTCAGAAAGTAATTTGGAAAAACAGATCAAGAAGGTTTAAAAGGCTCATATCTTTTAACCCAGGCTTGAGAAAATATTCAGAGACAGGACTGAGTTTTATACACAGGTTCTTCCTTGAAGCACTATTTGCAACTACAAAAACAAAACAGGAATCAAAGAAAATATCCAATAATTAACAAATTGCTTACATCATATTTCAATCATTCCAATATGTGTTTTCTTAAAAGAAATGTTTAGTGGCATGTGGAAAACATTCCCAACATGCACAAAGAGAGAGAAAACCCAGGGTTACAAATTACAAATAATATGATTTTAATTTTTTAAATCAATCCCATCCATCCATCCATCCATCCATCCATCCATCCATCCATCCATTTGTCCATTCTTTATCTCTTTATCTATCTAGGGGATATAGGCCTAGAAAAATAACTGAAAATAAATAAATATGTTAACAGTAATTATCCCAGTATATTGGCCTCTTTAGTATTTTTCATCTTTGCACTTTTCCATATTTTCCAAATTTCCTGTGGTGACCATGTCCTACTTTATAATAAGGAAAAGAATGATAAAGACTATCATTTACAGAAACAAGACAGCCCTTATCTCTTCTTTGAACTGCAAAAACACCTAACAACATATTCTCCTTCTCCTTCAATTTGTGTGCTACACGAGCTGCCATATTGATTTTTCTGAACCATTCTTTTTATTATAACATCCTTTCCCTTAAAGATTCTCTGGCTCCTCACTGCTTATATAAATAATTGTTAAACTACTTAACCTGGCTTTCCCGGCCTTCAGAAATCTGGTCCTGTTATACCATCTGTGGATTTTTATTAGTATTTTTTCTCCTTAAATCTCCATTCAACAGATATTTATGAAGCACCAGCTCTGTGCTAGGCTGGCTTTTCTCCTCACCTCCCAAATTCTCCACAAGTGGCCTCTTCCCTGGCCCAGCCTCATGTGCTCCCACCTGTAAGTCTCTGTTCCTTGGCATGCTCCTTATTGCACCCATTGCAAAAGATGCAATGTGTGTGCACCATCCTCTCAGAGACTTCTGTTTATCCACCCAACTTGGGCACATGCTCTAGGGACTTAGGCAAGTGCCTTAATCCCTCATTGCCTTCATCTTCCCATTTGTATAATGGAAACTACAGTGGCAATATGTAATCTATTCATTTGTTGTGAAGATCCAAAGAGCTGATATATGTAAAATGCTTAGGACAGTGTCTGGCACAATGTAAAAGCTCAAGAAACATTTCTTATTTGTCTTGTAACTTCCTTCAAGGTAGGATCCTAGTCTCATTCCAATTTACAACTCCCATGGAACCTAACCACCTTGCTCTGTCTCTAGTTGGATACTGAAGAAATTCTTGTTGAGTAATGTATGAATGAATGGCAGCTGCTATAGACTGAAGGTTTATGTCTCTCCCCACTATTCATATATTAACACCGAATCCCCAATGTGATGGCATTTAGAGTGGAGACTTTGGGAGGTGATTGGGTCCTGAGGGTATAATCCCTCATAATAGGATCAGTGTTCTGTAGGAAACAGCCCAGAGAGCTCCCTAACCCCTTCTACTGTGTGAGGATGCAGCAAAATGGCCATCTATGAACCAGGAAGCAGGCCCTCACCAGACACTGAATCTGTCAGAGTCTTGATCATGGACTTCCCAGCCTCCAGAACTATGAGAAGTAAATTTCTGTTGTTTATAAGCCACCCTGTCTATGGTATTGTTATAGAAGCCTGGATGGACTAAGACAAAATTTATATGAGCTTTTACTGACCATGTATATCCCTTCTCCTTTTGGACACTCTGTCCCTGACTATAAACCGTACCCATATCATTCATCACTTGTGTGGTCAATGTTGGTGCTATTCATTGTGATTATGGTCAAACCCTCTGCTGTAGCTGTACAACTTGGCATCAGATTTCTTCTGTTCCTGAAGCATTGTGGTGGTAGATGCTTAATAATCTTGCTCACAGATTTCTATACTGTTCCCATTTTTCCATAGCAAGTTGCAGAATAGCTACCTTATGTTTTCCAACCTTAATTTTCTTGGCCACAAGCCTGAAGGAAATTACATTAAGTCTTTCACTTTAAGCCCATGCATTGCATTATCCCAGATGAATGCACTAATTCATTTGAAAATTAGAGAAAAATAGACAAATGATGGTATAAAAAAAAAAGTAACTGATTTATTTAGGGACCACTATTTGCCAGGTTCTGCAATAATCCCTTTCATACAGTTATCCTGTTAAAAATGTGAAACACATTTAGAAGCTGTGTGACCACAGTCAAATCAAGTTGTTCCCTCTAAGCTTTGGCTTGAGCTTTCCCAGGCTGTACTATTGCCTGCCCAAATGCCGCTTCTGTTTTCTGCCCCATCTGTCAACAGTCTTCTAGAAAATTCTATTTACAAATAAAAAGTAGAGTTAATTATTTCCTATTTCAAACCTATTCTTCCTTCTATGTCCCTGCCATCCATTCAGCTGCCCAAGTCAGAAACTTAGGAGTCACCCACCCACCTTTCCTACCCCCACATGACTGCCCTGACTACAATTCAGGCCACTTTCATGTCTCATCTGCTTTAGGGCAACAACCTCCTAATTGGTCCCCCTTTCATAACCCCTTCTTGGCTGATCTAATCTACTTTTCTCATTGTAGCCATGATCTTTGCAAAATAAAAAAGTGGCCCTGTCACTCTCTGGCTTTTAAGCCCTCAACAGCTCTTCATGAACTCCATAAGATATCATCTAGCCCCTGCTTCTCTCTCAAGTTTTATCTTTTCAACCCATCAGTTTTTCGGTTATATACTTTGAATTTTATGTGCTACATGAGAGGTTCTCAAAGTGTGGTTGTAGGACCAATGGGGTTTCCGTGCCCTGTCAAGGAGTCTTAGGTCGAAACTATTTTCATAATAATACTAACATATCATTTGCTTTATTCACTTTCATTTTCTCATGAGTTTATGGTGGAATTTTCCAAAAGCTACATGATGTGTGCTATTGTAACAGATGGAATGCAAAAGTAGATATGAGAACCCAGCTAACTGTCTTTGATTAAGCCAGACATTACAGAGATTTGCAAAGATGTAAATCTATACCAGCTTCTCACTATTTTTTTTTGAAAAATATACTTGTTTTTTATAAAAGATATTTTTGTTAGCACATAATGCATAATGGGTTTATTATTATTTTAAATTAATAAATATACAGATTTAAAAATGTTTACAGTTTCAACATTTAATATGGTAAATACCAAGAAATATATCCCACATGAACAAAATATTTTGAGGGTGCTTAATAATTTTTAATATTACAAAGGGGTCCCAAGACTAGAAAGTTTCAGAACCACTACTCTAGCAGTGGAACCATTCAGAGCACCCCAGAATATGTTCTGTCACTTTCTCTCCCAGCCCACTCAGTGCTTCTCCATCACCATAATGGTTTCTCTCTGCTTCTTCTCTGTCTGCTGAATTCTCCTGCACAAGAGTCACCACTTAGTGAAAGCATTCCTTTGAGCTTTACAAGAGTAGCTACAAGGCTGACTTTTGCTGAAGGCCTCTTGTATGCTAAGCAAATAATTGCTTTACCTGCATTTTCTCCTCCTTTTTTTTTTTTTTTTTTTTTTTTTTTTTTTTTTTTTTGAGACAGGGTCTCACTCTGCCTCCTGGACTGGAGTGCAGTGGCACAATCTTGGCTCACCACAACCTCTGCCTCCCAGGCTCAAGCAATTCTCCTGCCTCAGCCTCCTGAGTAGCTGGGATTACAGACACGTGCCACCATGACCGGCTAATTTTTGTATTTTTAGTAGAGACGGGGTTTCACCATGTTGGCCAGGCTGGTCTTGTACTCCTGACCTCAAATGATCCACCCACCTTGGCTTCCCAAAGTGTTGAGATTACAGGTGTAAAACATCATGCCTGGCCCACTTTTTTTGTTTTGTTTTGTTTTGTTTTTTTGAGATGGAGTCTTCCTCTGTCCCCTAGGCTGGAGTGCAGTGGTGCGATCTCGGCTCACTGCAACCTCTATCTCCCGGTTTCAAGCAATTCTCCTGCCTTAGCCTCCCAAGTAGCTGGGATTACAGGCACGTGCCACCACACCTGGCTAACTTTTTTGTATTTTTAGTGGAGATGAGTTTTTGCCATGTTGGCCAGGCTGGTCTTGAACTCCTGACCTCAGGTGTTCCGCCCACCTCAGCCTCCCAAAGTGCTGGGATTACAGGCATGAGCCACCGCACCTGGCCTTCTCCTTTAAGTTAGGCTGAGGCAAGGCCAGGGAGGGTCAGGGAGGAGGAAAGATAACATCAGTTCTAGTCTAGACCTAAGAAAACTTAGGCTCAGAGAGGTTTAGAAGCTGCTCAGGTCACAGAGCTAGTGAGTGGCACAGTTGATTTGAATTCATCCTCTTCCCACTCAGTGGTTCTTATAGTTCTATGTGCTATGGTGTGCTGGTGAATAATAAACAACTGGCTCTCCAATAGGACAAAGCCCTCATTAGTAGTGTTTGGCAATTTCCATGGTGTAAATGCTCCTGCAGTGGCCAGTTTCAGGCCGCCAACATGACATCATTGAACAGAGAGATCAAAAGGGGTGTGCAGTCGTCCACATCATAGAGCATTTTCACCACACACATAAAAATGATGAAAAACTCAAGAGCACAGGTAATAGTTAAGTGTGGTAAAGTAATTGGGAATTACAGTGATGAATTCTGAGTATTTTGAATTTGAGCATATTTGTTTTAAATATAATTTCTGTAATTATAAGTTGATCTAATCTACTTGTTTATAATTGTTAATAATTGCGTGTTTAGCAACCAACTTGCATAATTCCCAAATATGTAACAATTGACTCTTGGACCTCAGAATTAACTTTCAACCTTTGGACATCACAGATGTTTGAGCCCTCTTCCAAACCTACTGAAGCCACCTCTCCATGCTGGTGTCCAGGCAGCTGTGTTTTTACCAAGCCCTCCAATCTCATCTCATCATGCACACAGAGAGTCATTTGTTCATTCTTCCCTCATTCACCAAGTCAGCACACATTGACTAAAGGCCTACATTATGTCAGATACTGTTTCAAGGTGCCTACCTCATGGTCCACATTCCTACCAGACGGTATCCTCATTTAGAGCAGGGATGGAGCCTATCTCCCAGAGCTTGGTGCAGAGTCTAATGCATCATACAAACTTAATAAATGTTTTTGCTGGAACAAAATAATAACAAGAAGCCAGGTTTTGCCTGGCTCAGCTCCAATCAGCCCAAATCTCTGGGATTGGAGAGCATAAGCATCAAATGTGGGTTGGCATGAGATAGGTTTGGGTTTGAGTCTGATTCTTGGACAAGTAAGTTAGTCTACTACTTTTCCATTTCCTCTGCTGTAAAAATACTAATACCCACTTTAGAGGGCGGTTGTAGGAATTACACACAATCATGTTTTTATCGCATCCTTAGCAAAGTGTCCTGGTCACATTATCTGAAGAGCATCCTTGGCCACTCTTGGTTCCTTCATCCTGTGTTATTTTTCTTCATTATGCTTATCATTGTTTGATGTTATAGTATGTATGTATGCATGTCTGATATTTAGGTATTTTATTATTGTGCCTCCTCCCCATACTACCCACCCACTAGAATGGTGTTCTATTAAGGGAAAGACCCAGTTTGTTACATTCATCTCTGTATCCTCAGCACCTAGAAAAGTCCCCAATACCCAGTAGGCTTCCAGTAGATATTTGACAGATAGATGAATGGATGGACAGAGAGCCTAGTATTTGTTGGTTATTAGTAAAAACATTATGTTTTTTAAAAATACCTCCCTCTGAGGCTACAGTGAGCCGAGTTCATGCCACTGCACTTCAGCCTGTGCGACAGAGTGAGACTCCATCTCAAAAAATAATTAATTATTTAATTAATTAAATAAAAATAAATAAATAAATAAATAAATTAAAAAAATTACCTCCCTCTGGATTAGGGACCCTGTTGTGTGTCTCACTTGTACTCCAGGATCTAGAATCTGCTTCCTTCTTGTACATGTGGCACATGCCATGGCCTCCTCCAGCTCCTGGCCTGTCCTCATCCTTGTAGTTCTAAGTCTTATAGTGACATCATCTTTTCTCCTATTGTGTTCCGGTATTGTAAGAAGGTTACTTGTGAACTTTTCTTCCTGACTCTGCCAGGAAATTGTTTGGTCTTTTACTGGTACCTGATGCCCCTGGAAGCTTTTCTGCTTCAGACCTGATGAAGTCAACCACAAAGTGACAAGTTTCCCTGCAACATGAGGGTCATTGCATTTCTAAGCATATGTTGAGTTCTTATTTTTGATATGCACAGAAAAGTCAGTTGATTATTCTAACTTAAAAATAAAATTCTACCTTCATATTGGCTTGCCTTTTCTCTCCTTTGGGACAGGTTGGGAACTTGGGAAGCATAATATAGGTCTATGCTCTTGGCTTATGGTGGTTCAGAGATCAGGGCTTTTGGAATTGGGCAAATCTAGGCTTGAATCCCAATTTTGCTCCTTCCTAGCTCTGTGCCCTGGGAAGATAGTTAACCTTTCTGAGTCTCAATTTCCTCTATAAAATGTGGCTTCCTTCCTTAACATGTACTTATTCAGCCCCTAGTGAGTTCATACATTGTTCTAGACGTTAGGGATACACCAGTGCGCAAGCATCACACATGACCTCATGCCCATGAGTTGTCTTCTCTATCTGGTTGGTAAACTATTAAACAAACAATGCTGCAAAGGAGAAGGACAGGGTTTGATGGGAACTTACAATGGAGATATAACCCAGTCTGGACAATCAGAGAAGGTCTAACCGAGGCAGTGTTAACCTGAGTAGCAAAGAACAGATGTAGCTGAGTGGGCTGTAAGGAAGGAGGAACGAAGGTTGAGTCTTTAGAGAGCTATGGTTTAGAACTAGAGGTGAAGGCTCTGTATTCAAAACTGGTTTGGCGAGACAAACGGAATACAACTTGGAATATAACTCCTCATATACCATCATTTAAACCCCTACTTGCCTGCTATGGACCTTGAGTTTAAAATTCTATCATTTTAAAGATGAAAAAACTGCAATCCACAGAAGTTTCCACAGGCCACCAGCTAGTTAAGCATGGCAGAGCTGATATTAAAGTTAGCACCTTAAAGTATATCCATACCATCAGGGCGGGGGGCATTTTCACTCTGGTGGGCATTTTCAGGCAACAATTCCAAATACGTGAAGAACTGCCTTGTCCTCAAATAGCCCAGCTTCACAGCATGGCTCATTTCACATTTAAATTGCACTGGGAACAAATACATTTCACAATGTTCAGCTTCAGGTTGCGAAGAATAACATGCTAATAGAGAGTTGCAGGTACCAGTCATTTTCCTCCAAATCAGTCTCTTTTGGTCCCACTCTGGATTAATGACCACCTTTGCAAAGAGGCCACATGAGCTTTCAAAGAGAAAGGAGTAAACAGGAGGACATGCATTAACATGGCAGGCTAGTCACCTCCCACACCTGAATGTAGAGCTTTTAGAAATGGAATTGTTAAGATGTGCTTCTTTTACAAATATCAGATAAACATAATCTCTGAGGGTACAGAGGTAGTGGGTGTTGGGTAGAATGATACTTTAGCCATGGAGTGAATATCTAGGGCAAGTAAAAAGTGAAGGAGACATCTAATTCATGTAATGGGTGGAGGATTTACTAAGTGTCAGGCACTATAAACAATGATTTCATAGGTGTTTTATTTCATTTGCACAACTCACTAGGTCACACACCAAGAAAGAGGAGACATGAGATTAAACCCACGTTTTCTAACTCTGGGCTCATTTTGGTGACGTCAGGTGATTTGGGTGAGAATCCCAGTTCCAGCGATCTCAGCATGACTGGTACCTGCAACTCTCTATTATAAGTAATCTTGGGTTACTTATTTAACTGTTCTGAGCTTCATCTATTTCTCATCTGGTAAATGCCACATGCAGATGTACAATACATTTACAGTTTGTTTGTTTTAATTAGACCATGTGGTTCCTCACTGGGATTACTTTAATATTAAATAAAATTAATAAATAATAATATAATAATAATATTCAATAAAACTAATATTAAATAATATTAAATAAAATTGAAAAGCACATCGTGAATGAAGAGACCACAAAGAAAAGACTACATGGGATATTTGGGGGACAGCTAATTTTCCAGGCTGGTTGGGGAAAGGGTATATGGAGTGACATGCTCAGAGGGAACTATAAAGGAAGTCTTGAGGCAGGACATGGGGGACTCCAGTGCTGTTTTGAGTTTGGGAAATCTTCTCTAGCCCATGGCCATTCACTCAGAGGATAGAACAGATGGCGTTTATGAACCTACCCACATACACCCACAACATGTCAAATGGTTAAATTTATTGACTCACCATTTGCAAAATTGTGTTCATCTCCACACTAGGTTTCTTTCCACCACTTCCCAGTTTCAAATGGATGGCAGCTTTGGGATTCAGTATCAGTACCCTGATACTGACTCTATATCAGTGCAATGGAAATACTTTCAGTTTTCATTCATTTTCAACCTTACCAATGCTCTGGAATCACTAAATCTGACTTTTTTTTTTCCTAAGCTCTGGGCCTGTGAGCCCAGGTTTATAGATGTAGCTTATAGATATGCTATTCAAATTCATTTGTATGCAAACATATCTCAGTGGATTTTGTTATACTTCTGTTCATCTTGAAATTCATGAAATTCCTCAGACATCTGACAATGCATAGAATTTTAAATATATGCTATCATTTTTCTAAGACACTTGATTTTTGATCCTGTCTAATGTATTTAATCAAACTCAAATTAGAAATTGGTTCCAACAGGCAGTCTTATAGATCAGCACTGATCAGTAGGAACATAAAGTGAGTCATAAAGATGAGCCATGTATATAATTTTAAATTTCCTGATGGCCATATTAAAAAAAGTGAAAAGAAACATGAAAGTAATTTTAAAAACATATTTCGTTTAACCCACAGTACTCAAAATATTATCATTCAACATGTAATAAATATACAAAATGATGAGATATTCTACATTTATTCTTTTCATACTAAGTCCAGACTGTATTTTATACATACAACACATTTCACTTTAGCCACATTTCAAGTGTACAATAGTCACATAAGGCTAAGAGCTGTAGATTCCAGTTCCTTAGAACAGTTAGTTCCTTCAAAGAACTGGAAGAGTGATTTATATCCCCCTTCCTCTTGCTCCCATCCAAGCAGTAATATTGCAAAATTTCTCTCTCATCTATGGATTTTTGGGGGTTAGACCTAAGAGATTATCTTGTCCTAAACTTTTGTATTATGGTCAATGAAGCTGAGATGCATGGAGAGAAAGAGTCTTGGCCAATTCAGCCATATCTCCTCTTGTGTTGGTGCAGTCTCCACTCCATGAAGCATGTCCATAGTGATTAAAAAGATGAGATAGTCTGAACTGAGAATTGTAATAAGGAATGGCTTCTTCGGTTAATAGAGTTTACAGAAGTATATAATGTAGATTTGGGAGGTGTCTTGTGACAGAAACCGCTAACTGTATCCACATATATTCTCTTCTTCCATGGTAACAAAACCCTTAGCTTGGCAGGGCACATATCTTCTTTATCCTAAGAAGATAAAGGATATATGTGCCAACCTCTCTGAAGATATGTGCCCACTTCCCTGAAACCTGAGGAGAAGGGCATGAACTAAATTCTGACAGTGGGACATTAAGGGAAGTGATGAGTACAACTAAAGGAAATGTATATAAAGGGAAAGAACAATGCTCTTCCATTCTCCCCCTTCTTACTGACTGGAATATGTGAGTGATATTACAGCTTCAGCAACCTTCTTGAATCATGAAAAGAAGAGAAGCAAAGTGGGTGGAGAAAGAAGATAGGAAGAGTCTGATCCTTGACACTTTGGAGCACCACACGAGTCCTAGACTGACTAGCTACAGACTTTTTGCCTATGAGGAAGAAATAAACTTCTATTTCACCTAAGCCACTGTCATTTTAGATTTTTCCGTTACTCATAGCTTAACCTATATAGCCTTCACCCTCAAAGTTTTCCTTGGTTGCACCACATACCCCTCTGTCCTACTACCATAGGTTGGGTTTGCTGCCCTTCCTCTGCATTCATAGCCTGCTGTATTACCGTCAAAATAACTTACCACACTGTATTGTAATTATTTATGCATGTCTCTCATTTTATTCATTGCATGTGTACTGTGTATTTATTGATCACTTGTGGCAAATTATCCACAAAATCTCTACACACTTGGAAATGAAACAAAATACTTCTAAATAATCTATGAGTTGAAAAGGAAGTGTCAAAGGATGTTTAAAACATACATAGAACATAATAAAATTGAAAATATAATATATATCAAAATATGTAAGATGCACCTATAACATTGCTGAGAGAAAATTTTATAGCACCAAATGCTTACATTAAAATAAAAGTCTCAAATCAAAAATTTATATTTTTACCTCGATAAATTAGAAAAAGAATAATAGAAACTGAAAGCAAGTTTAAGGAAGGAAATAATAATGAGCAGAAATCGAAGAAATTGAAAATAAGAACATAATTAAACCAATAGGTAGTTCTTCAAAAAATTCAATAAAATATATAAACCTATAATAATGACAAAGATAAAAAGAAAAAATACACAAATCATCAATATTAAAAATAAAAAATGGCTTATCACTACAGACCCTATAGTGATTAAAAGGATAGTAAAGGAATAATATACACAGTTTATGCTTAAATTCAACAACTTAGAAGAAACATACAAATTTCTCAAAAGACACATACTGCCAAAAATCATCTAAGATGAAACATATGAATGGTCCTAAACCATTAAATACATTGAATTCATAATTTAAAATTTCCCTCAAAATAAATCTGCAGGCCTAAATGATTTCCCCAGAGAATACTACCAAATATTTAAAGAAGATTTAACACAATTTTACACAGTCTACTCCAAAAAATGGAAAAAGAGGAAACACTTCCTAAGTCATTTTACATAAGGCCAGTATTATCCTGATGCCACGACCAGACAAAAAGAGTACCAAAAAAACCTCAAAAAACTCTGACGCAGTATCTCCAGTGTATCTCATGAACTTAGACATAAATCTTCAACAAAATATTAGGAAATGGAATCCAGTAATATATGAAGAGAATTATACTCTGTTAACAAGTAGGATTTATTCCAGCTATACATGGTTGGTTCAACACTTAAAAATCAATAATGTAATTCACTGCATTAACAGGCTAAGGAAGGACAACATGATTATATCAATTGAAGCAGAAAAAGCACTTTATAAAGTCTGACATTCAGCAAATTAGTAATGAAGGAGAACTACCTCAACATGATAAAGGGCATCTACAAAAACACTGCAGCTAACATCACACATAATGGTTAAAGATTGAATGCTTTCCACCTAAGATCAGGGCTAAGACAAGAATGTCTACTGTCACCATTCCTAGTCATCATAATTCTGGAATTTTTACCTACCAAAATAAAGCCAAAAAATAAGTCACAATAATTAGGAAAGAAATTAAACTGCTACTATTTCTACATAATATGACTCTCTATGTAGAAAATTCCAAAAAACATCCTAACACTAATAACTAAGTATATTAGTCCATGCTCATGCTGCTATAAAGAACTTCCCAAGACTGGGTAACATAAAGGAAAGAGGTTTAATTGACTCACAGTTTTGCATGGCTGGGAAGGCCTCAGGAAACTTACAATCATAGTGGAAGGGGAAGCAAACACATCCTTTTTCATATGATGGCAGGAGAGGGAAGTGCCTAGCAAAGGGGGAAAAGCCCCTTATAAAATAATCAGATCTCGTGAGACCTCACTCACTATTACAAGAACAGCATGGGGATAACTGCCCCCATGATTCAATTACCTCTCACCAGGTCCCTCCCACAACATGTGGAGATTATGGGAACTACAATTCAAGATGAGATTGGGTGGGGACATAGCCAAACCACATCACTGAGTTTAGCAACCGCCGCAGGATGTAACATCAACACACAAGAATCAATTGTATTTCTATATACTAACAACAAAAATCTGGAAGCCAAAATTTAAAACACAGTACTATTTACAATTGCTCTAAAGAAAATGAAATAATTATAAACACAATAAAAGACATGCAGGATTTGTATACTGAGTTACAAAATGCTTATGAAAGAAATTATAGATGACCTAAATAAGTGACACGACATATTATGCTCATGGATCGGAACACTTAATGTAGTAAAGATGTCAGTTCTCTCAGAAATGAGCTATAGATTTAATGTAATTCCCATCAAAATCCCAGCAAGATTTTTTGGAAATATAGATGAACTGCTCTAAAATTTATATGGACAAACACAAAACCTAGAATAGTTCAAACAATCTTGAAAAAAGAAGAAATTTTGTGTTAGTTTCCTGTGACTGATATAATAAGTTAACCCAAACTTGGTGACTTAAAACAATGCACATTTATTATCTTACAGTTCTGGAGGCCAGAAATCCAAATTCTGTTTCACTGGACTAAAGTCCAGGTGTGACAGCAATGGTTACTTCTGGAGGCCCCAGGAGATAATCTTTTTCATGCTTCTTCCAGCTTCTAGATGCTGCTGGCCTCATTGGCTCATGGGTGCATTACTCCAATTCCACTTTCATAGTCATACTGCCTTCTCCTCTTCTGTAGTAAAATCTTCCTTTGCCTCCCTTGTATACGGACATATATAATTCATTTACGACCCACACAGATAATAAAGAATAATTGTCCCATCTCTCAAGATCCTTAATCCCCTCTGCAAAGTCCCTTCTCCTATATAGTTGATGCTTGAACAATGTGAGGACTAGTGATGCTGGCACCTTGCGCAATAGAAAATCTGCATATAACATTTTTTAAATTATTTCAGTAGTTTTTGGGTGTTTGGTTACATAGATAAGTTCTTTAGTGATGATTTCTGAGATTTTGGTGCAGCCATCACTCAAGCAGTGTACATTGTACTTGTACACCTTTATCCCTCACCCCCCTTCCACACTTTCCTCTGCGTTCCCAAAGTCCACTGTATTATTCTTATGCCTTTGCATCCTCATAGCTTAGCTCCCACTTATGAGTGAGAACATACAAGGTTTGATTTTCCATTCCTGAATTACTTCACTTAGAATAATGGTCTTCAATTTCATCCAGATTGCTGCAAATGCCATTATTTCATTCCTTTTTATGGATGAGTAGTATTTCATGGTATATATGTACCACATTTTCTTTATCCACTTGTTGACTGATGGGCATTTGGGCTGGTTCCATATTTTTGCAATTGTGAATTGTGCTGCTACAAACATGCGTATGCAAGTATCTTTTTTGTGTAATGATTTATTTTCCTCTGAGTGGATACCCAGTAGTGGGATTGGTGGTTCAAATGGTAGATCTACTTTTAGTCTTTAAGGAATCTTCACACTGTTTTTCCCAGTGGTTGTACTAGTTTACATTCCCACCAGCAGCATTAAAGTGTTCCCTTTTCACCACATCTACGCCAACATCTATTATTTTATTATTTTTTATATTATAGTCATTCTTGCAGAGTAAGGAGGTATTGCATTGTGGTTTTAATTTGCATTTCCCTGATTATCAGTGATGTTGAGCATTTTTTCATAAGTTTGTTGGCCATTTGTATATCTTCTTTTGAAGATATGTCTATTCATATCCTTAGCCCACTTTTTGATAAGATTGTTTGTTTTTTTCTTGCTGGTTTGTTTGAGTTTCTTGTAGATTCTGCATATTAGTCCTTTGTCAGGAGCACAGTTTGTGAAGATTTTCCCCCACTCTGTGGGTTGTCTGTTTGCTCTGCTGATTATTTCCGTTTTTTGCAGAAGCTTTTTAGTTTAATTAAGTCTCATCTATTTATCTTTGTTTTGATGCATTTGCTTTTGGGTTCTTGGTCAGGAAATATATGCATATAGCCAATGTCTAGAAAGGTTTTTCCAATGTTATCTTCTATAATTAATTTTTATGGTTTCAGGTCTTAGATTTAAGTCTTTGATCTGTCTTGAGTTGATTTTTGTATAAGGTGAGAGATAAGGATCAAGTTTCATTCTTCTATGTGTGGTTTACCAAGGAGCTGAGCACTATTTGTTGAATAAGATGTCCTTTCCCCATTTTATGTTTTTATTTGCTTTGTTGAAGATCAGTTGGCTGGAAGTATTTGGCTTGATTTCTTGGTTCTGTATACTGTTCCATTGGTCTATGTGCTTGTTTTTATACCAGTACCATGCTATTTTGGTGACTATGGCCTTATAGTATAGTTTGAAGTAAGGCAGTGTGATGCCTCCAGATTTGTTCTTTTTGCTTAGTCTTGCTTTGGGTATGTGGTATCTTTTTTGGTTCCAAATGATTTTTAGGATTGTTTTTTCTAGTTCTATGAAGAATGACGGTGGTATTTTGATGGGAATTGCCTTGAATCTGTAGATTGCTTTTGGCAGTATGGTCATTTTCACAATAGTTATTCTACCCATCCATGAGCATGGGATGTGATTCCATTTGTTTATGTCACCTATAATTTCTTTCAGCAGTGTTTTGTAGTTTTCCTTGTAGAGGCCTTTCAGGGATTCAGGGATGGAACATATAAAGTCAATAAATATGATACACCACACAAACAGAACTAAAAACAAAAATCACATGATTATTTCAATAGACACAGAAAAAGCACATTTGACAAAATCCAGCATCCCTTTATGACTAAAACCCTCAGCAAAATTGGCATAGAAGGAACATACCTTAAGGTAATAAAAGTCATCTATGACAAACCCACAGCCAACATTATACTAAATGTGGAAAAGTTGAAAGCATTCTCCCTGAGAACTGGAACAAGACAAGGATGACCACTCTCACTACTTCTATTCAACATAGTATTGGAAGTCCTAGCCAGAGCAATCAGACAAGAGAAAGAAATAAAAGGCATCCAAATCAGTAAAGAGGAAGTCAAACTGTTGCTGTTTGCTGATGATATGATCATATATCTAGAAAACACTAAAGATTCATCCAAAAACCTCCTAAAACTGATAATGAATTCAGCAAAATTTTAGGATACAAAATTAATGTACACAAATCAGTAGCACTGCAATACACCAATAGCAACCAAGCTGAGAATTAAATCAAGAACTCAACTTCTTTTATGATAGCTGCAAAAACAAATAAACAAATGAAAATACTTAGGAATACACCTGCATGTAACTTTTGACTCCCCCAAAACTTAACTACTAATAGCCTACTCTTGATGGAGGCCTTACTGATAACATGAATAGTTGATTAACACATATTTTGTACATTTTTATATATTTTATTCTTACAATAAACTAGAAAAAAGAAAATGTCATTAAGAAAATTATTTAAAAGAGAAAATATATTTACTATTAATTAAGTGGAAGTGGATCAACACAAAGGTTTTCATCCTAATTATCTTCATGCTAAGCAGGCTGAGGAGGAAGAAGAAAAGGAGCATTTGGACTTGCTGTCTCAGGGGAAGAAAAGGAGAAGTTGCACTTGCTGTCTCAGGGGTGTCAGAGGTGGAAAAACAAGAGGAGGTGGAAGGGGAGGCAAGGGGCAGGAGAGGCAGGCACAGTCAGTGTAACTTTGTAGAAATACAACATAATTTCTGCCTGACTTTTTTGCTTTTTTATTTCTCTGGTAACTTTGCAGAAATACAACATAATTTCTTCCTGACTTTTTTGCTTTTTCATTTCTCTAGAAATGCTTCTATAATACCAATCCTTCTTTCACCATTTGCTTTAGTTTTAATGCCCATTAGAAGGATCTACATCACCAAAAAAAGTATCAAAAGAGGTCTTGAATAATCAGAACTGTTGTGGAAGATTGTTTAATGTCAATTTGTTTTCTGGCACTGCTTCTTCTACATCTTCTTCCTCATAATCTGGCACCAGTTCAGAAGCACTCATCAAGTCATCATCTGTTAATCCCTCTAGTGTAGTGTCTATTAGATCTTGAATTTCACCAAGATCCGTATCTTGAAATTCTTCGTCCTCTACCTTTTTAACCGTATCCACAATCTGTTTCAGATTCCGTTCACTGGCTCTGTTGTAAATCCTGTGAAGTCATGCACAACATCTGGACACAGTTTTCTCCAACAGGAATTTATCACTTTGGATTTGATGACATTCATGGCTTTTTCTGTAACAATGATGGCATGTTTAATGGTGTAATCTTTCCAGAGTTTCATGATGTTCTCTCTATTGGGGTTTTCCTCCATAGAGTTGACAGTCCTTTCCATAGCGTACCATGTATAATCAGCCTTAAAGGTCCTCATGACCCATCTTTTGAAGAATGAGTTAGGGGTGTTGTGTTTGGGAGGCAAGGAGACCATTTCACAACTTTCAGTGTTGAACTCATGGGGTTCTGGTGGCCAAGGGCATTGTCCAGTATTAAAATAACTTTAAAAGGCAGTTTTTAACTGGTAAGGGACTTGTTGATTTCAAGGACAAAGCATCAATGGAACCAATACAGAAAAAGGGCCTTTGTTGTCCAGGCCTTCTTGCTGTACAACAATAAAAAAACTGGCAACTGGTGTTTATCTTTTACTTTCAAGGCTTGGAGGTTAGCAGCTTTATAGAGAAGAACAGTCATTATCATAAACGCAACTGCATTTCCACAAAGCAGTAGGGTTAGCTCATCCCTTCCTGCCAAAAATCCTGGTGTTCACTTCTTTTCCTTACTAATAAATATCCTCTGCAGCATTTTTTTCCTCCAGAATAGAACACTTCTGTCTACACTGAAAAGTTGTTCAGGCAAATTTCCTTTCTCTTCTTTTAATGGCATCTAGAAACTTGTCTGCTGCCTCTTGGTCAGCAGGAGTTTCTTCTCCTGTAACCTTAACATTTTTAGAGCCAAATCTCTTTCTAAAATTATCAAATTGTTCTTTGCTGGCATGAAATTCTCCAACTTTAGATCCTTCATCTTCTTTTTCCTTAAAGTTTTCATATAATGACTTTACTATTTCTCGAATCACATTAGAGTCTATAAGTATGCCTTTCTTATAGCAATCCTGCACCCACATAAAAATTGGATTTTCAATATGAGAAAGATGTTTTACAGAAAGTACAGGTTTTCACACTTGAAGCAATAGCTTCACAAGTGTACTTTTCTTTGTTTACAACAGATTTATTTATGCTGGATTTATTTATCTTGAAATGGCAGATTGAGGTCTCAGTTGCAGCCCTCAAGCTATGGTACATATCTAACAATTCAACTTTTTTTTTTGTAATGTCAAGACTTTTCCCTGCTTCTTAGGAGTTCTTCCAGCATCACTAGTGACACTTCATATAGTTCCCATGGTGTTATTTATGGTATTGCACCAAACATGATAAAAAATACATGAGAACCACAAGAGATCACTTTTTACTGTGATAGGCAATTTACTGGAAAGACACAAACTGCTCACATGGAGATGCTTAGCATCATCAGCACTTTAAGTGGATGGGTGCAACACTTGAACTCACAACAATAGCAACAGGAAGTGGCCACAAAATTATTAAAGTAATATGTACTATAGTTAATTTCATGCTGTTACGATTGAATACTGTTGTATTAGTCCATTTTCATGCCGCTGATAAAGACATACTGGAGACTGGGGGAAAAAAAGAAGTTTAATTGGACTTACTGTCCCACATGGCTGGGGAGGCCTCAGAATCATGGTGGGAGGCAAAAAGCACTTCTTACATGGTGGCGGTAAGAGAAAATGAGGAAGATGCAAAAGTGGAATCCCCTGATAAAACCATCAGATCTTGTGAGACTTATTCACTACCAAGAGAACAGTATGGGAGAAACCGCCACCATGATTCAAATTCTCTCTCACCAGGTACCTGCCACAACACATGGGAATTATGGGAGTACAATTTAAGATGAGATATGGATGAGAACACAGAGCCAAACCATATCAACTCTATCTTCATGTTTGTTTACATTTCTCTCAACTGTAAGTTGTCTGTTTGTATAGATTTTGATAAATTTTAACTTTTTATAATAAATTTGTGTATATTTTATTATAGCAAATAATCAAATAGACTAGCATTTATATGTTTTATGCATTTAGTACATGCCTGTTTCTTAATTTTTTTTGATATTTCTAGGCTGTGTGGTTCATCTTCAATTTTTTTCAAGTTTTCAGAAACCCCCCTAATTTTTTCAATATGTTTATCTTGAAAAATCCACCTATAAGTGGACCCAGACTGTTCAAACTAATGTTATGTAAGGGCCAACTGTATAAGGAACATTCACAGGTTTCAGGTATTAGGACCTGGATAGTTTTAGGGCCATTATTCAGCCTCCCAAAAAAGTGGCAGAAATAACTCTACCTAATATTAAGGCTTACTATATAAGCTAAATAATCAAGACAATGTCAAATTGGTGGAGAGATAGACACATAGATCAATGGTACAGAACAGAGAACTCAGAAATAGACACACACAATTATGTTCAATTAACTGTGCAAAAGCATGCACTAGGTGCAAAAGCAGTTCACTGTAGGGAAGATAGTTGATATGTGTATTAGTCTGTTTTCATACTGCTATAAAAAAAAGCAGCCGAAGACTGGGTAATTTACAAAAGAAAAAGGTTTAATTGACTCACAGTTCAGCATGGCTGGGGAGGCCTCAGAAAACTTACAATCATGGCAGAAGGTGAACGGGAAGCAAGGCACCTTCTTCATAAAGCAGTAGGAAGGAGAAGTGCCGAGTGAATGGGGAGGAGGCCCTTATAAAACCGTCAGATCTCATGAGAACTCACTCACTGTCATGGGAACAGCATGGGGGAAACCACCCCCATGATTCAATTACCTCTACCTGGGCTCCCCCTTGACACATGGAGATTATGAGGATTTACATTTCAAGATGAGATTCAAATCGCATCTTGAATTGTCATTCCCAGTGCTTGGGGAGGGACCTAGTAGGAGGTGATTGGATCATGGGGGCAGATTTCCCCCTTGCTGTTCTCATAACAGGGAGTGAGTTCTCACGAGATCTGATGGTTTAAAAGTGTGTGGCACTTCCCCCTTTATTCTCTCTCTGTCTCCTGTCACCATGTGAAGATGTGCCTGCTTTCCCTTTGCCTTCTGCCTTGATTGTAAGTTTCCCAAGGCCACACCAGCCATGCATCCTGTACAGTCTGCAGAACTGTGAGTTAATTAAACCTCTTTTCTTTATAAACTACCCAGTCTCAGGTAGTTCTTTATTGCTATGTGAGAATGGACTAATACAATAGTCTTTTAAATAAATGGTTTGGGAACAATTAAACATCCACAGGCAAAAAAAAACTTAAAAAAAAAAAACTCAAAAAAAAAAACTCAACCTAAACCTCACACCTTATATAAAATTAACTTAACATGGATCATCCACTTAAATATAAAGCATAAACTATAAATCTTAACAAGAAATAGGAGAAAATCTTCAAAATCTAAGTGAAAAGTTCTTAGACTTGACACCAAAAGCCTAATCCTTAAAGAAAAATTTGATAAGTTGGACTTCATCAAATTTAAAACTTCTGTGAAAGACCCTGTTAAAGAATGAAAACAGAAACAGAACCTACAAACTAGAAGACATTTGAACATCAGGTATCTGAAAAAGGAATAAAATATAGAGTGTTTAATGAATTCTAAAAACTCAGAAATAAAAAACAAGCAATCCAATTAGAAAATGGGCAAAACCCCTAAATAAGCATTTTATTAAAGAGGATATATACAGATGATAAATAAGCATGTGAAAAGATGTTCATCTTTATTAGCCATTAGGGAAACAAAAATTGAAACACAATAAGACATAACTACACAATTATCAAAATAGCTAAAATTTAAAAAAAATAATTACAACACCAAATGCTGGTCATCACAATGCAAAGAAATTAGATCACCTACACATTGCTTGTGGGAAAGTAAAATGATTTAGCTATTCTGGAAAACATTTGGCAGTTTGTTATAAAACTAAACATGCAACCACCATATGACCCAGCAACTGTTCTCTTGGGCACTTATTCCAGAGAAATGAATATTATTTTCTCACAAAAATCTGCATGTGGACACTTATAGCAGTATTATTTGTAGTAGCCAAAACTGAAAACAATCCAGATGTCCTTCAATGGATGAATGATTAAACAAACGACAGCACATCCACATCATTCAGCAATAATGAGGAATGAACTATTGATACACACAACTTGAGGGAATCTCAAGGGAATTATGCTGAGTAAAAAAAAAACCAATCCCACAAGCTTACATACGTCATGATTCCATTTATATAACCTTCTTGATATGACAAAATTATAGATATACTAGAACTGATTAATAGTTGCCAGTGTTTAGGGCTCAAAGTGCAGGGGGAGGGATAAGAGTGTGATTACAAAAGAGTAGCACAAGAAATCCTTCTGTATCTTAACTGTGGTGGTAATTACATAAATTGCGACATATGATAAATTGCATAGAACTAAATACATGCACATACACATACAAGCACAAGGATATATAAAACTGGTGATAATCTGAATAAGATTGATAGGTTGTATTCATGTCAGTTTCTGGGTTGTGATATTGTACTACAGTTATTCAAGATGTTACCATAAAAAATTTGGAAATAACTCTGGAGATAATGTTTTAATAAGAGGCATAAGCACACCTTAACTATAAAATGTTTGATCTTCAGAAAACATTCTGAAATGTAATAGAAATTTAACAAATGTGGAAAGGGGAGAACATGCTGTGAAGTTATTATCAACTCCTGTGCAAAAATGTTAGGGCTCTGGCCAAAATCTCAACTCAGAATTGCCAACTTTCATAAAGTCTGCAAGTAGAAACTTGTCACATCCATAAATGTAAATAACACTTCTTTCTTTCACCTAACCTGATTTAAAATTATTTACTTGCACTTTTCTTATACTTTACAAAGTATTTTCACATGCAAATTCTATTCCATTTTCCTAGTCACTTGATGTGGCAGACAGAGAAGAACTTTTTATCCTCCATTATAAAGATGAGGAAATTGAGTCTGAGAGAAATGATTTGTTCTGACTTGAAGCTAAAAAATTGTAAAGTTAGGAGTAAAATATGAAATGTGAATCTTTTGACTCCTGATTGATGATGCTACTTGAAGGCGAGGAATAAGTCTTATAATTCTTAGAGGGTTAGTCTGATGTAGGGGCAAAAACAACACTGGATTATTAGTCAAAAGACATTGTTTTAAGCTTCAGCATTGAGCCAGGTCCAAGCTAAAGTTCAATGTAAGTTAGAGGCATGTGGTGAGAGAGGTGCTACCAAGTTCCATTAAGGAAAGCAAGGAAGGCTTTCAACAGATTTGGCATTTGTTGAGTCCTGAAGAATGCCTTGAATTTTAATATATGACTTTATTAAGAGAAGGAAAAATCCAGGCAGAGTGTAGTAAAAATAGGGGATGGGGGCAGTGAGCAGCAGTATGGGGAAAAGAAAGTGTAATGAATCCAGTGCCCCTCCATTACCCACCTCCACCTTGACAGCAGCTGTATTCCCCTGTAAATTGCTCCTCTCTCTTTCTTCTCTCTTTCTGGGACTCTGGTAATATGAATGTTGGCGCTTGTGACACTGTTAATTTTCTTTGTTCTACTTTCTCTCTCTTGCTCAGATTGGGTAAATTATATTCATCTGTCCTCAAGTTCACTGATGGTATTTTCTCTGTCATCTCCACTCTACTATTAAGTCCATCTAGCAAGATTTTTATTTTGGTTATTGTACTTTTCAGTGTTATAGTTTCCATTTGATTCTTTTTATAACTTCTACTTCTTTGTTAAGATTTTCTCTTTTTTTATTTGTTAAAGAGAATTCATAATTGCTGCTTTAAAATTATCTTCAGATAATTCCAACACCTTGGAATTCATCTT